>NC_000010.11:91506731-91809761 GCF_000001405.40 Homo sapiens
CCAATCAATAGAAAAAGAGGGAATCCTCCCTAACTCATTTTATGAGGCCAACATCATTCTGATACCAAAGCCGGGCAGAGACACAACCAAAAAAGAGAATTTTAGACCAATATCCTTGATGAACATTGATGCAAAAATCCTCAATAAAATACTGGCAAAACGAATCCAGCAGCACATCAAAAAGCTTCTCCACCATGATCAAGTGGGCTTCATCCCTGGGATGCAAGGCTGGTTCAATATACGCAAATCAATAAATGTAATCCAGCATATAAACAGAACCAAAGACAAAAACCACATGATTATCTCAACAGATGCAGAAAAGGCCTTTGACAAAATTCAACAACGCTTCATGCTAAAAACTCCCAATAAATTAGGTATTGATGGGACATATTTCAAAATAATAAGAGCTATCTATGACAAACCCACAGCCAATATCATACTGAATGGGCAAAAACTGGAAGCATTCCCTTTGAAAACTGGCACAAGACAGGGATGCCCTCTCTCACCACTCCTATTCAACATAGTGTTGGAAGTTCTGGCCAGGGCAATTAGACAGGAGAAGGAAATAAAGGGTATTCAATTAGGAAAAGAGGAAGTCAAATTGTCCCTGTTTGCAGATGACATGATTGTATATCTAGAAAACCCCATTGTCTCAGCCCAAAATCTCCTTAAGCTGATAAGCAACTTCAGCAAAGTCTCAGGATACAAAATCAGTGTGCAAAAATCACAAGCATTCTTATACACCAATAACAGACAAACAGCCAAATCATGAGTGAACTCCCATTCACAACTGCTTCAAAGAGAATAAAATACTTAGGAATCCAACTTACAAGGGATGTGAAGGACCTCTTCAAGGAGAACTACAAACCGCTGCTCAAGGAAATAAAAGAGGATACAAACAAATGGAAGAACATTCCATGCTCATGGGTAGGAAGAATCAATATCGTGAAAATGGCCATACTGCCCAAGGTAATTTACAGATTCAATGCCATCCCCATCAAGCTACCAATGCCTTTCTTCACAGAATTGGAAAAAACTACTTTAAAGTTCATATGGAACCAAAAAAGAGCCCGCATCGCCAAGTCAATCCTAAGCCAAAAGAACAAAGCTGGAGGCATCACACTACCTGACTTCAAACTATACTACAAGGCTACAGTAACCAAAACAGCATGGTACTGGTACCAAAACAGAGATATAGATCAGTGGAACAGAACAGAGCCCTCAGAAATAATGCCGCATATGTACAACTATCTGATCTTTGACAAACCTGAGAAAAACAAGCAATGGGGAAAGGATTCCCTATTTAATAAATGGTGCTGGGAAAACTGGCTAGCCATATGTAGAAAGCTGAAACTGGATCCCTTCCTTACACCTTATACAAAAATCAATTCAAGATGGATTAAAGACTTAAACGTTAGACCTAAAACCATAAAAACCCTAGAAGAAAACCTAGGCATTACCATTCAGGACATAGGCATGGGCAAGGACTTCATGTCTAAAACACCAAAAGCAATGGCAACAAAAGACAAAATTGACAAATGGGATCTAATTAAACTAAAGAGCTTCTGCACAGCAAAAGAAACTACCATCAGAGTGAACAGGCAACCTACAAAATGGGAGAAAATTTTCACAACCTACTCATCTGACAAAGGGCTAATATCCAGAATCTACAATGAACTCAAAACAAATTTACAAGAAAAAAACAAACAACCCCATCAAAAAGTGGGCGAAGGACATGAACAGACACTTCTCAAAAGAAGACATTTGTGCAGCCAAAAAACACATGAAAAAATGCTCACCATCACTGGCCATCAGAGAAATGCAAATCAAAACCACAATGAGATACCATCTCACACCAGTTAGAATGGCGATCATTAAAAAGTCAGGAAACAACAGGTGCTGGAGAGGATGTGGAGAAATAGGAACACTTTTACACTGTTGGTGGGACTGTAAACTAGTTCAACCATTGTGGAGGTCAGTGTGGCGATTCCTCAGGGATCTAGAACTAGAAATACCATTTGACCCAGCCATCCCATTACTGGGTATATACCCAAAGGACTATAAATCATGCTGCTATAAAGACACAGGCACACATATGTTTATTGCGGTATTATTCACAATAGCAAAGACTTGGAACCAACCCAAATGTCCAACAATGATAGACTGGATTAAGAAAATGTGGCACATATACACCATGGAATACTATGCAGCCATAAAAAATGATGAGTTCATGTCCTTTGTAGGGATATGGATGAAATTGGAAATCATCATTCTCAGTAAACTATCGCAATAACAAAAAACCAAACACCGCATATTCTCACTCATAGGTGGGAATTGAACAGTGAGATCACATGGACACAGGAAGGGGAACATCACACTCTGGGGACTGTTGTGGGGTGGGGGGAGGGGGGAGGGATAGCACTGGGAGATATACCTAATGCTAGATGACGGGTTAGTGGGTGCAGCACACCAGCATGGCACATGTATACGTATGTAACTAACCTGCACAATGTGCACATGTACCCTAAAACTTAAAGTATAATTAAAAAAAATAAATTTAAAAAAAAAATCAAAAAATAGCAGATGCTGACAAGGTTGCAGAGAAAAGAGAATGCTTATACACTGCTGGTGGGAATGTAAATTATTTTAGCCATTGTGGAAAGCAGTATGGAGGTTTCTTAAAGAACTTAGAACTATCATTCAACCCAGCAATGCCATTATTGGGTATGTACCCAAAGGAATATAAATTATTCTGTCATAAAGACACATGCATGCATATGTTCATTGTTCACTGCAGCACTATTCACAATAGCAAAGACTGGATAAAGAAAATGTGGTACATATATACCATGGAATACTATGCAGCCATTAAAAAAAAGATCATGTCCTTTGCAGCAACATGGATGAAGCTAGAGGCTCCATCCTAAGCAAACTAACACAGGAACAGAAAACCAAATACCACATATTCTTACTTGTAAGTGGGAGCTAAATACTGAGTACATGTGAACACAAGGAAGGGAATGACAAACACTGGGACCTACTTGAGCGGGTAGGGTGGGAGGAGGGTAAAGATAAAAGAAACTGCCTATCAGGTACTTACTTATTACCTGGGTGATGAGATAATCTGTACACCAAACCCCCATGACATGCAGTTTACCTTATATAACAAACCTGCACATGTACCCCTGAACCTAAAATAAAAGGTAGAGGAAAAACATGTTGTATTATATCTCAACTCACTAGCAGTTAATGAAGAAGAGGATAACAGGAGTCCAGAAAAAGATAGTGAATAGTATCAGTGAAAAGGGCCAAAAAATGAAGACATATAATGGGCACAATAAGCCAGTGCAGGATTTCAATTTTAAATTCATAGATAGGACCAGATGCCTTCTCCCAGTGCCTCTTAGAATAAAGTCCATGGAGAAAATAATCTTCAGTCATTAATTGTATTCAGAATGCTTTTTTCCCCTAAAAGGGCATGAATCCTTGGCAATATTTTGTGGTTATCCTGATTCTTTAGTACAGAGTGTAATGTAGAATGGCCAAGATTGCAAAGCAAATTTCAAATTACATCCTTTTCCATCTCTGGTTGTCCTTAAGCAGCTTCCTTTGCAAATCATCCAAAGAGTCAGGCTTAAAAGATATACATAATTTGGTCCTGCACCTCATCAAATACATGTTATTGAAGCCCCTGATGGATTAAGAAAATCCTGGACACATTTTTTCTTCAATAAACATTTTCATAAGATATTCTTCTGGTAGAATATTGATATTGTTTTCTTTCAGTTTTAAGAGACCTTGTATCTAGGTAGATGAGTATTAAATAAACTTGGAAAGCTCAGCCTTAACAGAATGAAGAGAAAACAAATGTTTTAAATAACTCGGGAAATGTTATTGAATGGATGCATGAAACACTGGCATAAAAATAAGTTGTGTAGCTTAGGACCTTGTAAACAGCAGAGCACTTTAGAAAAAAATATATTAAAAAACTGAGTTGGCATTTTCATTTTTTTCTTTGCTTTGTTATTTGATGATATTTTTAATTCATACAAATGTATGTCTGGTGCGTAAAAAATTAAGAATGTTAAATCTTACATATGAACAACACTGGTTTTTTAAGTCAGACTGATCTGGGTCTGAATATTGGGCCTACATCTTTACCAGCTCTCTATCCCTGAACAGGTTACTTGTATATTTACATGTCTATTTTTCCTCACCAGTAAAATGAGAACAACCACTTTTAAGTTGCTTTGAGGCTGAAATTAAAGGAAACAATGCATGTAAATGCACTCAGCACAGTGATTATCATAGACCAAACACTGAGTAAATGCTGATTCTAGTAGTTTTAAGTCTTTTAATTCAGGGGGCTCTCAAAATTTAGTTTTAAATCTTACAAACTTCTTTAAAAATGTTTTCCTTTTCTGTAGTGTATTCACATTTTTATTCATTGATTTCTCTGACAGCTGTTCTGATGCTGTGAAGTTCATAAAGACTGAAGGAAAGAGTCTTAAGATAGCTGTAAGAATCCTAAATGATGATAACAACACTATCAGATAGTAGGTGGGGGAGATGACACCAAAAGGATTCAGAAGATAATTTTTACATGTGCATCAAGGGGCATCTACTGTCCCCAAAATGCTCTTTTTTAAATTACTTTTTAATACTAAAAACCGGAATAATAGTATCATTCATTATATTATCTACTCCTCGGCTGCTAGATGTTTTGTGTATATCACTCTTTTAATCTTTTTAACCATCAGTCCTCAACCTTTTTGGCACCAGGGATCGGTTTTGTGGAAGACAGTTTTTCCACAGAACCAGGGAGGAGTGGGGAGAGTGGGAGGTGGTGGTAGTTTTGGATGAAACTGTTCCACCTCGGGTCATCAGGCATTAGATTCTCATAAGGGGCATGCAACCTAGATTCCTTGCACGTGCAGTTCACAATAGGGTCCTTGTTCCTATGAGAATCTAATACTGCCGCTTATGTGACAGGAGGCAGAGCTCAGGCAGTAATGCTCGCCTGCCACTCACCTCCTGTTGTGCAGCCCAGTTCCTAACAGGCCACCAACAACCATACCCATCTCTGGCCCTGGGGTTGGGAACTCCTGGTTATTAAACAACCTGATTAGGTTATTAAACAGCCTAATTGGATGGTTTACCCTATATTGTTGATGAGGAAACTGGGATTTGGGGATATTATGCAACTCGAACAAGACCCCACAGCTAGTAAGTGGGGAAAGCAGAATTCAAATTCATATCTGTCTGACTCCAACAAAATGCTTCTTAAATGAGTTTCATGAAAGTGGTAACATTGGTTGTCTTGTCTGTAACCACAGCCTTAGTGTCTAGAGTGGTGTCTGATACAAAGTGAGGTACTCAGTAAATATCTGTTCAGTGAAGAAATGGATGAGTCATCTCTTAACAGAGTGAAATAGATTTGAATGTGTGTGTCCTGGTATTTTTTAAAGTTGCATAGCAGTCATTTTGTGTGTGTTTCAAGACTTAGTATTTTTTTTTAATTTTTTTCCCTAGCTTACCTGTGGCCCATACCTGCTTCAATCAACTTTGCCTTCCCCCCTACAAGAGCAAAAAGGATCTGAAACAGAAATTGATCATTGGAATTTCAAATTCAGAAGGTTTTGGACTTGAGTAACCTAGAAGACTTGAAATATAATCTTTTATATGTAGCATTCACTTCCCTCTTACTGTGCCTTTAGCCTTTTCATGTTTCTGTCTCAAAACACTTTGACAAAGCTCACCAACTTTAAAATATTAAGTTTTTAAAAAATCAAATATGAAGTATGTTCAGCAAAGGCATAATTTTCTAAAAACACACACAGAAATCGCTTGAGTGAGGAAAAGTCCACATGGCAGAGACAGGTATGGTCCAGTTCCTCTTTTATATAGCACTTTATCATTCTCCACAAGTAGTTTGTCACAGGCATTCCACTGGGAAAGCAAAGTACAGTGAAGAATGAATTTATGGTATAGTTGAACCCAGTGGCAGATTGTACACTGCTAGCACTGCTAGCACACAGTAGCAAAGCAAACAGCTACATTATCTTTAACATAAGGCATGTAGCCATATTTTCATATAGTGGTATACAACACAGTATCATTGCAAATGCAGTTTACAGGGATTTTTGATATACTGGCTTGGGACCTATAAGATTCTTCTCAGCAGTTGCTGAAAAGCATGTAAATAACTACATAATAGCCTGAGAATAATGGGATTTTGATAGTGCCATTTATTGTTAAAGATTTATTTTTACAAAGTAAATTCAGGGTTTTAGATGTGTACACAGCTTTTACAAATCAATAAAGATGATTGTACAAGAGTATTTTCAGACTAATTGGATTCAAGGTTATATTCTTTTAAGTGTTGTTAGTCTGCATGCACATTGGCAGTAAACTAGTTACTTGTGTACTCTGTAATATTTGTATAATGATCATTTCTTCTTAAGGCTCAAGATATTAGAAAAGAAATCAGACCTAAATAATCATTGATGAAGTATGTCAGTTACAAGCACAAAAGAATATAACTGCTTTTATAAATCTTTTGAATCATGTACAAGACTTATATCTACATTTTTTGATCACCAGTTGTACCAAAACACTAATTTTTGAAAAAGATAGGTTAAAGTATTTGACAAAAGTGAATACAATAATAACACTTGTGTCAAAATGATATAGCTTAGTATAAAAATAAAATTCAACGTTTTGGCCAAAATGTTTGTTTTTCACTGGATTCTGAATATAATAAATTCAAAGTACCCTTTTTTTAGAGTTTCTAATAAAGTAGTATGTAAAAAGAAACTGCATTTTAAGTCAGACAGTAAATGTTTTTTTTAATTTACAGCAAATGAAGCAGTTTTATTAGCATGTTACAAATATTGCCAAACCAAGACTTCTCTACCATACTTTAACAGCTTTCCTTCAGAAAACTCTGAAGTTATATTTGCAATAATAATGAAACCAGCATTTAGTACCAGCATATGGTTCATATGCAAATAATACTTTCCCCAAAATCTTTCTGGGCTAGGCTATTTTCTTGCTATGCTTCCTGCACCCAACCAGCAGAATTCTTCCAGGGTGGAGGAACTAATCAGCTTGTTCTCCAACAGTTCTGAAGCCAACCCACAAATCTTTGAGGAAAAGGGGTCACTTTGTTTACTATTCTCTTGGAGATGGAAGTGATTCTGCTCTTCCATTTGGGTATATTATTTCAAGGGTATTTCTTCTTAAAAATCTTGGAAAGCCTAAGAGAGTTAAAGGCATCCTGGTTTTGTTTCATTTTGCTCTGTTTTAAATCCATATGCAAATAAAACTGCTTCTCTCTTACACTGCTTGAACTAGAAAATCAGCTTTTTAATGTAGGTTACCACTTATAAGCACAAAAGAAACATGTATAAGAAACCAGATTTAAGTGTTTTAAATAAAATGTAAACAGTTTTTATTTGGTAGAGATGACTCATGGAAAAATTGTGTTGGCTTGGTCTGCATGTTTAATGATGTGCTTGTATATCGATTAGCTGTGTCACTTTTAAATAAGAAGTCCACACAAGCAAGCCAAATTTTTAGATGACGAAGTCCATAAATAACTAGAGAATTTTTGTTATCTGTTGTTAAGTTGAAATGTATAATCATTTATCACTAAATTGCACATTGCCTTTATTTATTTGTGCTCTGTTTTTGGTTTACAGTGTAATAATACCTCATTTAAAAAATAAAAACCACTACTGTTACATTTTATTAATTTAAAAAGCTAGAAAATTCATGTAGTTACTTTTTTTACATATATAATCTGTTAATGAATTATTGATTTTTGTATCTGCCACAGTAAATTAAAGCATTACACAGTATTTATCAGTATTTTTTAAACATCCTGTCCTTTTTTAAAATCTTTGCTTAGTCAGTCATATTTTTGTCTGTATGATTAGAAGTTTTTACGTCCTTCCTTTTTTGTACAAATCTGTATTGTATTAATTTCTGGATGCAATTTTTCAAATATTAAAATTATACAGTCAGTCAGGCTTCAGTTTATTTTTTGAACACTTGGGCAATTAATTAAAGCCATATGTTTAAAATATTTTATAAATGCAAGCTATTCTTTGCATTATACTCTCTCAATCTAGTGCTTAGGAAAATTGCTGACACATAACTTCAAAAGATGTATGTTGTTGACATTAAGTATTACCAACCTCTGTAGCATATTTTCAGCATGAAATGTATATCCAATATTTGAAAGATCACACAGCTATTCCACCAAATGAATGTATAATACCATTTGGAGTACACCCAGAAGTGAACCAAGTGTAACATTTCATTGGCCGTAGATAGATAACTTCAGCTCTTAAGTAAGTATTCCTCTCCAAAACCATTCATTTGGCCCTTTTCCCCTTGTCCACATACCTCATGCTTAAGGAAGGAAGAGTGGAGATTATAAGAATGTAAGAGAGAATGTTATGGGTGATTAATGAAAGAAAATAGGTAGCTGGATGGAAAAAAGACCAGGATGGGTTTTCGCAGGAGGGGACACAAGATCAGTTCACCCAGATGGCCGCAAATCGTTTAGTCTAGTGCCTAGGTTTTGGAGCCAGACTGCCTGGGTTCACCATTTACTAGCTGGGCAAGTTAACTTCCTCATTCCTCAAATGTACAATGGAAATAATTTGTAAAATGGAAATAACCTACCTACCCCATAGAGTTGTAGGGAAGATTAAATGAACTAATGTGTAAAGCACTTATCCAGTGCCTGGCACATGATAAGCAATAAAAAGTGATGCAAGACAAATTATGGTACTGATGTAGAAACATCCTACAACCACTGCTTCTGACGCCTTCTGGAGGCTTTTGACTTAAATGCTGGGTTCAACCACAGATTATAGAACGCAAAGTGCTTTTGAAGCCTTAAAATTGTGTTGGGAGAATCTTTCTTATTCTAGAAACAGTACTGTAGGATTTATCCTTATAGCTGTCTCATGATGCAAGGGTTTTAAATACTATTTTATAGCTGTGTAACAAGATACAATTCTATTTTTAATGAAATAGTTCAAGTAAACAGAAAAATTTCAGGATTAACATAATGAAATACCATGATCCCACACTCAGACCTAAAAAATGATAATATGTGTTAATATTACCAGTTTTTTAAAAATAATTTTGCAAATGGGATTGAAGCCCCTTTTGTGCCCATCTCCAATCCCCCTCTACTCCCTCTCTGTTCTCTGTTAACCTGTAGTTCGTGTGAATCTTTCCCATGCTGTCTTTACATATATGTACCTATGTGTAAACACTATGTAATATTGTTACAGTTGCATACATCTCATGCTCTATATATCTTTCCAAAACTTTTTTCACTTAATATTGTCTTTTATAGATTTATTTACATTTAGATATAATGCATTTTTAACTGCAGAATAGAATCATGAAATGCATGTACCACTTTCTGGATCCATCCTCCCACACACTAACATTGAGTTGTTTTCCAGTGTGAACCAGGCTCTCTAGACTATAGCCCAGATGTAGAATTGCTGGATCACAGGCTGTACATCTCCGGCTTTACCAGATATTGTCCACTTGCTCTCCAGAGTGGTGGTTCCGGCATTAATTTCCATCAGCATTATAAAGAGTTGTCGTTTGTCCACATTCTCCCCAACACTTGGCTTTAGCAGACCTTTCTTGGCTTATTTAACTAGTGTGATTTAATTTCTATTTCCATAATTGTTAATGGCATTGAACACCTTTGTGTATATTTACAGGCTCTTCAGATTTCTTCTGTGAATGGCCAGTTCAATATTCTTAGCCTGTGTTTTCCTATTTTTTTTCCCTATTGGTGTTTAGGAGTTTTTTCCTTATTCTGGATATTGATCCTTTGTTAACAGGAGCTACATTGCTTCAGTTGAATTCCAGATCTGCCAATGACTAAGTGACTTGGAACAAATTACTTCAAATTACTTAATGTTTCTTTGTCTCAGTTTACTCATCTAGAAACTAAAGAAAATAATACTTAGCTCACAGGGTTGTTAAATAAGTTTCCATACAGGTATATTTGTATGTATGTACATATGTATGTATATGTGTATATTATATATAAGTTTATAAGTGTATCAGATATATGCATATGTATAGACTTACATACTTAAACTTACAGAACATACATATGAAGGGCTTACATTTGTGCCTGACCCATAAGTGGTCTCTAAATGTTTGGTATTATTACTATTGTTATTACCTGTATTCTAATTCTTATTGTGCTTGCATTACAAATATTTTCTAATATGTGGCCTAATTTTTAACTTTATTTACCTCATCTTTTATACTATGAATTTTTAATGTTAATATAATCCATAAAATAAGGTGCCATTATTATCATTTTATGTAGATAATGTTTAGATTTAACCACACATTTACAACTTCTTCAAACACCATTCCCTCTTCTATGGTCCTCCACCTACCTCTGGAATCAAATTTCCTCCTCATAAAGAACATCTATTAGAAATTATTTTAATGAGGGTTGGTTGGTAGCAAATTATTTTAAATAACTGTCACCTTTATTCATGAAAGATTTATTAAGCATACATTTGTAGGTTGATAATTATTTTATAGTTTTTAATATATTAATCCATTACCTTTGATTTCGTTGTTGACATAAAGTTAGCTATTAGTATAATTGTATGCCTTGGTAATCTCTCTTTTTTCTCTGGCTACTTTTAAGATTTTTTTTTTTTTCAAAAAATGGTAGAACATCAAAGCCAACATGTGTATGTGTATTTTTTCTCCCACTTGAGATTCATTATGGTTCTTGAATCTATAGATTTGTATCTTTCATCAATTATGGAAAAATTCTTAAGCTGTTTCCTCTTTGGCTATTGCTTTTTCCTGTTCTAATTTTTCCTGTTGAACATATGTTGGACCATCTCATTCAACCATTCCATCTCTTTCTCTGTACCTAATGTGTTGTTTAACCAACCCACTGAGATTAAAAACTCAGTTTTAATCAGTGGCTGCATTTTTTGATTTCTAGAAACTTCTTTGGCTTCTTTTCAAATTCACATGCTCTTTTTCCATACCATTTCTTCATATGGTTTTCTTTAATAATTTTGGCATACTTGTTTAATGTTCTCTTTTAAATTGTTCTCTTTAGTCCTTAAAGCACTCATTTTTCTATTTGTTCATCCGTTGTCTCACAGTGGTTTATTTCCTTATGTGATCTGTAATTTTTGATTTTGCATTTCTACTTAAAGGATGATCTTTTCCACTGGACATCCTGTGTGTCCTGAATACTGTAAGTAGCCTAGCAAAGCAGTTTTATGTTGTTCTCAACCAAGAACTTACAGGTTTCCCACAGATTTTTATGTTAACTTCTTCGATTAGAGTTCCTTCTCCACTTGTGTAAATTTGGACCCCATACTTACAGTGGCACAGTTGGGATTTATGAGTAGGGTTCTTCTATCTTCTTTTCATAGACAGAGCAACCCTTTTAAGGTCTAGGATTTATGCAAGAGAATTCGTTTTGGCTCCTCACCTTAAAGAGGCCTACAGCATGTCTGTTGAGCTCATGTGGACATTAACATCCATTAGAGAGCTCATCCTCATGAGTCACCCTAATATCAGCACCTGCTTCCTACTTCCGGCTTTTCATTTCTTCCTTATTTCCTATATCTAATTATTTCCCTTCCTTTCAAGCTTGGATATATATTTTTTATAGATATATGTTGTCCAAAATTTATAAAAGTTTATAGTACTAGATGGCCTCTTCCATTTCAGCTTGGTCTATAGAAGCATACCCATTGCACTAATGTTTGTGAATTTGTTCAACACTTGTTTATTGAGTGCCCATTATATTTCAGCAGGAGGCTAATCCTCAGCTTCATACTCACTTATTCTTTATAAACATAAGCAGCAAATTAATTCTGAGTATCTTATGAAACCTTAAATGTGTATCATAGCAAGAAAATTTCTTAAGGGTTTTCGTGACAATTATGCAGCTCAATGTTTTCATGCCCTTTAGAGATTATGACTGAACACATGGGCATACATACAATAGAAGCATTAGTCGCCACTGAGTTAAGCTGGTAGGTTTTTGTGGGTTTTTTGTTTTTTTGTTTTTTTTTTTGAGATGGAGTCTCACTGTGTTGCCCAGGCTGGAATGTAGTGGTGTGATCTTGGCTCACTGCAAGCTCCGCCTCTCGGGTTCACGCCATTCTCTTGCCTCAGCCTCCCGAGTAACTGGGACTACAGGCGCCTGCCACCATGCCCGGCTAATTTTTTTGTATTTTTATTAGAGACAGGGTTTCACCGTGTTAGCCAGGATGGTCTCAATCTCCTGACCTTGTGATCTGCCTGCCTCGGCCTCCCAAAGTGCTGGGATTACAGGCATGAGCCACCATGCCCGGCCACTGGTAGGTTTTTCTGTAACCAGACTAGTTTTCCTATGTGTACTTGCACACACACAAATTACAATGAAAAAATACAGAATTATTTCAGGAGTTTCTCAAGCACAATCTTGTGCTGTGTTTCCAACCATATAGGCCACCTCCACCTATAAGACTTTCAATATGGCTGCCTTGTCTATTTCTGTCACTGGCAATCTTATTCTTCTGATTTCCTTGGCTTGTAAACGTTAATCTCATTTTGACTTTACTTTCTCTTTAACGTCCATGTCAGCAAGCTTTATCTTTACATTGTCCTTCTGCTCAATTTCTACAGCCTCTTCCGTGATTTAGAGAGACACTCAACCCTTCACAACTAACTTACTTCCTTGTCTGTAGACTTACTCTTTTCCCAGTTTTCCTAAGGCCCCTACAGTTAATCTTTCTAAAATTCTGTTTTTATTCTGTGCCTCCTTATTACAAATCAAAGATGTATCTGGTGCTTATTTGGCCACCTTCTAACTGCAAAGCATAGCATAAGTTCTACTTTTATTTTGCATAATTTGTTTTTGTTCCCTAATACCAGCTTCCAAAAGGATAGGTCCTTTACTGTCTCCTTAACACATCCTGTTCAGTCCTATCTCTGCCTGCTCAGCCTAGTGCCTTCTGTGGTCTTCTTTCTGTTCCTTTCTTCTCCCTGTCTATCCCAACTTAGCTGAGTCTCCTGCCCTCCAGAGCCTCCCAAAACAAGAATTTTCTCTCCCCTGCCAAACCTTATCCTGAACCATCACCAACCCCTGAAACAAACAAACAAACAAAATCCATCTGAAAAGCAAATCTTCTTTTTTATACCCCTGACACAAATCTTCATTTCTCAGATGTCCGTATTTTCACACTGGTCTGTGGTTAAATGTGTGCATATCAGCAGCTCAAGAGCAGAGGTATTTCTTATGTCCCTGCCTAGCACCTGGCACAGTGCTGGGACAGTAAACTCAGGTAAAATCCTGCCTGACTTCTTAACTTGACTGGGCAGGTGAAACACCTACCAAATCAGCATAGTGAACCAGAGACCTGCATGGATAAGTAGTTTCATCTTGAATTCATAGCCTGTTTCCCTGACTCACACAAACCTGCTCACACCCCGACCGTCAACCTCCAGGAAACGCCTCCGAACCCCCACCCCAGGCCCTGTGTTCCCATCAGTCTTGGGCTGCCTTTCCACTCCAAACTACACAGAGCCTCAGCCTGCCCATCTCCAATTACCAAGTTGCTCATTCACCGAAGGAAGCAGCAGTGAGTGGCAGTGGCCACTGTACATTAACTGAGAAGGGAAAAAACAAACAACAAAACAGGTTACAGGGTAGCTTTATGGTACAATCCAAATTTTGAGTGTGTGTCTGTGCGTGAGAGCGTGCATGTATGAATGTGTGTATACATATGTGTATGTTCTAAAAGATATTGCACTTTGTTAACCGTTGTTATCACTGAGATTATGCATGCTTTTACTTTAATTTTTATCCAGTACCTTGGGCATCTATAGGATATTAATTAAAGGAACAGAGATAAATATTTATGGATCACTTATGGTGTATGTGGCATTTTATGCACACAATTTTACATTTCATTTAATCTTTACAACAGCAGCATAAAATTCGTGTTATTTTCTCCATATTACAGACAAGGAAGTTGAAACTCAGGCCTAGAGCCTGTCCAAGGTCACACAGCTGTCAAGGAGCCAAGGCAGAAGTTGAAGTCACATCTGTCTGACTCAAAACATGATTTTCCATTTCACATGCTCCCCCAGCTAGTGAGGCTTTCCAGAAACTCCCAAGCTTGAACCATTCCACTGGAAGTGGAGAAAACATTTTCTTGCTGATTAGACTAGAAGTCAGTCAATGTGGATTCTAGTCCTAAATATGACACTTAATGGTTGTGTAACCTTGTATAATATACTTCCCTTTGCTTCCCTTTCTGCCTTCCAAAAACAAATTATGTATATTCTTGGAATTTTAAAATATACAAACTAATTTCTTCTGGGTCAAGAGAGAAATTCTGTCTATAATAATGACTACTTATAAAACCATGACAGTGAGTGCCTATATGTCTGACTACCTGGGATATAGGCAAAGCAGTTTTTGTGGGGACATTTATAGCTCGAAGTGTTTTTATTACCAAAAGATAAAATTAATGGATCAACAAAAAAATTAAAAATTCAAGGGAAGGGGTAGCAAAGAAAAATAAAGAGAAAAAGAGATAAAAGCATCAATAAATAAATGAGGAAACATAAAAACAGTATAATTGAGACATAAGCCCAAGAGCAGTTTTCTTGAAAAGACTGAAAAATCAATACATTTCCAGCAAATATTAATCACGAAAAAGGGAAAACACACAAAAGTGGAATCAAATGCAGTTGCAAACAGCAGGGGAAATCCATGGAGCCCAGGATTCTCCTGCTCTTCAGGGGCTACAATTTTGTCACTTCCTAGAAGAAAACAAGTTTGGTAGGGCAGAATTTCAGAGGCTGATTTCACAATGCCTTCTAGAAAATGACTAAGGCTTTCCCTTTAGAAAGAATCTATATTGGACATATTCAACACACTTAGGGACTATTTCCAATTCTACTCTGTCCCTCACCTTAACCTCTCCTCTGAACTCTAGTTCCAGATTTCAGCAGCCTCTGGGCAGCTCCACCAGCTCCTCAAAAATGCAGCCACTCAGATCTCATATTCTCCCATTCTATTCTCCTCCCCCTCCCCATCCTGTTCCCCTTTTCTCTTCCTCATCTACTCTTTCTCTGGCTCTACAAATGACACCATCTACCTGCTCACCCCAGGTTAACCCAAGGCATTGTTGTTTAACAACTCCTTCTCTTTTGTCCTTGTCCCTTTGTACCCAAGCAGTTGCTAAGTCCCATCAATTCTGTATCCACAGTGTACCTGTACATAAAGTGCCACATATGCCTGTTTACAGGCCTTGACCACCTAATCACTGCAGTAGCTCTAATCTGGTCTCTCTGTGACAGGTCTCTTCCACCTCAAATTCATCTACATACAACCCACCACCACATTGCTCAGAAACTCTCAATGATCTAACAAAGGTCTCATATCCAGAGTCTACAAGGAACTCCAACAAATTTACAAGAAAAAAACAACCCCATTAAAAAGTGGGCAAAGGACATGAACAGACACTTCTCAAAAGAAGACATTCATGTAGCCAACAAACATATGAAAAAAACTCAACATCACTGATCATTAGAGAAATGCAAATCAAAACCACAATGAGCCCAGGCGCAGTGGCTCACGCCTGTAATCCCAGCACTTTGGGAGGCCGAGGCAGGTGGATCACCAGAGGTCAGGAGTTCACGACCAGCCTGCCCAACATGGTGAAACCCCATCTCTACTAAAAATACAAAAAAAAAAAAAAATGGCCAGGCATGGTGGCAGACACCTGTAACCCCAGGTACTTGGGAGGCTGAGGCAGGAGAATTGCTTGAACCTGGGAGGTGGAGGCTGTAGTAAGCCAAGATCATGCCACTGCACTCCATCCTGGGAGACAGAGCAAGACGCCATCGAAAAAAAAGAAAAAAAAAGAAAAAAAAAACACAAGAGATGCCATCTCACACACACCAGTCAGAATGGCTATTATTAAAAAGTCAAGACACAACAGATGCTGGTGAGGTTTCAGAGAAAAAGGAACGCTTTTACACTGTTGGTGGGAATGTAAATTAGTTCAATCATTGTGGAAAACAGTGTGGCGATTCCTCAAAGATCTAGAAGCAGAAATAACATTTCACTCAGCAATCCCATTACTAGGTATGTACCCAAAGGAATATAAATCATTCTTTTATAAAGATACATGCATGTGTATGTTCACTGTAGCACTATTCACAATAGCAAAGACATGAAATCAATCCAAATGCCCATCAATGATAGACTGGACAAAGAAAATACGGTACATATATACCATGGAATACTATCCAGCCATAAAAAGGAATGAGATTATGTCCTTTTCAGGGACAAGGATGGAGCTGGAAGCTGTTATCCTCAACAAACTAACGCAGGAACAGAAAACCAAATGTCACATATTCTCACTTATAAGTGGAAGCCGAACGATGAAAACATATGGATACATGGGAGGAACAACACACAATTGGGTCTGTCGAGGCAAGGGGCATAGGGAGGGAGAGCATCAGGAAGAATAGCTAATGGATGCTAGGCTTAATACCTAAGTGATGGGTTAATCAGTGCAGCAAATCACCATGGCATGTGTTTACCTATGTAACAAACCTACACATCCTGCACATGTACCCTGGAACTTAAAGTTGATGAAAAAAATAATATGAAAAGAAAAGAAAAGAAGCTCTCAATGGCTGTCTATTGCCAACAACAGCAAGTCAAAACACATTGGCCAGGGATTAAAGGCTTTCAATTGTTCAACCCAATTTGTTCAACCTTAGCTCTCATGCATTTCCTTCAGATATTCCATAATTTTCCCAAACAGCAAGAAAACTTGTCATAAAACCATGACAAGAGTTCTGAGAAAAGGGATTACTAAGAAATTGTGCAGCAACCTGAGTTGTCCTTCAAATAAAAAAGTAAAAAATATGTTTGAACATGCATGAATTTAGAGAATGCAGCCCTTAAATGCTCACCTGAAACAAACAAACAAAACCTACTAGATGACAAAATTCAAGCTACAAGTAGATGAATTCTTAACATAATAAAATAGAACAAAAGCAAACAAAACATCATGTCAGGCAAATGAAACCCTGTGTATGGAGCAAACGAAACACGTTCTTTGCCATCCTCAGCGGAAGAAAGGATGTGGAGCTGGGTTTTGCACACCTGCCCACTTTTTTTTTTTTTTTTTTTTTTTTTTTTTTTTGAGACGGAGTCTGGCTCTGTAGCCCAGGCTGGGATGCAGTGGTGCAATCTAAGCTCACTGCAACCTCCACCTCCCAGGTTCAAGCAATTATC
Source organism: Homo sapiens (assembly GCF_000001405.40). Taxonomy (NCBI): domain Eukaryota; kingdom Metazoa; phylum Chordata; class Mammalia; order Primates; family Hominidae; genus Homo; species Homo sapiens. The sequence continues at coordinate 91,524,082 of NC_000010.11, forward strand.
CTGCTTCAGCCTCCCCAGTAGCTGGGACTACAGACATGTGCCACCACACCTGCCTAATTTTTTTGTATTTTTAGTAGAGATGGGGTTTCAGCATGTTGGCCAAACTAGTCTCAAACTCCTGACCTCAAATGGTCCACCCGCCTCAGCCTCCCAAAGTGCTGGGATTACAGGGGTGAGCCACCACGCCCAGCCTGAATCCCACTTCTGAGTCAAACTAGACCTAAAGTTGAATCCTCCTCTGTCACATACTAGTTATATGACCATAAGAACCTACCTCAATATCTCTGAGCCTCGATTTCCTACCTACTTACCTATCCAGCTACCAACCTATCATCTCTCTACATATCAACCTATCATGTATCTGTCTCTATCATCCTTATCTGTCTACCATCTCTATTACCTATGTATAATCTATCTACTGATATATACCATCTATCCATCCACATTATGTACCTCTTTATAAATTGTTGAAAGAATTGAATTTTCCCATTCTTGGGTAAATGGCTCCTCTTCCTGCATACCAACCTTCCTACAGAAAACACAGGACTTTGATTTTCCTCTCCCTCAAGGAGAGTTAGAATGAGAACTTATTTTCTCTCCACTCTGACTGCTGCCCCCAAGGGAGGGCAGTTGCTTCTTTATTGAGGAGAGCCTGGTAGCAATTGGCCACATTTTGATAAAGTATGGATTTCTGCACAGAAAAGGCACTTCAAGCCTTGTTCTTCTCTCTCGTTCTCTGGGAATCTCTGGCCTGCCTGAGCCTAGGTATAGTGGGTACTTGAGCTTCCAGGCAGTTCTGATCAGTGCCCCACCCCCACCCCGAAAGACCTGCCATTGCATCTGGAGAGGTAAGTGAGGAGAGGAGAGAAGCTTCAGTAGGCCAACTAAAGTAACAGATGCCCAAATTTCAGCGGCTTTGTATAGTAGAAGTTCATTTCTAACTCACTTAACAGTTCTGGAAAGATGTTCAGGTCAGCGAGGCATCTCTCCTTCTCGGGATCACCAGGCTCCTTCCATCTGGTGGCTCCACCATCCCCTAGGGCACCGTTGGAGTCCATATTCAGCGGGCTGAAGGAGAAAGCAAGATGGATTCACTCCAAGTATTAGGAGTCAATACTTGTGAATGGAAAGGGAGAAGAAACAGAATTGGGCAGAAGGAGAAGTCAAGCCGTGACACAGTCCTGACAAACCAACGGCCAACCCAGTGGGGACCTCTACAGTGGATGTTACCCATTGGTGGTGTCCTTTATTGAGCCAAAATAGCCGCGCCTCAAGTGGTCCCCAGAGGTAGGAGGCTCCTGGAAGGGTGTGACATTAGGCAAAGTGGATGAGGCTCTGTAGCTGAGGCCGGCCCTGACGGAGGTGATGGCAGGAGACTGTCTACTGACTGCACTTGCTGCAGCAAGGCCCATCTGGAGGCATACCTGCACATCTACCACACACAGCCACACCTCACTGTGAAGGAGTCTGGAAAATTAGTCCAGCTGTTATCTAAGAGGAGGGGAAAGAGATTTGAGTGACAGCTAGCAGTCAGGCAAGATCTTCTCCAAACTGATTTGACAAAAGAGCCCTGTACTTGGGAGTTGAATGCTATAGAAGACAGTTTGCTCTTCAGTTAGCCTTGTGTTGACTCCATCTATTAGAACCCTGCGCGGAGCAGGGGTGATGGATACCAGGTACCTAACCCTAGCAACACTGCCTGTGAAGTGCCTAGACAGAAGGTGCCTGATCAACGTGGCTTCTGTCTCCAGATTTTGTTGCTGAATTGGGCTTCTTTGAGAGTATGAACAGCCCCAACCAGAGCCCACCTAATCAGTGCTCAGTGATTTATTAAGTAAAAGTTACACAACTGCCCTTGTTTATTATGCATTGACCTCTGAGGTGCCAAGAGCCTATGATCACTTTCCTGGTCCAAGGAGATCTAGGAATAAATCCCCCACTTTGTACCAAGTGACCTACTTTTCTTACTCAACTGTCACTTCTGAGGTTCCAGTGGTCAAATGAAAAGTTGGGAAGCTCTCTGTGCACGTCACAGCTGAGGATGCAGCTGCCAAGCTCTCCCTGCTCTGACCCTTCAAAGGAGGGCATTGGGAAATTCAAACCAAACACAAATCGTGGCCACCCAGGGAGACTGCCTGGGTTATTGCTCTGTTATCTAGAACCACAAGGGACCAAGATTGGGGTACCAAACCCCACACTGGTGATTCTGAGCAGGGAGCTTGGCAGGCTGCCAGCTGAGGTGGATGAGGAGCAAGCAGGTTGCAAAGGAAGTCCCCCCAGGATGGGCAAATCTGGGCCCACCCATCTTCTGCCTGCCACCCCTCAGTGGAAGCCTGGCAGAGAGTGGATGGCTGTCAGAAGATGCTGATGGCCCTGTGGCAAGCCCCAGCATGTTCCCGTTAAAGATCAAAGGAACCATCACAGAACTGGAGAGAGAAGACCATCTTTTGCTCAGGCCCTAGCTCATCCTGTGACCTTGGACAAGTAACCTCACAGAGCCTCCATGATTCATCCATTAAGTAGGGTGAGTATATGTAGTCTACCTCCTTTCTGGCACTTTAAATCCTTGAGTCCATGGGCTCCCAGGGTCTGTGTACATCCTCCTGGAAGTTAATAGCTTTTCCTGTCGTTTTTCTTTTTGATTTCAATAACCTAAAAAGATTTCCACACACCAACTTTGGTTCCCCCAGAGGACCATGTTATATGGAGAACTGGGTTAGTTAGTTCCCGGTCACCCAGAATCACAAGATGTGTCGTGGTTTCACGGTTTCAGACGCAGCATTTGTAAGCATGCCAAACAAATGAATGAAGGTGGGCTTGTTTCCTACGGCTGCTATAACAAATTACTACAAATTCAGAGGCTTAAAACCATACAAATTTATTATCCCACAGTTCTGGAGATGAAAAGTGCAAAATAGGTCTTACTGGGCTAAAATCACGGTGTCAGAAGGGCTGCGTCCCTTTTGGAGGCTCTAGGGGAGAAACAGCTTCCTGCCTTTTCCAGCTTCCAGATGCTGCCCACTGGCCTTGGCTGGTGACCCCTTTCCTCATCTTCAAAGCCACAGGGTGTCATCAACTCTCCTGCCTCCCTCTTTCACTCACAAGGGCCTCTGTGATTACCTGGGGCCCATTCAGATAATCCAGAATAATTTACCCATCTCAAAATCCTTCATTCAATCATATCGGCAGAGTCCCACTTGCCATGTAAGGTAACATTCACAGCTTCGTGAGACTGGGGCATGAACATCTTTGGGGGCCAGTATTTTTCCTACCACAGAAAGATTTTTATTATCTGAATAGTTGAATTGAAGACAAAATGGACATAATAATAAGGAATGGTCAGAATGGCATACTGAGTCTTTCCCATGTATTCACTGATTTTCTACAACAGTACAACTATCATTCCTGTGATTTTTAAAATGTAAATGCTATTTAAAGTATTTGAAAACAATTTCAGATGTTCTGCTCTTCCCAATACAGAAATAATATTTAAAATGAAAGAAAAGCTTTATATGCTTCATGGTTTCTTCCCTTTTCTAGATTTCCCAATGCATTAAGATGTCTTATTAAAAGGAATAAAATAGATCACATGTACAGACATGGACAAATGTCCAAAATACACAGTTAAGTATAAAAAGCAACCTGCAAATCAGCATGTGTACTGTGATCTCATCTTCATAAGATAATAGATTTATATGTTTGTTTCTATGGAGAAAATACCCACAAGAATATAAGCCAAACGGTTAACCACATTATCCTGGGGGCTGAGGAAGCAGGGGGAAGGCAGCAGTAGGCTTCCTGAGCCATCATGCCTGCAATGTAATATATAGAATAAGCTCATATTATTTTTTATAACCAGGAAAATATTAGGACAGTGCTTCTCTGTGTTTAAAGACTAAGGGGATCTTCCAAAATCCCCTTTTCGTTGATGGAGAATAGCATCAATCAGAATTTCAGAATTCTGCCCAACCAATACGAGCCTTAGGGCCTCGCCTCTAAGTGCTTCCTATTAGCTCCTTTCCAGTTCCTCCTTAGAAATGTGCAGATATGCCACCTGCCATTGCAATCACAGGGAATGTAGGTCAGGTAATTAGTAACCAGACTTTGTTTTGGAAAACACTCAGTACATGCCAGTAAAATAGGTCAGTTCCTACTCCTCGGGGCAGAACCCCCGAGCTTTCAAGAGGGAGGGACCCTGCAGGTCACTGAACATAAGCCCCCATTGTCATACCCTGAGGCCCAGAACTAGGTCACCAGCTAGCAAGCAGCAGAGCTTGGATTCAAGGCAGATGCGTGGGACTCCCAAAGTCACATTCTTCCCACTCGGCTATTCTGTGGTCAACTACTGAATAAGATCCTTCCTGGGATTCCAATCTGGATTCCTCAGAGTTTGCTGGGCCCAGATGTGCAGTAATGGCCCGCTCATGCCTCTCTTCACCTTGGGCTGGGACACTGGGGATTGTGGGGAGTGATGGGGAGCATTTAGCGGTTAGCTCAGAGATGCATGTGTAACAAATGGATCAAAAGTTTGAGGGGCTGGGCTGTTCCCATTGCAAAGCCACTTCATCTTTGTTAACGCTGTAGTCTTGACAATTTCTTAGGGAGCCTTGGTTCCCTAAAGTTTTACAACCAGGCCTTTCTCCTGACAGAACTGAATGCGATATGATTCATGGACCTCAGAATGGTTCTGGCCAATGAGAACATGGGTGCAGACAAATCACTGAGGTTGTTTACTTCACCCACCCAGCACCAGGTGAGCTGGAAGGGTCACAGAAAAAGCCCGAGATCCACCCAGAGTCTCAGGATAGGGCATTTGCCTGGGGCTCACAAAGACCTGGAGTCTGTGCAGAAAGGCAGTCCAGCTGATAACCAGCCTGGAGGCACCACCTGGCACTTTCTTGCAGTCCAGCTGATAACCAGCCTGGAGGCACCACCTGGCACTTTCTTATCATACCCTTTGCTGGTGTTGGTGCAGCCACCATACTCTCCCCCAACCATGAAAGGGCATCCAGCACAGGATGATGGGGACATAGAGCATTAGTGAGCAGCACAGTATTGCTTCTGTGTGACACCCCAAGGGGCCAGAAAAAAAACAGGCTTTCACTACTTATGAACAAAGTCTGTCCCCAGGAAGTCATCAAGCTTTGTCTCCAATGAACTCGAATCCCAGTGACACCATATGGATCCAGCCACTGCACTGCTTCATTCTCTTGAAAGCTGGAAGCATGTGCTTTCTTCTACAGGGATGAAATGAATAAGAACTAGAGCACCTATTCAGATTCAGCCTCCTCTCACAACCAAAGCACCTCCTCCAGAGCTGTCTAGAGTTTTGCTCTCATCAGTTCCACCTTTCAAGGACACAACAATGGGGGAAACAATCAGATCATCTCTGTACCAAAAGGCTGGTCCTTCCATCCCACCCAAGAGCACAGAGAAGGCCTTGAAAAAGGAGGCCTCCCACTCCCTCACTGGCTAAAAAGCCAGTTTTGATAAACGGGGAGACAGTCCCCACCCAGGTCTTCTACCTAAAATCCTATTTGTGATGGCAGTGTTGGAGTGTTGGGAGGATACAAGACCAGGTCTGGGACTTCAGGAGGTGTTATTTTTCAATGGAAGGATTGTGTTCCTTCTGAGCTTCTATATGCAGATGCAAAGGGGCTATGGCGAAGTCATTTTTGTGCCACTGAAAGTTGATTTGTTGAAGGTCTTCTCTTTCTTGCCTCTTACTGTGGCTGGCTTTGAGGAAGGATGGAACCCATAGAACCAGAGACCCTCTAGGCTGAGTTAGAACTCAGGGACCACCCAGGAGGGAACATTCATACCACCGGAAACTTTGTAAGCAAGATTGCAAAGGAGATGGATGATCTTAGGGCAAATAAAGCCCATAAAGATCTGGTCACCTTTTCAGGAGAGTAACTGCTTTTGCTGCACCAGATTTTCCATTTAGCCATCCAGGATATGCGAGAAAACACAAAAAGGCAAGTGGTTCCCTGGGTCCCCAGCCACCTTGCCAGCCTTCCCCCTCCCTCTCCAGCCCTGGAGTGGGATGAAGCATCACAGCATTCCCTTCCCTTCCCTTTCCTTCCCAAGGTTTGAAGATGACCTGGTCTAGGGGAGTGGACTACGGGATGAACTAAACTAGTCCAGGGCCCTGAGTAGGTGCAGAGAAGGGTGTGTAGAAGAGAAGCAGGAGCCTGGGGAACACTGCTTGACTGACTCACCTGAGGCATTCCAGTGCACTGGCAGACAGGCCCCATGCTGATGGAACTGTCCTCAAATGAGGCCTCTAGACAAAGAGCCTTTCATTCCTTTCTGTAGTCTGAATTTTCTTTTTTTTTGAGATGGAGTTTTGCTCTTGTTGCCCAGGCTGGAGTGCAATGGTATGATCTTGGCTCACTGCAACCTCCGCCTCCTGGGTTCAAGCGATTCTTCTGTCTCAGCCTCCCGAGTAGCTGGGATTACAAGCACGGGCCACCACGCCCGGCTGATTTTTGTATTTTTAGTGGAGATGGGGTTTCATCATGTTGGCCAGGCTGGTCTCAAACTCCTGACCTCACGTGATCCGCCCATCTCAGCCTCCCAAAGTGCTGGGATTACAGGCGTGAGCCACTGTACCCAGCTGAACTTTCTAATACATCACTGTGAGCCTACAGTAGAGAACTGAGTGAATTTTCCTTGTGATTTTGTGTGTACATGCACTATCCACAGAAGGAGAATAGAGAGGAAGATTGCTCAGCCCTCACATCAGTTTTATGGATGGCACAGGCAGGAACAAAGAGTCTTTCTGGGACCATGATCAGCTAAACACAGAAAGCAGGTGGGAGAGGAGCTGCTTCATTGAAATGAGGGTGAGGGTTTCAGGGCTCCTACCACCCAGCTTCTTACTTCTCTCATGGCCTCTTTGCAGAACTTCAGACCTTCTAGAGCCCTAATAAGTAGAAAAAGTCCCCCATCTAATCCAGCTCCTCAGTGTGAGGCTGCAGGAGGAGCCTAAGGGGAGGAGAGCATGACCTGCCCCATCACACACCTGACAAGGGCCACACTAGGCTCCACCCTATTTCCCCAGGAAGATTGACCTTTACAAAGCTGCTCTTCCTCGAATGGAACCAAGTTGGAAAACACTCTGCAGAATATTATCCAGGAGAACTTCCCCAACCTAGCAAGGCAGGCCAACATTCAAATTCAGGAAATACAGAGAACTCCACAAAGATACTCCTTGAGAAGAGCAACTCCAAGACACATAATTGTGAGATTCACCAAGGTTGAAACGAAGGAAAAAATGTTAAGGGCAGCCAGACAGAAAGGTCGGGTTACCCACAAAGGGAAGCCCATCAGACTAACAGCTGATCTCTCAGCAGAAACTCTACAAGCCGGAAGAGAGTGGGGGCCAATATTCAACGTTCTTAGAGAAAAGAATTTTCAATCCAGAATTTCGTATCCAGCCAAACTAAGCTTCATAAGTGAAGAAGAAATAAAATACTTTACAGACAAGCAAATGCTGAGAGATTTTGTCACCACCAGGACTGCCCTACAAGAGCTCCTGAAGGAAGCACTAAACATGGAAAGGAACAACCGGTACCAGCCACTGCAAAAACATGCCAAATTGTAAAGACCATTGATGCTAGGAAGAAACTGCATCAACTAATGAGCAAAATAACCAGCTAACATCATAATGACAGGATCAAATTCACGCATAACAATATTAACCTTAAATGTAAATGGGCTAAATGCTCCAAATAGAAGACACAGACTGGCAAATTGGATAAAGAGTCAAGACCCATCAGTGTGCTGTATTCAGGAAACCCATCTCACGTGCAGAGACACACATAGGCTCAGAATAAAGGGATGGAGGAAGATCTACCAAGCAAATGGAAAACAAAAAAAGGCAGGGGTTGCAATCCTAGTCTCTGATAAAACAGACTTTAAACCAACAAAGATCAAAAGAGACAAAGAAGGCCATTAGATAATAGTAAAGGGATCAATTCAACAAGAAGAGCTAACTATCCTAAATATATATGCACCCAATACAGGAGCACCCAGATTCATAAAGCAAGTCCTTAGAGACCTACAAAGAGACTTAGATTCCCACACAATAACAATGGGAGACTTTAACACCCCACTGTCAACATTAGACAGATCAACAAGACAGAAAGTTAACAAGGATATCCAGGAATTGAACTCAGCTCTGCACCAAGCGGACCTAATAGACATCTACAGAACTCTCCACCCCAAATCAACAGAATATACATTCTTCTCAGCACCACACGGCACCTATTCCAAAACTGACCACATAGTTGGAAGTAAAGCACTCCTCAGCAAATGTAAAAGAACAGAAATTATAACAAACTGCCTCTCAGACCACAGTGCAATCAAACTAGAACTCAGGAATAAGAAACTCACTCAAAACCACTGAACTACATGGAAACTGAACAACCTACTCCTGAATGACTACTGGGTACATAACGAAATGAAGGCAGAAATAAAGATGTTCTTTGAAACCAATGAAAATAAAGACACAACATACCAGAATCTCTGGGGCACATTTAAAGCAGTGTGTAGAGGGAAATGTATAGCAATAAATGCCCACAGGAGAAAGCAGGAAAGATCTAAAATTGACACCCTAACATCCCAATTAAAAGAACTAGAGAAGCAAGAGCAAACACATTCAAAAGCTAGCAGAAGGCAAGAAATAACTAAGATCAGAGCAGAACTGAAGGAGATAGAGACACAAAAAACCCTTCAAAAAATCAATGAATCCAGGAGCTGGTTTTTTGAAAACATCAACAAAATTGATAGACCACTAGCAAGACTAATAAAGAAGAAAAGAGAGAAGAATCAAATAGATGCAATAAAAAATGATAAAGGGGATATCACCACCGATCCCACAGAAATACGAACTACCATCAGAGAATACTATAAACACCTCTGCGCAAATAAACTAGAAAATCTAGAAGAAATGGATAAATTCCTGGACACATACACCCTCCCAAGACTAAACTAGGAAGAAGTTGAATCTCTGAATAGACCAATAACAGGCTCTGAAATTGAGGCAATAATTAATAGCTTACCAACCAAAAAAAGTCCAGGACCAGACGGATTCACAGCCGAATTCTACCAGAGGTACAAGGAGGAGCTGGTACCATACCTTCTGAAACTATTCCAATCAATAGGAAAAGAGGGAATCCTCCCTAACTCATTTTATGAGGCCAGCATCATCCTGATACCAAAGCCTGGCAGAGACACAACAAAAAAAGAGAATTTTAGACCAATATCCCTGATGAACATCGATGCAAAAATCCTCAATAAAATACTGGCAAACCGAATCCAGCAGCACATCAAAAAGCTTATCCACCATGATCAAGTGGGCTTCATCCCTGGGATGCAAGGGTGGTTCAACATACACAAATCAATAACATAATCCAGCATATAAACAGAACCAAAGACAAAAGCCACATGATTATCTCAATAGATGCAGAAAAGGCCTTTGACAAAATTCAACAACCCTTCATGCTAAAAACTCTCAATAAATTAGGTATTGATAGGACATATGTCAAAATAATAAGAGCTATTTATGACAAACCCACAGACAATATCATACTGAATGGGCAAAAATTGGAAGCATTCCCTTTCAAAACTGGCACAAGACAGGGATGCCCTCTCTCACCACTCCTATTCAACACAGTGTTGGAAGTTCTGGCCAGGGCAATCAGGCAGGAGAAAGAAATAAAGGGTATTCAATTGGGAAAAGAGGAAGTCAAATTGTCCCTGTTTGCAGATGACATGATTGTATATTTAGAAAACCCCATCGTCTCAGCCCAAAATCTCCTTAAGCTGATAAGCAACTTCAGCAAAGTCTCAGGATACAAAATCAATGTGCAAAAATCACAAGCATTCTTATACACCAATAACAGACAAACAGAGAGCCAAATCATGAGTGAACTCCCATTCACAATTGCTTCAAAGAGAATAAAATACCTAGGAATCCAACTCACAAGGGATGTGGAGGAACTCTTCAAGGAGAACTACAAACCACTGCTCAATGAAATAAAAGAGGAAACAAACAAATGCAAGAACATTCCATGCTCATGGATAGGAAGAATCAATATTGTGAAAATGGTCATACTGCCCGAGGTAATTTATAGATTCAATGCCACCCCATCAAGCTACCAATGACTTTCTTCACAGAATTGGAAAAAAATTCTTTAAAGTTCATATGGATCCAAAAAAGAGCCCACATTCCCAAGTCAATCCTAAGCCAAAAGAACAAAGCTGGAGGCATCACGCTACCTGACTTCAAACTATACTACAAGGCTACAGTAACCAAAACAGCATGGTACTGGTACCAAAACAGAGATATAGACCAATGGAACAGAACAGAGCCCTCAGAAATAATACCACACATCTACAACTATCTGATCTTTGACAAACCTGACAAAAACAAGAAATGGGGAAAGGATTCCCTATTTAACAAATGGTGCTGGGAAAACTGGCTAGCCATATGTAGAAAGCTGAAACTGGATCCCTTCCTTACACCTTATACAAAAATTAATTCAAGGTGGATTAAAGACTTAAATGTTAGACCTAAAACCATAAAAACCCTAGAAGAAAACCTAGGCAATACCATTCAGGACAAAGGCATGGGCAAGGACTTCATGGCTAAAGCACCAAAAGCAATGGCAACAAAAAGTCAAAATTGACAAATAGGATCTAAGTAAACTAAAGAGCTTCTGCACAGCAAAAGAAACTACCATCAGAGTGATCTACAGAATGGGAGAAAATTTTTGCAATCTATTCATCTGACAAAGGGCTCATATCCAGAATCTACAAAGAACTCAAACACATTTACAAGAAAAAACAAACAACCCCATCAACAAGTGGGCAAAGGATATGAACAGACACTTCTCAAAAGAAGATATTTATGCAGCCAACAGACACATGAAAAGATGCTCATCATCACTGGCCATCAGAGAAATGCAAATCAAAACCACAATGAGATATCATCTCACACCAGTTAGAATGGCGATCATTAAAAAGTCAGGAAACAACAGGTGCTGGAGAGGATGTGGAGAAATAGGAACACTTTTACACTGTTGGTGGGACTGTAAACTAGTTCAACCATTGTGGAAGTCAGTGTGGCGATTCCTCAGGGATCTAGAACTAGAAATACCATTTGACCCAGTCATCCCATTACTGGGTATATACCCAAAGGAATATAAATTATGCTGCTATAAAGACACATGCACACGTATGTTTATTGCAGCACCATTCACAATAGCAAAGACTTGGAACCAACCCAAATGTCCAACAATGATAGACTGGATTAAGAAAATGTGGCACATATACACCATGGAATACTATGCAGTCATAAAAAAGGATGAGTTCATGTCCTTTGTAGGGACATGGATGAAGCTGGAAACCATCATTCTCAGCAAACTATCATAAGGACAAAAAACCAAACACCACATGTTCTCACTCACAGGTGGAAATTGAACAATGAGAACACTTGGACACAGAAAGGGGAACATCACACACTGGGGCCTGTTGTGGGGTGGGGGGAGTGGGGAGGGATAGCATTAGGAGATATACCTAATGTAAATGACAAGTTAATGGGTGCAGCACACCAACATGGCACATGTATACACATGTAACAAACCTGCAACTTGTGCACACGTAACCTAGAACTGAAAGTATAATAAAATATATATATATAAATTAAAAAAAGATGTTAAGGAGATGAGCAAATCCTTAACCAATGTAAGTATGCTTTATGCTCCTCTAGCAATGTATAAGGTGTATTTAACCTCACGATTCTTAAAGTTTTATTTTATTTTTAAGTGATAAATGATAATTGTATATATTAATGGGGTACAATATTACATTTTGATGCATGTATACATTGTGAATTGATCATATCAGGGTAATTAGCATATCCATCATCTCAAATATTTGTCATTTCTTTGTAGTGAGAACATTTAAAATCCTCTCTTTTTTAGCTGTTTTGAAATATACATAATAATAGCCAATCTGAGAGTTGTGATGTGATGTCTCATTGTGGTTTTTATTTGCATTTCTCTGATGATTAAATTTGTTGAGTATTTAAAAAATAAAAAAATAAATAAATAAAAAACACAGCTGCTTTTCCTCTTTTCAAGATCTCTTGGAGCCATGTCAACTTGCAACAGCTTGGCCTGCAGTTGTATCATTACTGGCCCTAGACAGTTTGCCAGATGGCTTTGCATCCCTGGCTCCTCAGTGTGGGGTGGCCAGCGCTGCATCGCGTGATTAGGATGGCCTCTGCCTTTTCTTTCTCCATGATCCACCCTCTGCCTCTGCTCAGTATGCCTGAAGCCTCCAGCCAAGCCTCTGCACAGCACTGAGGGAAAACCATGTGGACAGAGGAGTGACAGTGGGGTGAAGCCACGGTCCTCCTGGTGTCTCTGAAAGGGCAGTCCAAAGAGAAAAGAATGTGAGAGTGGTGGGTCTCTACGAAGCACCTCACACTATGATTATTGGTTGGCATCAACTGTTTGAGCCTCTTCCATGTCTTTTCCCTGCACCCCCATCCCTACTACTTTTCCCTATTTCTTCCAAAGTACTTCTCCAGGCCGTTAATCACCAAAGCACTAGAATTCCTACTGTCCTCCCTCCAACAGAGATCTTTGTCCCAATTCACTACCCTCTGCCAATAAGATCTCAGGATCCTTCTTGGTAGTCTCGACCCCCAAAATTCTTCCCAAGAACTCTACAACCAGATTCTCTATAGTCCAGCTCTGAACCCCATGCAACTTAGCATGTCTTCTCTGCTCCCTTGGCCTGGGGACAAAGAAAACACAAGATGAAATAACCCTAGCCTTACCCTTTCAAAGCTCTCCACCTAGTAGGAAGATAGGATTTATATGCACTGGTTCACATAGAGTTCATGGCTGTATGCCCTGTAGGAGAGACTAAAAGAGCCACAGAGCCCAAGAAGGGAGGAATCGTTTCTAAGTGAAGGCTCAGGGAGGATCAGGAGGGCAGAGGGATGAAGAGCAAGGACTCCTGGGCTAGGCCAAGCAGATTAAAAATGTTCACTTCCTGTGTGTGACTTTGTACTTGTTAACATCTCTGGACCCAGTTTCACCTATAAAGCAAGGATAACAATACCCACCTGAACCTCACAGGGCCTGAAGATCTAGGGATTGTGCATTTGGTGCTTGCCTCCTTGTGGATGCTCAATAGGCATTATTTCCATGGTGGAGGCAACAGTGTAAACTCTCTGAGGCCAAGGGCTACAGGAGGATCTAGGACATGAGCTATGGAGTCAGAAGATGTGGATTCAAATCTTAGCAAAGTATGTGCCCTTTCTGAACTTCAGTTTATTCACCTATACAATGGGAATGATAATAGGACCCAACTCAGAGGGCCATTAGGAGGGCTAAATGGAACAAGCTTGTAAGACATTAGCATAGTCCCTGACATTTAGTAAGCACTTAATAAACATTGGCAACTCTCACTGCATGGGAGCTCACATAGCCTGGGCTGACTGGCAGGTGGCACTCACTGGCCAAATCCCAAATGTTCTATGTGGGTTCACAAGATAAGGGTCTCATAGGGACCACAGACAGGACAGCCACAACCATCTGCTCCCTTTCATCGGGAGAACATTCTGCCCAATGTTGCAAAAGCTTTGTGGAAATTTCTGTTTGCTGAACTGATTTCAACAACGATCTCCATCCCATGAATTCCAGCCTGTTTGTCTAAAACTTTCTTCCTAAAAGACTGTTTACAAGTTCAAGTAATCAATGGTATCATCAATAGTACACCCACTCCTCAACTCAATCATGCCAAAGACAAGTTAGACTATGACCTTGCCTTAGAGCTGTTATGGTAACACAATAGTAAATCATCTCTGTCCAGTTTACACAGCATCTTTGCCATACACTGTCACACTGGTTCCTCACAACAACCTCATGTGACTGATGGGCAAGAGTAAATGGACCTTCAGTGACCACTCTAGGTCTTCTAAATTGGTGTTGCTTAGGGTGAGTGATCTGGAAGGGGAATTGTCTTGATGCGTGGTATGCATGACAAGCACGCTGCTGTGGGTTGATTTGGGGTTGTTTTAGGGAACTGATAGCTGCCCTGGAGACCACCAGACCTTTGATGTCATCTAACTCAACTCTCTCACTTTACAAATGTCAGAAAATGAGGCCCAAAGAAGGGAAGCAACTTGCCCAAGGTCATGAGATGGTCAATGCAGAGCTGGGAACAGGACTCTGGTCTCTAATTTCCACTTCTGAGATTTTCCCACTAAATCACTGCATCACCCAGAACATTTTTGTTTGGTAAATTTTTAATAAAGTTTAAGTAATCTGCACCCGTATCAAGAAAGAGAACATCACCCTAGAAGCACCACTATACCTCCTTGCAGATGCTAGACCCCGAAGATAACTACCGTCCTTATTTCTCACGTCTGAAATTGAGGTATTTTTCTGTGTTTGGATCTTTATATAAATGGAATCATGTAGTATTAATATTTGTACCTTTTTTTCTCAACACCGTGTCTGTGAGATTCTTCCAGTGATCTTGCATATAATTGTAGCTCATAGCTTTTTCATTGTTACATAGCATTTCACTGTCTGAATATAGTACAACATATTTATCCATTCACAGTAAATGGACATTCAGGTAATTTCCAGTCTGGTGCTATTACAAAAGTGCTGCTCTGCACATTCTTGTAGGTGTCTTTTGGAATTTCTGAGTCATGGGGTGTGCAGATGCTCACCCCATCTTTATGAGGTACCACACTATTTTCCAAAGTTAAACTAATCCATCATCTGTGTGTCAAAGTCCTGCCCCAGCACTATTTTAAGGTGAGGAAAACTGAGGCCCAGTGAGGGCAGGTGACTTGCCCTGGGTCAACACCAAGGAAGGGGCAAAGTTGGACAGGTATCCAGGTATCCTGGGCCAGATTTGTGTTCTTTCTCCTGCCCGGTTACTCCTGCCCCATGTATCAGCTCGAGCCTTAAAGCTCAGCTCCAGGTGTGCCCTGCAGACCCTCCTCTCACCCCGCCATATTGTTTGTATGTGTGGCAGTCTCCCTGGTTGCCTGTTTCCCTGGAAAACCAGGGCCCCTTGGTGGGGATGAACCCAGCTGTGACAGAGCATAGTGAGGCTGCAGGTCCTGCTCGGAGGAGGCGGGGAAAGTGCTCTGGGGCCTAAGGAGTAGGTGTGGGGGGATGTGAAGCAGATGGAATTAAGCACCTTCCACTCCACAATTTCCTTTCATTAGGTATCTTGTCTTCACAAAATGGTCCCACTTACTTGGTGAGACTTCATGAAGGTAGGCTATTCGAAGAAGAGTGGCATTTGTGGATCTTTCCTCAGTCTAGGCATGTGGTGCTATAGAAGGTGCAGGCTGGGTTTCTCATACCTGGGTCAGTGGGGTACATGAGGCGAGTGGGAGTGGAGAAAGAATACAGAGGAGGAAACTGCAGCTTTCTGTTCATTGTGAAGGCCTGGGGAAGAATGAAGAGGCAGTTGATTTCCTGTAAAAAGAAGCCAGAACAGCTTAATAATGCTAATAAGAGCTACCATTTGCTGGGCACCTTTTACAAGTGACGTTATTCTAAAGAGACATTCAAATCACACCTTATAGATGAAGAAATCAAGGCCCGGAAAGCCCCAATTCATCAGAGATCATGCCGGGGTGGAAATAAATATTTTGTTGACCACCCAGTAGGTGCCCAAATTAAATAAAATTGAAAGATTTCTTTACTGCCAGAATTCTTAGAGTCTTTATGATAATAAAGTGCATTAATTTCTAAGGGGAAAGTATCATTTATAAAGCTTTTTCCAAACTTTTTACCCTTTGTTCCCAAGGTGCATGTATTAGTCTGTTTTCACACTGCTGATAAATACATACCCGAGACTGGGCAATTTACAAAAGAAAGAGGTTTAATGGACTTATAGTTTCAAGTGGCTGGGGAGGCCTCACAATCACGGTGGAAGGCAAGGAGTAGCAAGTCATGTCTTACATGGATAGTGGCAGGCAAAGACAGAGCTTGTGTAGGGAAACTCCCATTTTTAAAACCACCAGATCTTGTGAGACTCATTCACTATCACAGGAACAGTGCAGGAAAGACCCACGCCCATAAGGCAATCACCTCCCACTGGGTTCCTCCCACAACACGTGGGAATTGTGGAGTTACAATACAAGACGAGATTTGGGTGGGGACACAGCCAAACCATATCAGTACATTTATTAAAGTCTTAGTAAATAACACAGGTGGGAAATATTGGTTTCATGTCGCCTACGTATTTGCATTAAAAACATCATTTTCTAAGCCAAAATCAATCATGATTAAGAAGAAAAAGACAGGGACTCTTTCTTGAAAAGAAAAACATAACCCTCCCCACACCCCACAGAGATTCAGAATGAGCCTGGCATTACCTTGACTGCAGGTGATTTAGGTGATTTGAATGTCTCATCCCCTAGTGTCCAACACAGAGAAGTTGGTTACCCAGATATCAGCAGGTGAAGCTTGAGAGAGTGGGCCAGATTGTATTTTCCAAAGATGGCTACAAAAATATCACCCATCCTACATTCTCTTCTACAATGTGACCTTGCCATGACCCCATCGGGAGGCAGTGTCAGTTTCCCTTCCCTTTGAATCTCAGTGGCCCTGGAACTGCTTTGACTAATAGAGTATGGCAGGAAATGACCAGTGTGACATCTGGGGCCGAGTCATAAAAAGTGATGCAGCTTCTGTCTTGCTACTGGAACAGTTCCAGCCATGTAAGAAGTCCAGCTACCCTGAGGCTGCCATGTTATGAGGAAGCCCAAGCCACACAGAGAGGTCATACGTAGGTACTCTCGTCAGCAGTCCTGGTCTTCAAGTCATAGCAGCCTAGAAGCCTCAGGATGATTCCAGCCCCACCTGTCGAGTCACCTAAGCCTTTGAGTCTTCCCAGCTGAGGTCCCGGATATCATGCAGCAGAGGCATGCCACACCCTTTGTGCCCTGTCTAAGGCCTTTGAGTCTTCCCAGCTGAGGTCCCGGATATCATGCAGCAGAGGCATGCCACACCCTTTGTGCCCTGTCTTTGTGCCCTGACCCATAGAATCTATGACCATAATTTTAAAAAAGGTTGTTGTTTTAAGCCACTAAATTTTGGGGTGGTTTGTTAAGCAGCAACATTAGCTGGAACAGGGTGTGTGTGTAATACGGGCATGAGTGAGTGTATTTAAGTGAAGGGTTTAGGTTGATATTAGTCTTCTTTTTTATATCAATGGGTGATTCTTTCTCATATGCTTTTTTGATTAGTATGCAAGCTTTTGATCAGGAACTCATTAATTCAAGAATATATATTAAGATCCAGCTATTTTCACCCAAAGAGACAAAGCCCTGATGTGGCACCACCTCCATGGAGCTTATATTCTATGTGGACACTTAGTCAAATGCTAGTATCACACAACTGAAAATAATCAACAGGAAGGAGCAGCGGGGGAGGAAAAAGGCAGAGAAACCCCTGGCAACGAGGAGACAAATGAAGTTCTGGGTGCTTGAAGCCATGGAGACAGTAACTCAAATGGTTTGAAGCCGGAAATCATTTCCTAACCAGCTGTAAATTTGAAAATCCCATATGTGGTACAACATTAAGCTGCTATTTTGGAAATTCTTTCATCTTTTTCGGAGGCATCTCAGGAGCCCTTCCTTCCTCTTGGAAGGCAGCCAGTTCTCTGCAGAAATCACTTCATCAGCAGGAGCTGAGGCATTTCGCATGCAACTATATAATTCTGGAAACGTGGCTTAAAAAATATTTTCTCCTGGGTAGAGAAAGAAACATCTCAGAGCAGTGTTTCTATAAGCACCAGCTGGGCAGCTCTGAATGCACTTTTTTTTTTTCTTTTTCCCCTTTGAAATGGCAGGATCCTGACACCTGCATTTGAATGTAATGCAGCATTTATTTATTTATAAGATGGAGTTTCACTCTGTCACCCAGGCTGGAGTGCAGTGGTGCGGCTCACTGCAACCTCCACCTCCCAAGTTCAAGCCATTCTCCTGCGTCAGCCTCCCAAGTAGCTGAGATTAGAGGTGCCCACAACCACACCCAGCTAATTTTTGTATTTTTAATGTAGATGGAGTTTCACCATGTTGGCCAGGCTGGTCTCAAATCCCGACCTCAGGTGATCCGCCCTCCTTGGCCTCCCAAAGTGCTGGGATTACAGGCGTGAGCCACTGCACCCAGCCCCACTGATGCATTTTTAGCAGGGAAGTGGTGTGATGACATGATCATCTTGGAAAGAATGCTCTGGCTGGAGAGTATGGGGTGAAGAAAGCCAAGCATGGCATCCGGGAGGCAGGTATAAGGCTATTGTAATGGGCCAGGTGAACAATTGTGCTGGCCTGGAACAGGACGGTGGCAGAGCAATAGAGGATATAGAAATGGTAGTTTGGGGAAGTGAGGAACTCTGACTTAAACAAAACACTCTGATGAGTCCTTTCACAGCAGTAAGAAGTCATAGAGCATGGTGCTGAGGCAAAGTAGTCAGACTTAAGGAACTAGGTTCCTTGCCTAATGATGTAAGACGTTGAAGTTTCCATAGGCAATCCCAGAAGAAGGCAACAAGGAGCACAAGAATGGGGAGACATTGCTGCAAGGGGAAGATGGGGGACCCGACAAGATGGCAAGAGGCCAGGATTCCTAGGCATAGCAAAGAGCAGTGAAAAGTCTCAAGTGACAGAGTGTTGGAGGGACGTTTAAGAAGCAGAATGTGGCCGGGTGATGGTAGCTCATGCCTTAATTCCAGCACTTTGGGAGGCCAAATGTGAGAACTGCTTGAGGCCAGGTGTTTGACACTAGCCTGGGCAACCTAGCAAGACCCCAACTCGCAACATAGTGAGACTCCAACTCTACACAAAATTTCTTTAAAAATTAGCTGGGCATGGTGACGTGAACCTGTAGTCCCAGCTACTCTGGAGGCTGAGGCAGGAGGATCGCTTGAGGCCAGGAGATCAAGGCTGCAATGAGTTATGATCGTGCCACTGCACTCCAGCCTGGGTGACAGTGCAAGAACCCGTCCCAAATAATAATAATAAAGAACCACAATGTGTTTGTCTGCTGCTTGTTGCTACAGTTCAATGAGTTCTCTGCCCATACCACCCCTGCTTCCAATTTCCCCTAAATGCCCTGAAAGCCCTGTACAAGTAGTGGTTTGAGAAATGAAGGGATATAGGACAGGAAGGAAGGGAGGGAGGAAGGGAGGGAGGGAGGGAGGGAGGGAGGGAGGGAAAGAACTAAAAATTTGATTCCTTCGTACCAACCAAATTATTTTTCAGTTAAAAAGCTAATAGTCAAGTGGTTTTGAACATGTAAAAACAAGAAATATTGTTCTCATGAGCCCTCTTGAGGAACATACTGGAGGACTAACTTATGTGAATCACACAGTGAGCACAAAAATTGTATAAAAGGACTGGCAGTGAATGTAGTAGATTTCATTTAACCACAGGTCTACGAAGAAAACACAGTGGGGATTAAGCTGACAGAAAAGAAGGCAAACATTATATGTTCCAACAATGTAGAAAAGATATAACTAACCAAAGGAGAGAAAAGGGAAAGCAACGTGGTAGGTAATAGAGAAATACACGGATGCCCTTTTCGTTACGATACAATGAGTCAAAGGATGTCATTAAAAGCTGACAAGCCAAGTAAGAGAGAGAGGTAAAGCACATTTCACAGCACAAAGATTAAAAACTAAGAATAATAATATTATTGACTAAAATTTGGTGGTAAAAGAAGATGAGAAGTTTATAAAGGAAAAGGAATACATTGGAATATACTGATTTTATTATTGCTCATATTTGGAAATTAATAGGGACTATAATGGAGGATTAAGAATTAAGAATAGAAAACTATAAGTGCAAGATTAAGAACATTAAACTAAGTTATAAAAGTAAACCGGGACAGGCACGGTGGCTTATGCCTGTAATCCCAGTATTTTGGGAGACCAAGGAGGGCAGATCAGGAGTTCAAGGCCAGCCTGGCCAACATGGCAAAACCCCATCTCTACTAAAAAAATACAAAAATTAACTGGGCCCAGTGGTGCATGCCTGTAGTCCCAGCTATTCGGGAGGCTGAGGCAGGAGAATCACTTGAACCGAGGAGGCAGAGGTTGCAGTGAGTTGAGATCACACCACTGCACTCCAGCCTGGGTGACAGAGTGAGACTCCATCTCAAAAAAAGGAAAAAAAATCATAAATGTGGAAAATACACATAAACATTTCATTAATGAAAGAAGAAAATCACCATTATGTAACTTCTAATTAAATGATCTAGAGAACAATTTTCAGTGGCTGAATGTTTTTTATGAACTTTAAGCAAAGAGATCAGGTTGGCAATATCTGAACCCACTAATCAAGCGCCAAAAATAAAACAACCAGATATTATGTGCCTGCTGATGTAACTCAGCACTACCTTTGAAGTATTTTCACACAAAAAATTAACAAGAATATGAATCTAATGGATCAATTTGCAGGAGATGCAGAAGATAGAAGATAAATTACACAACACTGTGCAAAAACAATCAGCCCATTCCAGAAGGGAGAAATTTTACAGGACAAATGATTCATGGAAAAAGATCAGAGAAAAGGACATAATCATCCATTGAAAGTGAATTGGGAAAAAATATAAAATAGCTACAATGTGTGGACTTGGTTTTGATTCTGAATTGAAAACTAACTATAAAAAGTAATTGAGCTTTCAAGCTATGATGATGTCTCCACGAGAATAAGGCTCTTGAAAAAGATCACCTTCATCCCTCTCAGGCAGAGATGAAGGAACCCAAGAAGCACTCAGGGTTAAGCCCCAATTCCTACTGCATAGATGTAAGATGCCCAGGATGTGACACAGTTGCCTCGGTCTTCGGCCACGCACACATTGCGGTTTTGGGTGTTGAGTGCTCTGCTACTCTTAGCCAGTTTGCAGAAGGAAAAGCAAGGCTCACAGAAGGATGCTCCTCTGACAGAGCAGCACTGAAGGCACCCTGAATCAACAAGAGTGGGAAACCATCCCAATAAACATGTTTTGGATACAAAAATTGAGAAAGTCAGGAAAATTTGAATAAGGACTTGATATTAGTGGTATTTAGGAATTATTAATTATATATGTAATAATGGCATTCTTTATTGGTGGGTTTTGCTTTTTTCCTTTTCTATTACAGGCATATATTGAAATATTTGCAATATACAGGCATATATTGCATATATTATGAGTGAAAGAAGATGCTGTCTGGGATCTGACTTTAAATGTCCAGGAAAAACCTACCCACCCATTCTCTCACACACACATACAAAGGCCCTACACCCAGATGGCTTCCCAGGAGTATTCTACCAACCCTTGAATTTAACGTAATGGGTAATCACAATGCTATTGAATGTGTTCCAGAATACTTGGAATGCATTCACTCACTTAATCCTCATGCTAACCCTCTGAGGCAGGGATCATCCTCACTCTACATATGAGACCACTGGGTAACAGGCTCAGTGAAGAATCTAGCCTACGGTCACACAGTTGGAGGTGGTGGAGACTAATTGTAAACCAGGAAATGCAATCTTAGAGCAAGTGCCCTCACTTAGGGCTGCTCTGTACCATCCTTGTGAACCACACCCCTGACGTTGTGCAGAACACACAGAACAACCTTGAAGAATGTACATGTGGGCCTACCTTAAAAACTATGCAATTCAGTCTTTCATAAATAAATTAATGGATTAATATATAATAAATGAATGAATTTTCTTCATTTAGCCTTACGAGTTTCACCCTCATCAAATGGACTCCCTAAATCTTGCCTTGTTCTCAAAAAGGCTGAATGCAGAGGTAGCCATGCCAAGACCACACTGACTGAGTTCCAGCAACCTCACTGCTAACTCTGCTTTACTGGTTGGGAACAAATCAGTTGTCAAAATTGCTTGATAGGAAATGAAGTGACATTGGCCTAGTTCCTTTTGGCTACTCTGGCTTTCTCCAACCGAGAGGGACAGCAGTCGGCCTCCCTGTCAGAAACTCTGGCCTGAGATAAAGAAAAAAACCACCAACACAGCAAGATGCAAAAGAAGCCAGAGGCCCACCTGCCCCAAATCATTCATCTCCTTGGACTGCTTCTGAGTGTGAAACTCCTGCCATTGGCTTCTCTTCCCTGGATTAAAGACCAGTTAAAATATGGATCTGTAAACTCAAGGTAAGAGCACAAAGGTAACTCTTGGTAACACTTTTCACATGAACACAGATTCCTTTATCAGTGAGCTAAAAGAAAGTAGGACCAAGAGGAATTTGGGTACAGATGGGAATGTTGAGGGGAGAAAGGAATCATAAAAAGGCTCAAATGTGGAGCTATTGGTTGAGAAAAATCTGTCTTTGTCTGGTGCCATTTTGAAGGAAGGGATGGCTTGGGAAGATGGAGCCAGGTGGCATGTGGGCATTGAGTGACCAGCAGAGGAGGATCTGGGAGACCAGGAGCTGTAAAAGAAAAGACTGAGAGAGGTTGTGATTCTTTGGGGAGTTCCTCTCCGTTTCATATGATACCTGGTGAGGCTGTCAGTCACAGGGTTAGACCACGTGTTCCAGGCTAACCAATTAGACTCTTTCCTAAGATTGATACATGGATGGTAAGAGACAGAGGTCTGTCGTCAACATCTTTTTAAAATAAATTTAAATGTAAAATAATTCAAGCATGAAGGCCGGGCACGGTGGCTCATGCCTGTAATCCCAGCACTTTGGGAGGCTGAGGCAGACAGATCACTTGAGGTCAGGAGTTTGAGACCAGCCTGGCCAACATGGTGAAACCCTGTCTCTTGTAAAAAAAAAAAAAAATACAAAAATTAGTTGGGCATGGTGGCGGTGCCTGTAATCCCAGCTATTTGGGAGGCTGAGGCAGGATAATCACTTGAACTGAGGAGGCAGAGGTTGCAGTGAGTTGAGATCATGCCACTGCACTCCAGTCTGGGTGACAGAGTGAGACTCCATCTCAAAAAATAAATAAATAAATATTCAACCATGAAAAAGTAGCAATAATCATATAATGATTTTAGTATGCCCTTCACCTAGATTAACATTTGGCTATATTTGCTTTATCAATCACTTTCTCTCTCTCACCTTCTCTGTTCATATTACTTTATTACATTATGTAATATAGGATTTTTGTTGTCATGACTGAGCTATTTGAGAGCATATTGTAGACATCATGATCCTTTATCCTTAAATACTTTGCATTTACCTCTTAGGAACAAGGATACTCTTTTACATAATCACAATACAATGACCAAATTCAGCAAATTTGACATTGAAACAATCTTCTTATCTAATACACAGTGCATTTTAAAGTTCTACTAATTGTCTTAATAATGTCTGTTATAATGGATTTTTCCCATCTGTCTCATCCAGGATCCAGGATGGCATATTGCATTTAGTTTTCATATCTCTTTAGTCTTATTTAACTGAAGAGCACTTTAGCCTTTCTATGTCTTTTATGACATTGACTTTTTTAAAAAAAAAGATAGGCCAGTTGTTTTGTAAAATGTTTCTTGGTGTAGGTTTGTTGGTTCTTCCTCATAGTTAGATTCCATTTACACACTTTTGGCAGGAGTACCAGCAGCTTTCTTGACAGTCATGGAGGGAGAGCCAGTCAAAGGAGTGAAGCCATATAGAGGAAAGACGAACAGAGAGGCAGAGGAAGAAAACCAACCCAGATGAGCCCCTTGATCCAGTGAAACTCGACTTGCTAGTTACATAAGCCAATAAATTCCTCTTTTTTGCTTCAATTAATCTGAGTTGGTTTTGTGGCTACTCTGCCTCACTCACACCTTAGCCAACATGTGGGACCAGATAGTGTCCTTCAAAAAGCCCCAAATTAGTAGGACCAACTCAGGTCTGACCAGAAGGACATATCCAAGGCAGCCCACATGAAATTGGCCATCTTCCCTAGTAATGAGTCAAAAGCCACACAGTAGTAACTGCTGTCACTTGATTCTTACCTTAGAACCGTGCCTCCACAGAAAGCCCATAACCTGCTGTGGCTTATCCAAGCCCCAGTGACACAAAGAGAAATCTGATTTATCAACATTTCCAGGAATACAGACTTTTTCTTCTCTCTGCATTTGTCCCTTCACTAGGGCCTCCCCATTCTCTCTTTTGTGCATTAACTATGGTCACCAGATATCCTATCTCCATTTACCATTTACCTCACGCTTGTCCAGTCCACAGCCTGCAGGCTGCATGCAGCCCAGGACAGCTTTGAATGTAAACTTTCTGAAAACATTAAGAGATATTTTTGACAATTTTTTTTTAGCTCATCAGTTATCGTTCGTGTATTTTATGTGTGTCCCAAGACAATTCTTTTTCCAATGTGGCTCAGGGAAACCAAAAGACTGGACACCCCTGAACCTGCTGCCTCTTTACTATCTCATTATAATTAGTACAGTTGTGTAGAAGCTTTAGCCTCTGGAAGATGAGAGATTGAGTGGGTGCAGCCGGCTCTCCTGTGGGGGCATCTGGCCAGTCCATTCTCTTGGCTCCCCCGCCTGGATCCTTTTCTTGCCTGGGTGTTGTATGTGACCACCAGATCTGACCATTTCATGTGTGTTTCCACTTTTGTCAGTTATAATTTGCCAGGCTTGCCCTTTCCATATCTACACATGGAAAGCACATTAGGTTGCTAGAATTCACAAAATAGAATGCCACAAACTGGGTGTCTTAAACAACAGAAGTTGATTTTCTTACAGTTCTGGAGGTGAGAAGTCTAAGACGAAGGTGTTGGCAGGTTTGGTTTTTAATGAGTCTCTTGCCTTGGCTTGTAGGTGGCCTTCTTGTTGCCGTGCCCTCACAGGGTCTTTGTTCTGAGCATGCACATGTGTGACTCCCAATTTTCTCTCCTTATAAGGACACTAGTCAGATTGGAGTAGAGCCCTACCCCAACAGCCTCATTTTAACTTAATCACCTCTTCAAAGGCCTGATCTCCAAACACAGTCACATTCAGAGATATTGGAAGTTAGGGCTTCAACATACCAATTTTGGGGGCAGGGGCCACAAGGCAGTCCATAATAGAGAGGAACACATTATGTCAGGAGCGCATCTGACCTGCATTCAACTTAACCCCACTCAAAATTACTCAAGCAACAAATACATTTAATTATCTCACATAACAACAACCAAAAAAAAAAAGTGTGGCAATATTTTGTCCCTGGAATGGTGCATTGACTTAAAGGTATTACCAAAGACCCCATTTCTTTTCACCTTTCCCTATGCTGCCTTTGATATATTGGGGTTTTGTCCTTGCACTTGTCATAAGATGACTGCCAGGATTCCAGATATTATCACAACACTTTCCCCTTGGAATTTATTGGCTACGACTGAGTCATGTGGCCACTCATAGATGCAAGGGAGGCTGAGTAAGCAAGTGTCAGACATAAAATTGATTGTATGCAGGCCAGGCACTGGGATTACACCTGTAATCCCAGGACTTTGGGAGGCCAAGGTGGGTGAATCACTTGAGGTCACGAGTTCAAGACCAGCCTAGCCAACATGGCGAAACCCATCTCTACAAAAAAATACAAAAATTGGACAAGTATGGTGGCACACACCTGTAATCCCAGCTACTTAGGAGGCTGAGGCACAAGAATCAGTTGAACCCGGGAGGTGGAGGTTGCAGTGAGCCAAGATCATGCCACTGAACTCCAGGCTGGGCAACAGAGCAAGACTCTGTATCAAAAAAAAAAAAAAGCATTGATTGTATGCAGAAAAGAGTTAACATAATAGGCCTGAGACAGCTATTCTTAGGAAGGCCTGCTTACGAGGTTGGCCTTTGGTTGGCATCTGGGAACTTGGATTTTGGGAGGGGCCCCACTATTGTCAAAACTGATAACCATGGTTCACTGTGCTGAAACTGTGCATGCAAACAATATGGTATGTGCTGAACACCTGCTTGTCTTTTCTGGAGGTCTGGAATGTTGGTATATACTAGGTAAAGGGTGCCTGTGTGACCAGCCCCCGTTAGAAACCCTGGGCACTGAGTCTCTAATGAGCTTCACTGAGAGGCAACATTTCACATGTACTGTCACACCTCCCTGGAGAAATGAAGCGTGGCCTGCATGACTCCAATAGGAGAGAACTCTTAGAAGCTTGTGTCTGATTTCCTGTAGACCTTGCTCCATGCACGTTTCCCCTTTGCTGATTTTGCTTTGAGTGTATCATTGTATTGTAATAAATCTTAGCCATGAGTGTGACTATATGCTGAGTCCTGTGAGTCTTCCTAGCAAATCACTGGCCTTGGGTTGATCTTGGGGACCCTGACGCAGACAGACACCATGGTCTTAGACCAAGCATGATTCATCTTCTGGGAACTGGTCACCTTGGGGTTCTGTCAGTGGAGAGGAAGAGTGGTATGGCTGTGGAAAGTGACACAGTGTCTGCCACACAAATTGGTATTTCACTGAAAGATGTACTTATCAGAACAATGAGGACACCTAAAGACATCTGTAGGGGTTTTGTCACTTGCAACCAGATTCTCTGACTCATTGTGATAAAGATGCTTATTACAATTTGAACAGAAATCCAAATGGTAAAACATTTTACTGATAATCTCATTCAAACCTACCCTCCTTGACCTCTTATTCTGTGGGAAAAAGAGACTGTAATACCATGGAGAGAAAGTATGGGGAGGACAATTCCAAATGCCAGTGGCAGGATGGCCAGCATGATGCCTCCGGCCAGTAAGCTTGCCCTCTGAAGAAGGGTGAATGCTCCTGTGTTTGTAAATACTGGAGGCTCAGTGGATTGTCTTGAGAGGAGGGAGTCCTGATCAATTTAGTGATTGGTTCTTTTTTTTGTTTGTTTCATTTTGAGACAAAGTCTCACTCTGTTGTCACCCAGGCTGGAGCGCAGTGGTGCAATCTCGGTGCACTCCAACCTCCGCCTACCAGGTTCAAGTGATTCTCCCATCCTCCCACCACAGCCTCTCAAGTAGCTGGGACTACAGGCACACACCATCACACCCAGTTAATTTTTGTACTTTTAGTAGAGACGGGGTTTCACCATGTTGCCCAGGCTGGTCTCAAACTCCTGAGCTTAGTGATCCACCCGCCTTTGCCTCCCAAAGTGCTGGGATTACAGGTATGAGCCATGGTGCCCAGCCTCAACTGATTTGTTCTTACATTAGAAAATGAGCAGGAGAGCTGAGCCACAAATCTGTTTCCATGCTGATGTTTTCCCATCCTGAATAATCATCTGCCTGCCTGTGGAAAGGGAAAATGCAAACGTCTCCATGCAACTGAACACCCAAGTGTTTGCCATAGTATTAGCAAAACACAGCATGGCCAAACATGGAAAATAGCCCCAGAGAATGCCATTTTGCTCAAGAAGACCTTGGAGGAATATCTGGCCTGTTCAAGCACTTTCCCTACCCTGAATCTCTTTGGCTATAATTTGCCCATTTTTAATCAATCAATAATCATATTTCTGGGTTCTGGGGCTGAGACAGAGATCGAAGAAAGTGAAAGGCATGGTTCATGCCCTTATAGAGACTACATATAGCTAGACCGAAAACAGTGAGAAGCAAAACTGTGGGTGCTTTGAACTGTACATGCAGTGGGAATTAAGGAATGATGTAGTCAGGCTGAAGTGACCAGGGACATTTCCTGGGGACAGGACTTGAAGATGAGTTGGCTTTAGACTAATGCTGGGGAGTGGGAACTGACCTGGGCAGCAAAGCAAGGCACAGAGGCAGAGATGAACTCTGAATGTTCAGGGCTCACCAGGGAGACTGGCTGGGGGCTTCCATGGGGAAGGAGAGGGAAGCCTGGTCAGAGAATAGGACAAGACCAGGGAGAGAAGATCTTGACAACAGATGAAGGGCAGAGCGAGGAGTTTGAATTTGATGAGGACTGCCATCTACTGGCAGTTGATGCAGGCTCTTGGGCAGTAGTGTGGCCTTGGTCCCGCTGAGGTGGGCAGGGGGAGCTAGAGACAAGGAGAATCTCTAGGAACCCCCAACCCTGAAACAGAAGCCTGAGTTTCAACTGGAGGCGGGAGAGGAGAGTCAGCGAGAACGAAGATGGACAGACTGCGGAAACATAAATGAAGGTAGGAACAGCGGAGCTCGAAGAGTAAATGCAGAGAGTGGACACAGAGGCCAAGAGGCTTGGCTCCAGGGCTTTCTTCCTAGGAGACCAGAATTTCCCCTTGTGCAGGCTGAGGACACATACAGATGCTCCTTGTTCCCATTAAGCCTCACGCTGACACCCCAAGATGGTTAGGAAGTGGCTTGGCAAGGTCCCTCCCAGGCCTTTTGGAAATCTCCATGAAGGAGTGTCTGTTTCTCCTCCCCATTCTTCCTTCTCCTTCCACACCCCCTGACCCACCCCTTTCTCTTTCTCTTTCCCTCTCTCCTTCTACCCCTCCTTCTCCTATTCGAACTTTCTGGCTTCTGCAGGAAAAGCAGCCACAGTTTCTTCCCACTGCCCACCCCCCAACCCCTGCCCCAATGCTTGGAGGACAGACCCATCCCTTTGCTGGGTTCAGGAAGATTCTAAAACACTTCGGCCTGCTGCTTCCACCAGCCCGGCTCCAGCTGCATCCCCAGGAACCTGTCCAAAAAGAAGGGTTCAGATCACATAGGGAGCTCCTCTTGCTCTTCAAACTCCCAAGCTGCTGCTAACCAGCTTGTGGAGAGAGGGGATGAAGCGAAATTTAGGGCAGGAAGAACATGAGCCTGCTAGCATAATCCACTTCTATCGCAAAGCGAGCGGGTATGCTCAGGCCTGCGGCCAGGTACAGGGCACACAACCCTCTGTCAGCCCTGCTGTGTCTCCTCAAGGGGGCAGAGCTGTCTTCTTACATGTGTGTGCATGGGTGTGTGCACACACATCCACACACGCAGGAACGCACCTGACATTAGGAAAAAGTCATTCTAACCCCCTAGTTGGTCTCAATGGACTCCTGCAGCTGTAGATGGGAATTTGAAAGCCCAGATCAGCATAGAAACCAGCCTTAACCAGTTGGCTGAGCCATGGTCAAGTAAATTAATAAATCCTGGTGCCTGCAAAATCTAGATCTCAGGAATAATGGGGTGGGGGGAGGAAACTGGTTCTGCCTGTAGAATGCAACTGACCAGCACAGGCTGAGATTTCTTTGTTTGTTTTTCAGATGGAGTCTCAAACTATCACCTGGGCTGGAGTGCGATGGCATGATCTCGGCTCACTGCAACCTCTGCCTCCAGGGTTCAAGCGATTCTCCTGCCTCAGCCTCCCAAGTAGCTAGGACTACAGGTGCGTGCCACCACGCCCGGCTAAGTTTTTGTATTTTTAGTAGAAACGGGGTTTCACTATATTGGCCAGGCTGATCTCAAACTCCTGACTTCATGATCTACCCGCCTCGGCCTCCCAAAGTGCTGGGATTACAGGCATGAGCCACTGCACCTGGCCCAGGCTGAGATTTCTAAGCCCCATCCTTTGAGCAGCTAGCCTCCCAGAAGAACCATTTCCTACCACACACAGCGCTCTGCACACTGGAGGCACTCCACAAACACTGTGCAAGGGGCTGTGGATTTTCCTGGAGAAGGCTCTAAACCACCAGTGGTCTTGGCTGCAAGGAAGCAGCCTCTCCCACTTGTAATTTATCCAAGGCCATTTGGTTAAGCCAGGAGCCCCAGAACAGCCCACACCTGCAAGGCAGGTGATGTTTATGGCAAAACTTTCAAGTAGGTGTACACCCTTGAGGTTTCTTTCCAAAGCACAAAGGTTGGAGGATGTGACCAGTGTCTGGAATTTGTACCAAAAGTTCTGCTCTCCTTTGAGACTCTCTCCCCCATATGTACACATATGCAACACACATAAACACAAAGTCACGTATGGACATATGTACACACATCAACATAGTCATGTGTACACATAATTACACACTTTCTTCTTTTTTATTCAAATGTTTTATTAATTGTAAAGGTGGCAGACTCTCTGTAATAGGCCAGATATTACAGAGATGATTTTTTTAAAAGTAATCATCTCAATCCCTTAACACAGCAGTCCCAACCTTTTTGGCATCAGAGACCAGCTGTGTGGAAGACAATTTTTCCACGGATGGCGGGGTTGGTGGAGGATAGTTTCAGGATGAAACTGTTCCCCCTCAGATCATCAAGCATTAGATTCTTATAAGGAGTGTGCAACCCAGATCCCTCGCATGTGCAGTTCACAATAGGGTTCACACTCCTATGAGAATCTAATGTGCTGCTGATCTGACAGGAGGCGGAGCTCAGGCAGTAATGCTCACTGGCCCACTGCTCACCTCCTGCTGTGTGGTCCAGTTCCTAACAGGCCAGGACCAGTACTGGTCCATGGTCCAGGGGTTGGGGACCCTGTCTTAACATAATCAGTGTTAGCAGTTTGCAGCATATCCTTCTGTATCTTTCTCTGTACTGATGCAAACATATATAAACATTCATCAAAAAATGTTACATCTAAAAATAGGATTATTACTAAACTTGTTTTTCAGCAATTTGCATCTTTAACACTGTATCTGGGGGATTCTTCAACTCAGTACATATGGGTCTGACTCTTCCTAATAGCTGAAGCACATAAGCACATCTACTTATGCTAACACAGACACATTGTATACATGTGCACACACCCCACCTCATCCCACACCACATCATCCCCAAGGCTATTGATACTGGCACTGCCCCTGCCCCTAGCCCTAACCTGCAAAACATGAGGTTACTGCTGTGTGGTTACCCCTCACACCCCCGCTTCCAGACCACACTGGCTTGACTCCCATAGGAGGGTTAAGATGGTGCACTTGGCCCAGGCTGTGCTTCTGAGTGGGCTGCTCTTGTCGTATCCCCACCCCCCATTCAGACCCTCAGGGGTAAAAACTATCACCTGGGAACACGGACCAAGCTCGGGGCCAGGCAGACATGCTTGGAGGCTGTTGTGGTAAGGAAGGGAAGGCAGGAAATCGGTCAGCCCAATAAGAAGCAAGGGGTATCCTAGAACAGCAGACCCCCAAGCTGAGGCATTGGCAACCTGTGTGCCAGCCCCGCCCTGACATTAACTCACCGTGTGACCTCAGGCAAGCCTTTCCCTCTCTGAACCTCCTTTCTTCTTCCATAAGATGAGCATGTTTGCAGTGAGGCCCTTCCAGCACAAACACATGGTTTGGTCAGTGAGTCCTGCTTCTCCCTCGGTGCTGGGAGCTCCCTCTCACACCAATGCTCCCGTGGGACCCTGCTCCCTGCACCCTCAGAGTGAGGGGAACTGGAGGGGAGCTGGTGAGGCAGAGCAGAAGCTGAGCCTCACCAGAGAGGCAGGCAGGAGGCTGCCCTGGAGGCCAGATCCAGATGAGGGTTTCATAGGCCTGGCAAAGCCTCCCCTCCTTCTAAGGCAGTAAAGTGCTTTTGCTGTCCTTTGGAACCATGCTGCTCAGTAACTACACCTGGGAACACCAAGCACTTTTTCTTCTTAATTAAAAAAAAAAAAAAGTAATATTTCAGCAGGCCCTGGGCACTTCCTGTCTTGCTAAGTCAGTACTTGTCTGATCTTTCCTGTTGAACTGGGTCCCTTAGTGCAGCATCTACTATTTACTTACTGCTGTATCCCCAGGATCTAGGTAATACCTGAGATATACTAAATGTCCAGTAAATATTTCAATGCCTCTCTCACTGATTCTGATTACAAATGTGATACCCTCATGTTGTTTTTAAAAATCCCCAAAATAGATATAAATGATTAAACTTAATAAGTGGAAAGTTTTCCAAAATGCTATTCTACAGGCCTCCCCATAAGTAATCATCATTAACAGTTTGGTGACATGCTCCTGTCCCACTCTTGTACTGTTGACATTTTGAACCAGATAATTCTCTGTTATAGGATGATTGGCAGTATATCTGGCCTCTGCCCACCAAATGCCAGTAGCACTCCCCCAGTTGTGACAGCCAAAAATACTTTTAGACATTGATAAATGTCCCCCAGCAGACCAAATTATATCCTGCCACTCCCTCCTACTCCCCTGTGTCCCACCCCTGTTGAGGAGCACTCTATATACATCCACAGAGTGAAAGTAAAGTTGAAAACAAGTAAACAAGGGCAAGAAAGAGGAGATAGTGATACATAGATGTAGGTATCAAAAACTGTTTATAATTGGTTAAATGTAAATTAATATTCCTGTTCCCTGATTTCCAGTCTTGTGTGAGCCTTGTTCAATTATTCAATCTTTATTTCATTTCCCAAATATTTATTAAATACCTTTGATGTGCTAGAAACTATGCTCATAGATATATTTTCAATAAACTTATTATAACTAAGTATCTACTTCAGCCCCCGAAAATGAAGGTAGGGAGTGGCAACAAATCCCCAGGTTCTAACTGGTTACACCTCAGTCTCTTACGAGTCCATCACTCTTAACTCTGACCAGCTCCCGCATACCTCCACCTGCCATATTGGCCTGCCATGGTAGGCCAGGGAGAGAGAAAAAGGAAGAAAAGAGAAGAGAAAAGAAAAATGTGTTGCCTACTGCCCCTGCCTTTATTGGGATGGACAGCTGGAGTAAACATCATCCAGAAAGACTGGGACTCTGGGTCCTCTCAAA
The DNA here is from genome assembly GCF_000001405.40 of Homo sapiens. Taxonomy (NCBI): domain Eukaryota; kingdom Metazoa; phylum Chordata; class Mammalia; order Primates; family Hominidae; genus Homo; species Homo sapiens. Next base: position 91,556,689 of record NC_000010.11, read on the forward strand.
CCCAGCACACCCGCACCACGAATACCAGCCCCCAGCAAGAAACCTCTAAGCACTTTGTGAGTATTCATCGCCTAAACATATTTCATTTCCAGTCTTGCCCAACTGATCTCAGCCTTAACTGTTTAACTGGGCTGGTCTCTGAGCAGACTCTGTAGCTGCCCTGAAATCAGGTTACTGGCACAGCCTGTAGATATTGACTGATTCAAAGATTACAGTTGAGCAAACAGGAGCATGTTAATTTTTAATTTCACTTTGTTGATAAATCGGGCTTCCTCTTTGTCCTATAACCGATAATTACCTGGTCAGAAGAAACATGCGATACTTGACCTGCAATGAAAGTCCACTTGTCTGGCCTTCCTGGCCCTAGCTGGGTTTTTCAAAGGAGCTCCCATACTGGTTTGGCCTCAGTCAGCTGTTAAAGAATTGAGGGACTTCTGAGTTGCGCAACCCTGAGTCAATGTGAGACCCAAGCTGAACAGCATGGGACTCTTAAGAATTAAAGTGGAGACCTAAGGAAGATCTTTGAGGTTTGGGATTTGGGGTAGGAATGGGGTTTTTTTCTAACAAAGGAGAGACTGTGACAGAGAAAGTGTTTCTTTCATGGCTTCCAGTTCACACTAAGTCACCCTCATTCTGGAGCCAAGGTTGTTCTCAAAGGTGACTTTACCACAGTAAAACATGAGGACAGAAAACAGCAGCCGTGTGTCCGCCTCATCACACAAGAGCCGTACTGTTTGCTAAGTCTCTTAGTTCACACAACCGTGGTGCCATCCTGGGAAATAATTACCAGTACTCCCATTGTATGGAGAAAGAATTAATTTGCAGTTTATATCTCTAAAGGGTCCAATTACTTCATATAGAGATCTGTCGCATTGTTTTTCTCTTCCTTTTTTTTTTTTTTCCCCCTGTTGCTTTTAGGGGCCAAAGCGGTTTCAGTTTGAAACCATGATGAATTTAACATAAATCAAGAAAAGCAACAGAAGCAACTTTTCCCATCTGGAATGGAGTACAGCCTTCTATTTTATGCTATTTGTCTACCCTGTCACTAACTGCAGAGAAAACGTTCTAAAAACTGCCCTTTGTAGCCTCAAGCCATTTCCCTAGGGCTGTTTGACTTAAAAAAAAAAAAAAAAAAAAAAAAGAGCCAGAGAAATAAAAAATGTGGGCAGAGCCTGAGTGGTTTTAAGTCAAAGACCTACTGAGCAGGGATTCATTTAGTGGGTTATTTTAAATAATTCAATCCAGAAAAAATTGGTTGAATATATACATATATGCCTCACCAATTTCATTCACAGATGTTGGCAAGTGACTGAAAACAGGAAGGGAAACTTTGTTCAATGCTCGGAGATGAATGTACCAAATTATACAATCCCTGCAGAATTTGAGAACTGGAAGGGGACTAAGAAATCAGTTAGTCTAGTAAGTTAGGGCTTGCAATCTTTTTCTGGGGAGGTACTTCTGAGTTCCCTTACATTTTATGATCATCAGAGACACGATTCTTCATACAGCTAGAGAGGGGAAGGTGGGATTTTATTGAGCATGTAATGTTATCATCCGCCTACTTTGAGGATTCCCAAGTCTTCCCATTGCCTATGGGAGTATTTCTGTGGGACATCAGTACCGTGGATTGTTCACCACAAAGGTTTCCAGGGTCACACCTGTTTAGGAAATGCTGTGTGTTATATCCAACTTTGGATATTTGCAAAGTACACCTGCATAATAAATGCTGTTGCACTGAGTGAGAAGCCCTGGAATTTTAAAAGCCTCCTTATTTTTGCTTAAGCCAAGCCTCCAATCTTATTTTATGATCATATCCTGTAGGATATAGCTACAAGTGACAGAAACCCTGACTCAAAACTGGAATAAACAATAAGGACTATTTGTGACGCTTTACAAAGCAGATGTTCAGAGAGGTAGGACAAGCTTGGGAGATTTGTGTCCATATTTTCCAACTCTAGCACCCTCAGTGTCAGCTTCATCTTCAGGCCACTAGTGGGATGACAGTTACAGGCATCACACTCAGGCCTGACAGAGGAAAAAGAAGGATCATTTCTTCACGTGGCCTCTCTTAGGAGAGAAGTTTCCCGCAAGCTCCCTGGTATACAATCAAGTCTCATTGGCCAGAATCTGGTCACATATCCACTCCTGAACCAATCACTGACAAAAAAAAAAAAAAAAAAAAGCATGAAGCTGCATGGAGGAAGAATAGATTCCTGAACAAAACTAGAGCTCTGTTAGGAAGGCAAAGAGAATGGGTAAGCAGCCAGCATTGTTCACTGTAACTGTAGACACCTTTTTACACCTAACACCCTGTGGTGGTTAATTTTATGTGCCAACCTGACTGGGCCACAGGGTGCCCAGACATTTGGTCAAATGTTATTCTGGGTATGTCTGTGAGAGTATTTCAGGATGAGGTTGATATTTGAAGTGGTAATGTTTGAAGTGGTGGGCTGAGTGAAGCAGACTGCCCTCCCTAATGTGGGTGGGCCTCATCCAATCAATTGAAGGCCTGGATAGAACAAAAAGATTGAGTAAAAGGAATTCCTCCCACTTGACTGCTGGAGCTGAGATATTAGTCTTTTCTAACCTTCAGTCTTATACCAAAACATCAGCTCGTCTTGGGTTTCAAGCCTGCTGGCTTTTGGACTGGATCTTACACCATCAGCTCTCATGGTTCTCAGCCCTTTGGACTCAGACTGCAACTGGACATTGGCTCTCCTGGGTCTGCAACTTGCAGACTGCAGATCTGGACTTTTTCAACCTGTAATTCTTTAAGATGAGTAAACAAGTAAGTACATAAAAACATAACTTATTGATTCTGTTTCTGTTCTCTGAAGAACAGAGCCAGTAGTCTGTTTCTGACTAATACACACTATATTAACGTTCCTCAGATCTTAAGTTCCTCCAAACACTTTGGAAAATGCCGGAAAGCTTTCTTAGGTAGAGGCCAAATTTTCTCATATAGCATTCAAAGCCTGTTATGCTTTGGTTCCCTACTCTTTTCTAGTCTCATGTACTGTTCTAGCAAACAAAATGTTATTTCAGACTCTTGCGCTTTTACATGTACTAGTCTCTCTGCTAGTTGCCCCTTTCCCATCTATCAAATGTGGAAACATGGGAAAGTTACTTAAGCTCTGTGCCTCAGTTTCCTTTCCAGAAAATAGAGATCATAGAAATAACTACCTCATTGGTTATTATGAGGATTAAATGCCTGCATGAACTTTGAACAGTTCCTGACACACGGTAAGTGCTAAATACACGTTAGAGATCATTCTGCAATCCCACTGCACTTTGTGCATCCCTCAATGAAAACACACTCCATGCAGTAATAAATGATTTTCTTGTACATGTATCTCTCCAACTAAATCACAAAGTCTTCAAAGACAGGAATATCATATTGTTCCTCTTTGATTCTCCCAAGTTTAGCACAATATGTGGTTCTTGGCTATGATCAACAAGTGCTTGGTGAATGAATGGCTGAATGATCTTCACACCTAAAGAAACTAAAATTCCAACAAGGTGAAATAAGTTGCACGTCACATAGACAGACAAGAAATGCCAGCACTTGGAATCCGGGTATCCCAGTTTCTGAAACCAGGAGCTCCATTTACCACCTAGAAATTGCTTCCCACTTGGTGACAGCATTCTTGTAATTCAATTCAACAAGTCTTTCTTAAGCACTTACTATGCATCAGACCTGGGGACTGGGGATGACGAAAATTCAATCCATGCCCTCGAGGCATCAGGCAGCCATCCCCTGGACCTAAACCTCCAGCTGGCCTCCCTGCCTCCAGACCCCTACCCCTGCCACTCATTCTTCAAGGCACCATCAGAATTACTGCTTGGGCTTACATGCCCTAAAAGCCATAGCCTCTGGGAATAATGCCCACATTTCTGGTCTGCCACCACCATAACCCATCCATAATCTAACTTCATTGTATTAGTCCATTCTCACACTGGTATAAGGACATACTGAGACTGGGAAATTTATAAAGGAAAGGGGTTTAATTGACTCACAGTTCTGCAGGGCTGGGCGGGGGTGGACCTCAGGAAACTTACAATCATGGTGGAAAAGGAAGCAAACACATCCTTCTCTACAAGACGGCAACAAGGAGAAGTGCAGAGTGAAGTGGGGGAAAACCCCTTATAAAACCATCAGATCTCATGAGAACTCACTCACTGTCATGAGAACAGCATGGAGGTAACCGCCCCCATGATTCCACTACCTCCCACCAGGTCCCTCCCACGACATATGGGGATTATGGGAACTACAGTTCAAGATGAGATTTGAGTGGGAACATAGCCAAACCACATCATTCCTCCCCTGACCGCTCCCACATCTCATGTCCTCACATTTCAAAACACAATCATGCCTTCCCAACAGTCCCCCAAATTCTTAAGTCATTCCAGCATTAACTCAAAAGTCTAAGTCCAAAGTCTCCTCTGAAACAAGGCAAGTCCCTTCTGCCTATGAGTCTGCAAAATCAAAAGCAAGTTAGTTACTTCCTAGATAACAATAGTGTTACAGGCATTGGGTAAATACACCCATTCCAAATGGGAGAAATTGGCCAAAATGAAGGGGCTACAAGCCCCATGCAAGTCCAAAATCCAATGGGGCAGTCAAATCTTAAAGCTCCAAAACGATCTCCTTTGACTCCATGTCTCACCTCCAGGTCACGTGAGATGCAAGAGGTGGCCTCCCATGGCCTTGGGCAGCTCCACCCCTGTGGCTTTGCAGAGTACAGCCCCCCCTCCCAGCTGCTTTCATGGCTGGCGTTGAGTGTCTGCAGCTTTTCCAGGCGCATGATGCAAGCTGTTAGTGGATCTACCATTCTGGGGTCTGGAGGACGATGGTCCTCTTATTACAGCTCCAATGGGCAGTGCCCCAGTGGGGACTCTGTATGGGGGCTCTGATCCCACATTTCCCTTCCGCACTGCCCTAGCAGAGGTTCTCCATTAGGGCTCCACCCCTGGAGCACACCTCTGCCCGGACATCCAGGTGTTTCCATACACCCTCTAAAATCTAAGCAGAGGTTCCCAAACCTCAGTCCTTGACTTCTGTGCACACACAGGCCCAACACCCTGTGGAAGCTGCCAAGGCTTGGGGTTTGCACCCTCTGGAGCAATGGCCTCAGCTGTATGTTGGCCCCTTTTAGCCACACTGGGACAGGGCACCAAGTCCCAAGACTGCACAAAGCAGCAAGGCCCTGGGCCTGGCCCAAGAAACCATTTTTTCCTCCAGGGCTGTGATGGGAGGGGCTGCCGTGAGGATCTTTGACATGCTCTAGAGACATTTTCTCCATTGTCTTGGTGATTAACATTTGGCTCCTCATTACTTATGCAAATTTCTGTAGCCAGCTTGAATTTCTCCCCAGAAAATGGGTTTTTTTCTTTTCTACTGCACCATTGGGCTGCAAATTTTCCACTTTTATGCTCTGTAACCTCTTGAATGCTTTGCTGCTTAGAAATTTCTTCTGCCAGATACCCTAAGTCATCTTTCTCAAGTTCAAAGTTCCAAAGGTCTTTAGAACAGGGGCAAAATTCCACCAGTCTCTTTGCATAGCAAAAGTGACCTTTACTCCAGTTCCCAACAAGTTTCTCATCTCCATCTGAGACCACCTCAGCCTGGAGTTTAGTGTCCATATCACTATTAGCATTTTGGTCAAAGCCATTCAACAAATCTCTAAGAAGTTCCAAACTTTACCACATCTTCTTGTCTTCTGAGCCCCTTCAAGTCTCTAGGAAGTTCCAAACTTTCCCACATGTTCCTGTCTTCTTCTGAGCCCTCCCAACTGTTCTAGCCTCTGCCTGTTACACAGTTCCAAAGTCACTTTCACATTTTCAGGTATCTTTACAGCAGCACCCCACTACCTGCTACCAATTTACTGTATTAGTCTGTTCTCACACTTCTATAAAGACATACCCAAGACTGGGTAATTTTGAAAGAAAAGAGGTTTAATTTTCTCTGCCGGGCTGTGGAGGAGGCAGACTCAGGAAACTTACAAACATGGCAGAAAAGGAAACAAAAACATCCTTCTTCACATGGCAGCAGCAAGGAGAAGTGCAGAGCAAAAGGGGGGAAACCCCTTATAAAGCCATCAGATCTCATGAAAACTTGCTCACTATCACAAGAACAGCATGGAGGTAACTGCCCCCATAATTCAATTACCTCCCACTGGGTCTCTCCTATGACACATGGGGATTTTGGAAACTACAGTTCAAGATGAGATTTGGGTAGGGACACAGTCAAACCATATCATTCGTTTACCCACACAAGCTCATATCTGACCATCTGACCACTGCCAACTTGACCCTTCTCACTGTGGGTCCCTCACAAACCACACAGCAGACTTATTTCCATCTCCACCCCTCTGCTCATTTGGTGCCTCCTGTGTGACAAAGTTCCTTTGTTTCTCAACCTGTAATTGGTATGACCTACTTCACTAGCTTGGGATACAAACATAGTCACACTTTGTTTTTCAGTTCACTTTTGGAGGTCCTATATGTGCCTATTAGAACTATGTTTCCCTCTTTCTGTTCTCTCAAAATTGTATAAGAATTCCAGGGACTTCTTTTTGTCAAATGAAATGACAACTTAAAAATCTAATCTGGTCACTACTGCCATTGCTTCCTGCTGCCTCATGCAGTTGAAGCCCTGCCTTTGCTAGCTTAGGACATTTGTCTGCCCTGTGGTTATGCCCTTGGCCCGGGTCCTGACCCAGTTTGCAGGTTTCAGCTCCTCTAATCACACCTGTATGCTATGCCATGTGCCCAGAGCTTGATGCTGGTGGCTCCCACAATCATCATTAGGGTTTGGGTTAAGCCCAAGTCACAAAGCCAGACACCCTTTTCCCCCACAGTAACTCCCACTCTGAAGACATTAGAGTAATTTTCTGCCAATCATTCCAAGGTCTTGGCTACCCCAGGATACACTCGTGACATTCCTCTCACTTCCAAACTCCATAAAAGGAGCCTGTGCTCCTGTACTTTCCTACCCAGAAAAATCCTGAGCCTCTTATGCAAGTCAACCCAACTTCTGCACACTGCAAACCAAAGGGAGAAGCAGTTGCTGTTAAGCCACAAAAGAAAGTAAGTCCCCATTACATCTTTTTCCCAGACCAATAGGTGTCTTCTTATATTTGCTTAACTAAGAGACACCATTTGAGCAACTCTTCATAAACCAAGGTAACCCAGTGTGTCCATCTTCTCAAAGGAATGCTGGCAGTTTCTACTCTAAGTTGTGGTTTCTGTAGGTTGTTTCCTACACAGTAATTTATTGCACAGCAATCTCAGGTTCAAGGTCTAGAGAAAGTCCACAATAATATCTCTTCTAAAATTCCTATAGCATTTATATATATAGTCCATATCTCAATTTGTTCATTTATTGAACAAATACTTATTGAGCACCAATTATGTACCAGGTCCAGGCAATGGGTATGCAAAGCTTAAAAGGCCACAGCCTCTGTCTCCAGAGCCTGCCAAGCTAGAGGATTCTATATTGGTCTATGTTAGTCAGTGTGACAGTTGCCAGTGCGCTGGGCCTGCAGCTAGAACACTAGAAGGCCAGGCGGCACAGGGCACTGCAGTACCCCACTTGCCCTCTTACAGTTAATCTGGTGGATGATAAATAAGGTTGCAACTTTATTCAAATTGCAGCGCAAGCTCTGCCTTCATTACTGTTACCTCTTTCTGCTCTCTAGCCAGTTACCACCTCTTCCATTTGAAAGGACTATGAAAACGGGTCTCCTGCCTTCCTACAGAAGTACTAGCAAGTTGGCCGGGCATTGTGGCTCACCCCTATAATCCCAGCACCTTGGAAGGCCGAGGCAGGAGGACAACATGAGCCCAAGAGTTCGAGACAAGCCTGGGCAACACAGTGAGACACTGTCTCCACTAAAAAAAAAAAAAAAATAGCCAGGCACGGTGGCACATGCCTGTAGTCTCAGCTACTCAAGAGGTTCAGGCAGCAGGATTGCTTGAGCCCAGGTGTTGGAGGCTGCAGTGAGCTATAATTATGCCACTGAGCTCCAGGCTGGGGAACAGAAAAGACCTTATCTCAAAAAAGACAGAAGTACTTGCAAGTGATAAAGCTGAAAGCATCTTAGCTGAGACATGCACACTAAGGATTGGGTTGGATTTCTGAAAAGTATGTAACCTGATATATTCGTCAAAAAATTAATTCAATTCCATAAATACAGCAACTGCTGTATTTATACAGCAACTGCTATATGACGTGGTAAGTAGTCAGGTTCAATTAACACTGTGGATTTTTCCTGTTTTTGCTGAGACTAACAATAATCTTAATATACAATTGTTTTATAAACATAAATTCCTCTTTGAATGAAGAAGTAAAAGAAAAAAGTATGTCTGGGAGTAAGTGGGTACCTGCCTGTAGAAAAGATAACTATTTTAAGTTGAGTGAGAAGGGGAGATACTCAACATCAGTAAAATATTCCCCTGGCTTAAGGTGGCCTTGGTTGAGGAAATATTACAGATTTCCAAGTGAGTGAGTACAGAATCCAGGAGAAGGAACCAATAGCACTTAGTGACTGCGGAAGACCTGAACTTGAGCTCCAGCCAGAGAAGACTCAGTTTCACCATAAGCTGGAGCTGAGCAAACTCGCTGGCCAGACTGGGAAATGAGTAGAATGCATACAGCTGGGCCAAGCTAGACTTTGGCACATGCCTGCAAATTGCCTTTCTGCACATCACATATACCCTGAAATTCCTCACAGGGTTGTAAAATTTAGCTCTGGGTCATATGCTTTAGAAGAGTCACTGCAAAACTAGTTTAAGGGGGATGGAGGAACAAGGAGCCATGTCTTAGCTCTTAGGTCACAGACTAAAGAAGGAAAAGGCCTACTTTCCTTTAGTGACTGGAAGTGGGACTGACCAATGGTGAAAGAGGTAGCCTCCCATTTGAGGGTGTCCTGGGTAATGTTATCATCAAAGAACTGACCCAGAGCTAACATCAGAATCCTGTGTCTAGCAGAGGGAACACAAGGTCTCTTATAAGGAGCCAGTTGGGAGGGGAAGCTAAATTATACTGCCCACCTTGGTGGGCTCCCAGCCAGCAGGGGAGGGCTGCAGCCTGGCTCTCCTCTTAGTGAGAGGTCCCCCCAGTTCCTTCCTGGGGCTGAGTTGGCTGGCATCTGTGGGCTGAGAGTGAGACCTTTGAAGCAATGCACAGTTCTGAAATCTTAGCTTGCTGTCAAGGTGGTCCCTGCAAAGGATACCTGGAGCAAGGACTGGCTAAGGGCGTGTTGACGCCAAGCTTCCACGGAACCCAGACAATGAAGGGAGAGGACACTTTTGTCCATAGACATCATCTGGGGAGTCAGGATGGTCCAGTTTTTCAAGCCATTCATGGAATTAAAAGAGAAATGTCTTGGGAGTGATTGGTGGGTGGTTCTAAGGATAAGAGATCACAGCATTAGGAGAAGAAGGGTTAAGAAGTAATCATTATTGATTGTCTACAATGCGGTGGCTATTTTATATACACATTATCTCTCTTAATTCTGACAAAATTCTATAAAGGGAAATGTGACCTTTTTCATTGGACAAATAAGGAAGCAGATTCAGAGAGAGAAAGTGAGCTGCCCACGCATGCTAGCCGGTGACAGGGTCAGGATGCAAAGCCTTCTCTTGCTTTCAGCATGGCCCATGTTTTTCCCAACAACAAAAAAAAAGATATTAAATACCTGCTATGACCACAGCATAGAGCTGGGCCCTGTGGGCACACACAAATAGGTTCCTGCCTCACAGGCTAAAGGGAGAAGCAAGACCTATGATTATAGTGGCTGTAAACTACTAGCAGTTAATCAATATTAACAACTCTTCAACCTCTCACACCCTTCTCCCCTTGGTCACTAGTCTGACTAGACTGGCCTTCTTTTTGTGTGTGTGTTTGTTTGTTTGTTTGTTTGTTTGTTTGTTTGTTTTGAGACAGGGTCTTGCTGTGTTGCCCAAGCTGGTCTCAAACTCCTGGGCTCAAGTGATCCTCCTGCCTCAGCCTCTTGAGTAGCTGAGATTACAGGCGTGAACCACTGCACCCAGCTAGACTGACCTTCCTGCAGCTCCACACAAGTCTAGCTCATTCCTGCCTCGGATTCTCTGCATCAGCCCCTCCCTCTGCCGACTATGACCTTCCCAGCTTCATGTCACCATCTCAGAGTCCTTCCCTAGCCTCCCTTACCCGCTATGGGTACACCCCTCAGCCTCTCCTCTTTCCTGGCTTTATTTTCTTCCTAACACTTAAGAGCAAGCTTTGATGTCTAATTGTCTGTCGGGATCCAAGGCCTGGCTTCAACACTTTCTAGCTGTGTGATCTGGGACAAATTACTAACTCCCTGAGCTTCCGCTTCATATTTGTAAGCAGGTAATAATTTTATGTAGCTCAAGGGATTTTTGTGAGGACAAAAATAGAATAATTCATGAAAATACTTAGAGCAGTGACTGGCACATAGAAAATGTTTAATACATGTTAGCTATTATTGTTATGATTTGTTTGTTTGTTGTGTTTCCTCTTTACTAAAATGTAAGCCCTATGAAGGCAGAGACTTTGTTCATCATGAGATCCTCAGGACCTGGCACATAGTAGGCCCACAGTAAAGATTTATTGAATGAATAGCTAACTTTCTGTGTCCCAGGAATGGCTTATTTTATTTAGGCCTCACAGTAACCCCACGAGGCAAAAACCATTGTCATCATTTTACAGATGAGATTCAGAGAGGCGACATACATGTCCTAAGACTAAAAAGCCAAAAAATGGAGATCCAGGCTGCAAACCAAGTAACTCCAAAGACAGCGCCATTACCTGCTACGCTACACCACACGACTCACAGTGTCATACTTTGGAAGTATCCACTGAACACAGGAGAACCAAATACTATGACCCTGGATCTGAGAGTGCTGCCCTGCTGTGGTCACTCGGAGCTCTCTGTACAGCTCAACCATTTCTTGGTATTGGTGCCCAGGCTGTGTAACACCCTTCAGTGATGGACAACCTGGAATGGTGCCATTCCCACACATCAACACCTCCTGCAGCCAAGCCTTTCTTGAATTATCCCCATCCCATCTTCAGAGAAGAGGGTCTCTGTAGAGTCCCACTGTACCAAGTGCCATAGATGCCATTCCAAGGGTTACTATGGAGAGCCAGACTCTGCCCATGGGATAATCAGAGATGAAGGTGACGGACATCAGTTTAGACCCCAGTCACAAGGTACAGATGCAGGACTCACTGTAGCTTGTTCACCATCAGATCCCCCAAACCTGGCACAGTTCTAGGAACTTGTAGAGGCTCAGCAGATGCTTGCTGAATGAGTAAAAGAATCGCTGAGTCAGAACATTAAGGTTTGTTTCTGTCTCTATCACTAGTTAATACGTGACTGAGGCAAGTCATTTCTCCTCTTTGAACTTCAATTGCCCAATTATGAAATTGGAAAGTTGTACCACATAAGTTGTTCTATGATACTAGAGATTCCTCAAGAAATATTTTTCACTAAAAAATGAAAATTCTAACTTCCTGGGAATCCATTCGTCTTTGTTATTTGGGTATAAATTTGATTCTGCATAAATTTAATTTGAGAAAAGTGGGGGAGATCTCATTAAAATGGTTGTGAACTCCTGAACCAAATAATCTATAGTATTCCATCAAGCTCTGATTTTTTTCCAACTTAATTTCCTGGGTTATTCATAGCCTGTTCCAAAGGGATAATGAAGTCGAACTGAAAAAAAGTGAATTTAATTTCCACTTGGCTCCACCTCCAGGAAAAATTGTGAATGAAACTAAGATAGGTTCCCATATCCTCTGTACATCTCTCATTCTGACACCACCCAGCCTAGACATGCCATTGTGTTGCTGGGCCAGTAAACAGCAAGAGCATAATCCTGACACACACCTTCACATCAAATCTGTTTTTTCATCATATCCCCCCATTCAAGGTTCTTAGATAAGTGGAACCAGTAAAATATATATAGATGTATTTAATATTTTAGAGATTTGTTTTAGGTATTGGCTCACGATTATGGAGGCCGTGAAGTCCCACCATCTGCCATTGGCAAGCTGAAGAACTAGGAAAGTCAATACTGTAATTCTGTTTGAATCCAAAGACCTGAGAATTGAGGGGATGGAGTCAGGGAGAGTGTAAATCCTAGTATCAGTCTGAAAGCAGAGACCCAGGAGCTCTAATGTCCAAGGGCAGGAGAAATGTACATCTCAGTGGAAGAAGGGAAAGCAAATTTGCCCTTCTTCCACCTTTTTGTTCTATTCAAGCCCTCAGTGGATTGGATGATGCCCACTTGTCACCAATAGAGGGTTGTGACTGCAAGTTGTTTAGGTCCTTGGTGTTTTGAACAAAGAATTGGACAAAAAGCTCAGCAAAGCAAAGAATAAATGAAGCAATACAAGAATGAAAGCAGGGATTTATTGAAAACGAAAGTACACTCCACAGTGTGGGAGCAGACCCGAGCAGCAGCTCAAGGGCCCAGATACAGAATCTTCGTGGGTTCAAATATCCCCTAGAAGTTTCCCATCGGCCACTTCATGTTCACCTCATGTAATGAAGTGGTAGCCCGCCATCAGTCTGATTAGTTGTGGACAGCAACCATTCAGAGGCTGGAGTGAAGTTACAAAGTTGCAAACAAAGACCTAACCCCCACTTAGTATGATTTGTTGCAGACAGCCAATCTCCCATCTGCCATCTGCCACAAGAAAAAGTCAAAGGAAGTAACTTCTGGTCCTTTTGTTATTTAGGCGTGGAAAGTTAGGGTTTTCCTTTCAATTTAGTTCTAGGAAGTCAGTGTGAAACAGCCTTAGGTTCCCTGCCTCCAGACCCTATTCTCCTGCCCCACACCCACATTGGTGAGAGCCATTTACTTTGCTCAATTTACCAGTTCAAATGCTATTCTTTTCTGGAAGAGAATAGCATTTGACACACCTAGAAATAATATCTTACTCACTATCTAGGCATCCCTTAGCCCAGTGAAACTGACACACAAAATTGAACCATCATATCCCCTCAGAACCTATTAATGTCAACTAATCTGTTTGACTAACAGAGTCATGGTAATGTCTTATAGGACTGGTAGGAATCAGTCATCTGCTAAGTCCCCTGGTAACCAAGGCCCAGAGCAGGAGGTGATTTGCCTGTGGCCACTCCACAATTTGGCAACAGAGCCAGAATCTAAATCCAGGTTTCCCTGTTCCTAGGCTCCTTCCACTAGACCAGCAGTTCTCACCTCTTGCTGTATATGAAGATTGCCTGGGGGGCTTTGTAAAGTATTGTATGTGGGCTTCACATCCCCACAGAGGATTCAATTTGTCTAGAGTGGCGTCCAGACATCACTAATTTTTAAAAAGATTTTTATCAAAGTATGCTATGGTCTGAATGTGTCCTCATAAAATTAATATGTTGAAACATAATCACTAATGTGATAGTATTAAGAGGTGGGGCCTTTAGAAGGTGATTAAATCATGAGGGCTCATGAATGGGATTAATGACTGCTATAGTTTGGATGTTTGTCCCCCAAAACCAAATGTTGAAACTTGATCACCAGTGTTGGAGGTGGGGCCTAATGGGAGGTGTTTAGGTCGTGGGGTTGGATCCCTCATGAATGGCTTAGTGCCATCCTTATGGTAACAAGTGAGTTCTCACTCTATTAGGTCCCACAAGAGCTGATGGTTAAAAAAATCCTGGCCCCTCCCCCTCTCTCTTGCTTCCTCTCTCACCATGTGATCTCTGCACACACTGGCTCCCCTTCGCCTTCCCCCATGAATGGAAGCAACTTAAGGCCTTACGAGATGCAGATGCTGGTGCCATGCTTCTTGTACAGCCTGTAGAACTGTGAGCCAAATAAACTTCTTTACAAATTACCCAGCCTTAGGCAACAGTACATGGACTAAGACAGTAACCCTATAAAAGAGGCCTGAGTGAGCTGTTTGCCCTTTCTCCCTGTGAAGACACAGAAAAGGCATTCATGAGGAACAGTCCCTCACCAATACTGAATCTGCTGGCACCCTGATCTTAGACTTCTCAGCCCCCAGAACTGTGAGAAATAAATTTCTCTTGTTTAAAAACTACCCTGTCTAAAGTAGTTTGTTAGAGCAGCCCAGACTAAGATAAAACATAACATATATACAGAAAAGTGAATTATAAATGTACACATTAATGAATTTCCATACTCATGAACCCAGATCAAGAAACAAAAGATCTCCAGAACCTAAAACTCACACGAAAGATAATCATTACCCTGATTTCCAATATATAGATTACTTTTGTCTATTTTTGTACCTTATATAAATAGAATATACAAAATGTCCTATTTTACATCTGATTTCTTTTGCCAAAAATTATGTCTGTGAGATTCATCCACACTGTTTGGTGTGGTCATAGTTTTTTCACTCTTATTGCAGTATAATATTCCATTGTGTGACTACAATTTGTTTATCTACTCTATTGTTGATGGATATTTGGGTAGTTTCCAGCTTGGGGCTATTACAAATGGTATATATTCCAGTAGATATATTTTGATGAACATCTTATATGCATTTCTTTTGAATAAACACTTGGGAATGGAATTTCAGGTGACTGCATATGCCTACATTCTTTTTTAACAGATATTGTGAAACAGTTACCTAAAGTGATTGTACCAATTATACCCCCTATACTAGAATTGTGTGAGAGTTCCAGTTATTCCACATCTTCACCAACATTTGCTATCATCAATTTTATTGTTAAGCCATTCTGGTGAGTATGTGAAGATATTATCTTGTTTTCAGTTCCCCTGATGATTCTAATGAATAACAAAGGATCAGAACCTCAGCTTTATCCCTACACTCATGATCACTTGGGGCTTATGAAGATAATGCTCTTCCTTTTTTATCTAACTCAGTACTTCATGATATTCTACAGGCCAACCCAAAGTGTTAGGCCACAAAAATACTTTTTAAAAATCTTTTTTTATGCAAAAATTAGTTGGTGGATAACATTTTACTTTAAGTTCTCCAATGAATTTTTCTTATATTTTTGGCATGCATGGCTGTTTTCCACTAGTGACTGCTAAAAGTCAACAGAATAAGCAAGTAACAAATGAAACAATAGCATCTTCCAATCCACACATGGAATTCAAGAATATGTCTTTTGCTTCTGTAAATTTTTTTTTGGAAACCACAAACATTTCCTGCTAAGTATACAAGTTCCTTTGTGCCTGAGAGTCCTAATGTCCTTCATCCTGCTCTTTATGTGCCATGTGATCCTCCCCCGACTATAATCAATTATAGTTGTAAACATCTGACCCAAGCTGGGCCAATCTGATTCTCTTTCTATCTCTCTCGGAAATTTAGAATTAAGACTTAGGGCTGATTCAATTATTTAGAGCCATGCAAATGTGTGAAAATGGAACTAGAATTGGCAATGAGTTAGCTGAAAGCCAGATAAAAAGCAAGTGTGACATTAGCATGAACAGAGCTAGGGTTGTATAGCTACAAGACAGTATGAGAGAAAAATTAAATATGGGTTGCACAAAATAATTTCAATCTCAAAAATCCAAATTATTTTAGTTCTCTGGTACCAGCGAGGACTAATCGAGATGGATGCCTGCCACCTCTTGTCATTGAATGAGAAAGACATGGAGTCTGAAATAGATGACCAGACTCAGAAAAAAGAAGCCTCTTAGCATGTGAAGGAGAATAATCCCCAAAAGGTCCTTTTGGATAAAGATGATAAATAGAAATTAATGGTTCAGACTCCACTGATACTAATTTATCATGCATCAAATATTGATTTTGTCATGATATGTTGCACCATCTTTGTGGTCTATTTTAATGCATGTAAGATTATAAGCTTTCATCAGTTCATCTACAATCATTGTCCATTTAATATATGTATTTTTTCCTATACAGTTTTTTTTTTTTCTTTGAGACGGAGTCTCGCTCTGTCGCCCAGGCCGGACTGCGGACTGCAGTGGCGCAATCTCGGCTCACTGCAAGCTCCGCTTCCCGGGTTCACGCCATTCTCCTGCCTCAGCCTCCCGAGTAGCTGGGACCACAGGCGCCCGCCACCGCGCCCGGCTAATTTTTTGTATTTTTAGTAGAGACGGGGTTTCACCTTGTTAGCCAGGATGGTCTCGATCTCCTGACCTCATGATCCACCCGCCTCGGCCTCCCAAAGTGCTGAGATTACAGGCGTGAGCCACTGCGCCCGGCCTCCTATACAGTTTTAAATTCTCCAATCACATAGCTCTTTGGTACAAGACTTCCAAACTTAGAGATGAATAATATAGCACTTTGGGAAGCAAGGTGGGCGGATCAGTTGAGGTCAGGAGTTCAAGACCAGCCAACATGGTGAAACCCTGTCTCTACTAAAAATACAAAAATTAGCTGACTGTGGTGGTGCAGGCCTGTAGTCCCAGCTACTTGGGAGGCTGAGGCAGGAGAATTGCTTTAACCCAGGAGGCAGAGGTTGTAGTGACCTGAGATCATGCCACTGCACTCCAGCCTATGTGACAGAGCAAGACTCTGTCTCAGAAAGAAAGAAAGAAAGAAAGAAAGAAAGAAAGAAAGAAAGAAAGAGAGAGAGAGAGAGAGAGAGAGAGAGAGAGAGAAAGAAAGAAAGAAAGAAAGAAAGAAAGAAAGAAAGAAAGAAAGAAAGAAAGAAGGAAGGAAGGAAGGAAGGAAAGAAAGAAAGAAAGGGAAAAGAAAAGAAAAGAGTTAAGACAAAATCCGTAATGTCCCATTTAACAGCTCATTGGTTTATTTTTGATAAATGTCTGTATCAGTTAGGATAGGCTGGGTTTTGCTGTGGTAACAAAACTCCAAAATATTACTTAAACAAACAAAAATGTATTTCTTGTCCACACTGTATGTTT
The DNA here is from genome assembly GCF_000001405.40 of Homo sapiens. NCBI lineage: Eukaryota > Metazoa > Chordata > Mammalia > Primates > Hominidae > Homo > Homo sapiens. The sequence goes on from NC_000010.11 coordinate 91,573,555, forward strand.
GATGTGGGTTGGCAGAAGGGTTGTACACCTCATAGCAACCCTGGGACTCCAGTGAACAGAGACTCCACCTCAGCGTGGACTTTCACGAACACTGCACCATAGGGAAGGAGATGAAGATGATCATACACTGACTTTGAAAGCTTCTGCTTAGGTTTCTTTGGCTAAAACATGTTATGTGACCATACCTTATCAAAGGATACAGAGAACCAAAATATGTGCAACTGGTCTTAGCAACTAACACAGTATGTGTGATTTAAAATGTTCTACTGTGTGCTTATCATACAATTAGCTTTCAGACTTGGTAAGTTGCTTCTCATTTGTGTGATGGAATTAAGCACTCAAGAATTCTTTCCTCAGCTGCACTGGCACCTGAGTTCATTTGAAAACTGCTGGCGTAACCCATAGTGGGAATTCCTGTTAGATGAGAATTTACTGGGGGCCGGCTGAGGCCCACACATATCACACCACACAGGCAAATCCCGCTACCAGACCTGAGGCCAGTCCTCTTTCTAGACCATGGTGTCACTGGAATATTGGAAATCTGGGCATTAGCTTGAGTTTTGGAGGGGTTGAAACTGCAAAAATGAAGCAAAACAAGTAGTCTGCTCTAAGGGGAAAGAATCTAACATGGTGTTTAGGGTCTTGTTTAACCTAGAGTACCTTGGTATCACCACACCCTGTTGGGGAGAACGCACAGTGTTATGTCACGAATGAGCTGTAAGTCTTTAAAAAGCCATCTTTCTTTTCTGAGCTATAAAATAAACAGGTCAGAAAAGAACAGCAATTTTTTTTTTTGAGACAGTGTTTCACTCCGTCACCCGGGCTAGCGTGCAAAGGCATGATCCTAGCTCACTGCAACCTCTGCTTCCCAGGCTCAAGCGATTCTCCCACTCAGCCTCCTGAGCAGCTGGGACTACTGGCACGCACCACCATGCTTGGCTAATTTTTTTTTAATTTTTGGTAGACATGTGGTCTCACTATACTGCCCAGGCTGGTCTCAAACTCCCAGGACCAAATGATCCTCCTGCTTCAGCCTCCGAATGTGCTGGGATTACAGGCATGAGCCACTGTACTGGGCCAAAACAGTAATTTTTAAGTGCAAGACCCTTTACAGAAATAAATCACATTCTGAGTCCCAATGTATAAGACAGATACAAAGGGATTCCAGAATGGAAGGGCAGCCCCACATCCTCATAGACCTCACTCTAAAGAGCAGTCCCTAAAACACCTTCACACAGACTCTGTAGAGCTCCAGGGAGCTTGGTTTTAAAATGTCAGGATTCTGTAACCTCTAAGATCTTTTCCTGTGATTCTGTTGTTCTAGCTTTAATGCCAGCATTTCCTGGTTCCAAATCCGAAGAAACAAGTGAGTACGCACAATGCTCCTTCCCTGGCCCAAGGCTGAGCCCTGCCTGGGCCCAGTCCCATCACTCCTCCGTGGCACCAAACGTCCCTCCCTGGCCTACTCCCCAAGTGTTGAAAATCTTTACCATTTGCAGTCCGAAAGATTCATGCCCAGGACTGTCAATAGCACCGACATCCTTTGCCTCTGCTTGAGAAAGAGCAAGCCATGTCTGTGCATTGGAAATCTCACAGGTCAATGCCCTTCTGCTTCCGTGTCCTGGCTCCATTCCTCTTCTCACCTCATCAAGTGCTGTTTTTCGTCATCCAAGTGTCATGAGGGGTGGTGAGTTGCAGTGGAAGGAGGCTCTCATCCTGTCCAAGAACCCCTTGGTAATTCTCCAGGTAATTAATGAGGACTCTGGGGGACACTGGGAACGCCTTTGGAATGTTAAACAAAGTGGCTTTTATTCTGGCTGCCTTGCTGCGGCTTCTTCCTCATAATGAAGGGGCCAATTGTGCTGTTGGTGGGTGTATCTGAAACGCCCTCTGCCACCATGGCCCTAGGCTTTCCTTTGGCCTGTTGATTTGGTCTCATGTCAGGGTGTTTCTGGCAGAAGAGGGACAAGACCTTTATTTTAAGGCTCATAACAACCAAGAACACCCTTTCCATCATCAGCATTTAAAATGCTGTATTATTTGCCAATAAGCCATGTCTTTATCTAGGTCACTTGCCTTGTCTTTAACCTGAGCCATCTCTAGCTTCTTGCTACTCTAAGAGTGGTTTGGACCATAGGAATCACCTGGGAACTTGCTAGAAAGGCAGAACCTCAGGCCCCACTCCAGACAGACTGGATCAGAATCTACATTTTAATAAGATCCCCAGATCATTGCTCTAGTCTAGACAACTACAGAAGTTTGAGTGACTTGGTCAATGGCCAGAGCCCAGGTATCTTGGAGAGGCACATTGTTTGTCAGAGAGCACTGGTCTGGGAGTCAGAAGACCTGGCTTTCCATTCTGAGTCGGCCACTAACTCTCTGAGTGGCCTTGGCTAAATCAGTTATCCATTCTGGAATCTTGGATGAGCTGGACTCCTGCCTCCCCAAGTGCTTGCTCTCAAGACAGAAAACAGAAAGGTATGCTTTCTCCTGCATGCTGATGACATGATTTGATTGCCAAACACTTAACAGACAATTGTCCCTGAGACCTAATTTCTCTCAGGAGCTTCAGAGCAGCTACCATAGCTTTTTGTTTTGTTAACTGTCTCCCAGCATTTAATTGTTTTATCACATTCAGTGTCTCTCTATGGCAACTCACTTTGTTAAGTTCCCTGAAGGTATCTCTTTGCACTTGACTTTTTTCAGTTTCCAAAAGATGAGTCATCATATCTGCCTTGCTTATCACACAGGGCTGTGCTGAGAAGCCACTGAGGCAGCACCTTAAAAAGTATGAGGTGCTGTCACATATACTGCAAACTGACAGAGTCTTTCTGGGAAGGCCATTTAGTGACATGAGTTTTTTTAACCTTAAAAATATGTACACCCTTTCCAGAGAATCATCTGATAAGCCCTGGGGGGAAAGAATCATGGATGAGTGCAAAGGCTGTTAATCACCACAGCATTATTAGTAATGGTGGAAAAAGTCTAAACAACCCAAATGTCCAACAATAGGAAACTGGGTAAATAAACTAGTAAATGATGATGTCCCATAACATAGAATTCTATGAGCTATTAAAAATGCTGCTGAAGATGAGTATTGAAAGATGTGGAAAGCGATTGGTGATTTCTCACCAATTAATGAAAATATGCTGAAGACTGTATTATGGATTGTGATCACATTCCAGTTTGAGAATAATGTATATAAATATTTATAGGAAAGGGGCTGAAAGCATCCATATTGTTTGTTAATACTGATGACACACTGTTGATTATAGGTAGTTATATTTTCCTCATTTTGTTTATCTATATTTTTAATTATGACAGTGCAATACAATTTTCAAAAGGAAAACATGTTTTTGAAAAAGGAAGGTATAGCAACATTCCTTAACAATTAGAAGCACTCCAGCCTGGCCAACATGGTGAAACCCAGTCTCTACTAAAAATACAAAAATTAGCCAGGCGTGGTGGCAGGTGCCTGTAGTCCCAGCTACTTGGGTGGCTGAGGCAGGAGAATACTTTCTTTTTTTTGAGACAGAGTCTCATTCTGTCTCCAGGTTGGAGTGCAGTGGCACGATCTCCGCTCACTGCAACCTCCGATTCCCTGGTTCAAATGATTCTCCTACCTCGGCCTCCCAAGTAGCTGGGATTACAGGCATGAGCCACCACGCCCAGCTAATTTTTGTGGTTTTAGTAAAGACAGGGTTTCACCACGTTGGCCAGGATGGTCTTGATCTCCTGACCTCGTGATCTGCCCACCTCGGCCTCCCAAAGTGTTGGGATTACAGGCTTGAGCCACCAGGAGAATCTTTTGAACCCAGGAGGCAGAGGTTGCAGTGAGCCAAGATCACGCCACTGCACTCCAGCCTGGGCAACAGAGAGAGACTCTGTCTCAAAAAAAAAGCAATTAGAAGCACTGTTTTTATCATCACTTTACTCATCAGTGAAGAAAGCCCCTCTGGCTGGGGAAGAGGGGAGCCAAAAGACAGCATTTCACGTTGGTCATGCTGCTGACCTCACATCCACCATGTGAGCAGACTTTAAATGGTACCCTACAGCATCTGCAGGTGGTAAAGGAAGCAATGTCTTCATTCAGGAACTCAGAGGAGAGGGGGAACTAGGGAGGAAACCATAAATTTTTCCTAGAACACAAACTGAAATTCATAGTCCTGCAAAGTGAGCAGTGCATAGGTATGTTGCATGCCTCCTGCAAGGACCTCAGATCCCAAACACAGTTACAGAACCAGGCAGTGGGGATGCAGACAACATTTCTCCTGTCTGGCCTAAAGCAGTAAGACCAATTTACCTGCCAGATGTTCCTTCCAAAACCCAAAGGAAGGTGATTTGTTTTCAAGAGGGAAAAGGAATTTGAGTCTATGGTTTTATTTCCTCCTAGTTCATTGAAAAGAAGGTTTGTCTTCCTTATTTAAAATACCACAGAAGAGTGCTAACAGTGATGGGAAGCCTGCTTTGTCTCTTGCATTACAAATCATAGTAGTAGTGGTAGTAGTAGTATCAGTAGCAGTAGTGGTGGTGGAACAGTGGAAGTAGTAATAGGGGTAGTAGTGGTGGTGGTGGTGGTAGTGGTGGTGTTTGTAGCGGTAGCAGAGGTAGTGATAGTAGTAGAAGCAACATTATATGCCTGACATTTTGCCTGTATGATTTTATTTAAATCTTCATAACAACCCTGTCAGGTAGGTAGTATTACAAAGAGGGACACTAAAGCTCAGAGAAAGTAATTGGCTCAGAGTGACACAGTTAGTAAGAACTGGAAATTGCATTCCAACTAGGAATTCCAAAATACCTTCTTTCTACTATAACACACCAGAAAATTAAGATGCTACCAGCCCCACTTATATTTGTCAAAAGCCTGATGATTATGGGTTAATTCAGCCCTTGTTTTGCATCCATACATGGCATGAAGTTGGTTCTAGAATTGTCTACAAGAGTCCAATTACATTCAACAAACTCATGATGCTTTTTATATTTTTTTAAACTCAATCTCTTCTTACATCAATAGTGAGACTCTTAAAATATTTTCTCTTCACTTCCATAAAGACCCACTTCACTTTCCGGGAGATATTATTCTTCCACCTGGATAATGTACCAGCCAACATTCCCTGCATTGGCTATTATCAAGTGTGAGGCTTTCCCTGGTCTCCCTCTGCTAGAACACTGTTTGCTTTTGAGCAGAATTTGATATAAGACCAGTTCACTGTAACCCTATCCAAGCATGTTTAGTTAGAAAAGGATGAAGAGAAATTTTTTCTTAGCTTTTATAGAGTAATTTGTTGGTTTATGTTTCCCAGTGATGAAACTGTGACTGAGTTAAAGGATATTATATAGCAGAGATATTTCTGCCATGGCCTAGGTATTGTAAACCTGTCTGCAGGTTCAGGGAAGCACCACCTCTGCTGAATCGAAAAAGAAAATTGTCTGGGGATCAGGAGAAAGGATTCTCCAAAAGGCCAATGTTCTTATAGAGAAGCTCCTAGTACCTAAGAAGATACTCATTAGTTCAGTTTATTCATTCATCAGGCATCATCTGTGTTCAGGCATACTTCTTGGCACTGGGTATTCAATGGGATGCATATTAGACAGAGTATCTGCACTTGTAGAGCTTAGAAAGAAGCAGGAAATGTATCAGGAATGCTCTCGGCTACAAGTGACAGAAAAACCAGCAAGCAGTGCCTTTTTAAAAAGTAGAGTTATTTTTCTCCATAACAAAAAGTCCGTGAGTATGGAGTCCATAGCTATTGCAGCAGCTGAAAGTTCCTATGTGTTTCCTTCTTTCCACCCCAAATCTTCAGCATGGTGGCTTTTCAGTTTTTTTTAATTGCATGTCTCAAGATGGTGACCACAGCTCTAGATAGTATATCTACATTTAAGGCAAAATGAGAGGGTAGAGGAGTGCCAGTCATATCTGATTATTTTATGCAGAAAGCAAAGGCTTTCCAAGAAGTCCTTTGGCAGACTTCTGCTTAGACTGCCTTGGCCAAAACATTTACATGAACCACCCCAAGCTATGAAGGAGGCTGGAAATGTAAATATCTGGTGAGTGGAATTACAGTCATTGACTTTGACTAATCACAATTCAACCTCAGAGGACAGGCCACTGCCATCCTAAACAAAATCAGGGTAATTAAAAGAGGCTGGGGTATGTGGTGAGAAGGGGAGGATGAAAGGTAGCTAACTAAAACTGTCTGTCTCAATAAGAAAGATTCAAACCAGCATTAGGAGACCTCACTGAAGCTTGATGTCTAATGTTGTAAACTTTTGGCCATCCCAGCTGCACATCAGGCTGAAGACATTCCTTGGGTTCCCAGGCATGCCTCACTCAGGCGGAGCATAAAACCAGGGCCAGAGGCAACAACAGCTTCTCTGGAATCGGTGATGACAATATTGTATATTAATGTTTTCCTGTGAATGGTTTCAAGTCTGTATATGTCCTGGTCTTCTGACCTACCTCGTCACCTGAAATCTAAATGTCTCTTTGCTCCCTAATACCACTGCCAACTTCTTGGAATTAGAGACTTAGAAGCTTTTCTTCAGACTGTGAGCCTCTAAGAAGTGACGCTTTTCTTAGATGATCACTTAGGCCCTTACTTAGACCCTTGCTTTCTTCGAAGAAAGAAAAGTAAAACCCAAATACCCATCAAACAGAAAATGGTTGAAGAAACTATGGTATATCTTCACAATGAAATATACCATATGGCAGTCAGACAGAATGATGCAGCTTTATATGCACAAAAAGCAAACTGCAAAGCAACACATAGAACACAATAGAATGTACGTCTGAGATAACCTTTGTGGTGGTTGTAAAATATGTCCATAAATTCTTTCATACAACTCTTCAATCCATCTCCCCTTGAAAATTAGTGATTCACTTGTAATGAATAGAATGAAGTAGTAGCAGCAGTATGCAACTTCAGAGACAAAGTCATAAAAGACATTGTGGCTTCCTCCTCATTCACTTTATCTTAGATTGCTTACTCTGGGGGAAGTTGGTTGCCACGTTATAAGGACATTTCAGTGGCCAACAGAGATATCCATGCAACAAGAAGCTGAAGCTTCCTGCTAACAGATATGAGTGAGCCATCTTGGAAGAAGATTCTACACATCCCCAGTCGAGCCTTCAGATGACTGCAGCCCCTGCCAACATCCAACCCTATGAGAGACCCTGAGTTACAACCACCCAGCTAAGCTGCTCCTAAATTCCTGATCCACAGAAACTGCAAGATAATAAAATTTTGCTGTTAAGCCATTACGTGTTGGTGTAATTTGTTTGCAACAATAGATAACCAACATGGCCTTATTATTTGCATATGTAATAATAAGACTCAAGCCCCTCCTCTGTGTTAGTCACTGTGTTTAAAGTCTCAACATCAAATCCTCATAATAACTCTGTAAGGTAGAGTCTAACATTATCCTTATTTTACAGAGGAGGAATCCAAGGCACAAGGAAGCAAAGTAATTTGACCAAAGATGTATAGCTCTTTGAACCCAGGCAATCTTTGAATGATTACCTGTAAACTTGTATACTATACTACACTACACTATTCTATACCATACTTTCATTTGTGTATGTGTGTGTGTGTGTGTGTGTTGCAATGTATTCTATGATGTGTGCAGAGAAAGTACATATGACCAGCCAGTTGCAGTGGCTTATGCCTGTAATCCCTGCACTTTGGGAGGCCAAGGCAGGCAGATCACTTAAGGTTAGGAGTTTGAGACCAGCCTGGCCAACATGATGAAATAAAATAAAATAAAGTATGTATGATCACAGGTTACTTCTTAGAATTGGAGAGAGAATAAGAGAAAGGGGGGTTTTTAATTTTCCTCTACTTTCTTCTGTACTGTTTGAAGGTTTTGTTTTTTATTTTTTAGGGTTTTTTGTTTTTTTTTTTTGAGACACAGTTTCACTCTTGTTGCCCAAGCTGGAGTGCAATGGTATGATCTCAGCTCACTGCAACCTCCGCCTCCCAGGTTCAAGCGATTCTCCTGCCTCAGCCTCCCGAGTAGCAGGGATTACAGGCGTGTGCTACCACACTGGGCTAATTTTTAGTAGAAACGGGGTTTCACCATGTTAGCCAGGCTGGTCTCGTACTCCTGACCTCAGGTGATCTGCCCACCTCAGCCTCCCAAAGTGCTGCTTGAAGGTTTTTACGATAAAAATGCATTATTGTAATACCTGTGTAGTTAAAATTTTAGCTAAGCTGGCAAATAGCTGTATGCTATTCAAGAAATGAAGTGTTAGGGAAGGAAGGGGCACATATGACCAAATCTAAGTCATCAACATGGATTCACTTTGGAGTGAATCAGATTGGCTGCTTCTGTGGATTTGCAGGGGGAGATGGGGTACTCTCAGAGCCCTTTCCCCTCCAATACCACCAACCCAAGGCTCCCTCCTTTTCCTACGGTCCATGAGGCAGGAAGAAGATGTGCCCTCCTGACCCAAAGACTTCTCTCAAGACATGCCCAAGAGTCCTGCCATCTCCTCCACAGCTGCCTACATGCTTGTCAGGGTGTGACACATGGTATCCCATCTGGAGACCACAGGTAGGACAGTTGGCCAGGACACGGAGAATCTATTCTTGTTCTGGGCTTGAGCCTGATTCAGGAATAGACTCTGAGAGCAAAGTCCTCAGGATCTCTCCCCTCGTGACCAGGAAGGATCATGCGGCTGATGTGCTCCCTGGCACCATCCTTGCAACTGTGGGGAAGATATATTTAGCATCTGGCCTGTGAGAGAGCTGTCATTACAATCTCACTATGAGGCTGCCTCAGTAACTCCAGGGCACTGGTCACAGCCTAATCCTGTCTATTTTTACATGTTCAGGTTTGTAGAGTGGTAATAAGAGTTATCTGTCTGATGCAAGACAGGATCAGATAGGCCTGCCCTGGTGATAGATGGCCTTGAGCTTCTGATATGTGATAAGTCACACCACTGCCCACTCCCTGATGGCTGCAGTGTGGCTGGAGGTTCACCTAGCTTGTAGGAACAGGGCTGTTCTATGTTAATGCCAGATACCTTGTAGGGTAAGCCCATGAAAGGGGCTTTTTCATAGCCCCTAAAGGAAAGAAGCCAGGGCTCAGATGAACTCTTGCCCCAAGAGGCACCATTTCTTGAACAACCACAGCAAACCTCATTAATCAATCTCAGTACTCTTTTTCACTGAGCCCTCAGAATTATCCATGAGAGATCATCCCTGGAAGCCTCTACCAATCAATACTAGTTGCCCCTTATGATGAAAATGATGAGCTAACTTTGGGCTGGAGGGACTGAGAAAGTCATTAGTGAAGAGTTGATCGGGGCAAAGGGTGAGATGATGCCAAGTTTAGAAGGTGGTGGGAAGGTAAGAGGGCCTGGGTGCCTCACAATGGCAGGAAGGAATCAATGAGGGCTAAATGCTATGATTTAGACATTAACAAGAGTTGGTGACACATCAAGCACAAGATAGAGTTAGAAGGACAGCTTCTCTTATCATGTTACCATGGATAAATCCCTTCACTACTCTGTTCCTCAAATGTCCTACCTGTAAAATGAGCGACCACTTCTAGCATTGACACCTTACAATTCACGTTATTTACCATAGCATGGAATTCAGTGACTGTTGACTGCAGCATCCCATAGTTTTCTTTTCAGGGTCATGTGAAAGAGACCACTAGCTGCTTTCCAATATCCTTTCCTCCTTCATTGGTAGAAGAACTCCAGCTTTTAGCTGAACAACTGTAACTCAATAAAGACTAAATGTCCCAGGTTTCCAACAATATAACTGTTCTATCCAATGAGATATAAGAGGAAGCCTCAAGCCGGGCGCGGTGGCTCACGCCTGTAATCCCAGCACTCTGGGAGGCCGAGGCGGGCAGATCACCTGAGGTCAGGAGTTCAAGACCAGCCTGGCCACATGGCGAAACCCCGTCTCTACTAAAAATACAAAAATTAGCTAGGCATGGTGGTGGGCGCCTGTAATCCCAGCTACTCGGGATACTGAGACAGGAGAATCGCTTGAACCCAGGAGATGGAGGTTGCAGTGAGGCGAGATAGCGCCATTGCACTCCAGCCTGGGCAACAGAGCAAGAGTCCATCTCAAAAAAAAAAAAAAAAAAAAAGAGGAAGCCTAATATGGAACTTTGGGGAACTCTCCTTAAAAAGGAAGAGGTTGGTGTGATGGATAATAAGATCTCTGTCTTTGAGTGCTTAGCCTCTAGTTTGAGAGAAAGAAATAAAACAACACTAGAACAACTAACAAATATATAACAAAGACATGAGTGCCTTTGTCTTTTATCAGTTGCTCCACATGTTTCATTCAATCTTCTGGGAAAGAAAAGCAACTGGAAAGCTTTAATGTATTCATTCAATAAACACTGAGTATTCATTATATTCCAGATTCTGCTGAACTAATCAAATACAACATTTGACCTCAAGATTTACTCCCAACCCAAAAAACACGCAGTGTTGGTCTAATATTTAAAAATTATACTTAGGCTGGGTGCAGTGGCTCACACCTGTAATCCCAGCACTTTGGGCGGCTGAGGCAGGAGGATCACTTGAGTCCAGAAGTTTGAGACTAGCCTGGACAATATAGTGAGACCTCATCTCTACAAAAAATTTAGGAATTAGCCAAGTGTGGTGGCATGAACCTGTAGTCCCAGCTACTTGGGAGGCTGAAGGAGGAGGATTGCTTGAGCTCAGGAGGCAGAGGCCGCAGTGAGCCAAGATCATGCCACTGCATTCCATTCTGGGTGACAGAGCCAGACCCTACCTCAAAAATAAATAAGTAAAAATCATATTTAACATTAAAATATAGATTTTCAGCTTCTGTTGAATAATGGAAGAGTTGACAACATGGAACTTGTATTCCCTCTTGACAACAATTGGCAGCAGCTGAATAACAGTACCTCCTTTCAGGAGGGTTGCTACCACTCCTCATTTTTCTCTCTTTCTTTTTTTTCCTTTTTGAGATGGAGTCTCGCTCTTGTTGCCCAGGCTGGAGTGCAGTGGTGTGATCTCTGCTTACTGCAGCCTCCTTCCCAGATTCAATCATTTCTCCTGCCTCAGCCTCCCAAGTAGCTGGGACTACAGGTGCATGCCACCATGACCAGCTAATTTTTGTATTCTTAGTAGAGATGGGCTTTCACCATGTTGGCCAGGCTGGTCTCAAACTCCTCAGGTGATCCACCCACCTCAGCCTCCCAGAGTTCTGGGATTATAGAAGGGAGCCACCACGCCTAGCCCACTTCTCATTTTTCTTATACCAAACTGTTATGTCCATTCTGTCATTTCCTGCCCGGCTCTGCAAGACACTGGGGAGCGTCAGCCCTGCCCCAGAACCTGGAATGCAAAGGGAGTCATTTGTTCCCCTCATCATCAGAAACAAACATTTATTGAGCACTTACATATCAAAAGACTAACCTGAAATGTAGGAGGCTCTTCTTTGAGCCCCTGTGTTGGCATTTGGGGATGAGGGAGAAAGAAAAGAGGGGAGAAGAAATGAGGAGGAGCAGTTCAGAAAACAACATAATCTTATTGCAACCTTTAAACAAAGGAGGGGTAACATTCTTCCCACCTTTCCTATTTGGCTGTCTGGGACATAGATGTGATGGTGGATCTCTAGCAGCCATCTTGCACATGAGGGTGAGGGCTACACCATGGAAATAATGTGTAAGGAGTCCGAGTCCTTAATGTCTTCATGGAACTTCCACAACTAGTGTTATGTGACAAAATAAAGCCTTGAGGGTAAAAATCATTGTTTTGTGTTTCCTGCCTCATGGGCTATCTCAAAAATAAATAAGTAAATAAATAAGCAAAAATCATATTTAACATTAAAATATAGAAGCCAACCCTAATTCTACTGATTACAAAGTTTATGTCCAAATCCAAGGCTAGTCTGTGGGATCTTCCTGGGAGCCTCTAATATTCTACAGGAGCAATCGAGACGCAACCCAATGGATAATCCCAAACACTTTACTTCTGCTATTGCTTCCTGGTGGTCTCAGAGATCACTCCAGCCACTTCAAAGGGCCATCTAAACACTGATTTGGGAATCTGATCCTACCTGGTGATATGTATCAATAAGGATGCATTGGGTGACTGATCATAGAAAGCTCAAGTCAACTATTTTAAACAATAAAGACATTTTGCTGTCTCATTTGATAAGAAGTCCAGAGGTAGAACATTTCCAGAGCTAGTTAATTCAGTGGCTCAGTGACACCACCATGGATTCAGGTTCTTTTCATCATGCAAATTGGCCAACCACAGTGTGTCGGCATTTGTCCTCGGTGTGACTCTTTTGGTTGCAAGTACATCAAGCACCCTGTCCTCATTCAGCAAACTCTAAAACCATAGAGACTAAGATTGTGTAGCCCTTACTGTCACTGCTCTTTAAGATGGGGGAAAACTTTCCCCAAAGTCCCCCACTTCATGTTTCATTGGTTAGAATTCAACCACATGCTCATCCCAAACCAGTCCCTGGCAAAGAGGATAAAATGATTATGATTGGCTCAAACTAACCAAGATTTATTCTCTAGGGACAGAGAGGGGTAAGGTCTTCCATCAAACCATGGAAGCCCAATATCAATCAAAACTGGGGTTCTGCTGGGAAGGAATAAGGAGCAAGAAATGGCTATTGAATATGCAATGAACAGTTTCACCAAGCCATGTGGCCTTGGATCATTCATTTTCCCTCTCTATGCCTCAATTTCCTAATCTATAAAATGGGAAGAATAGACTAGAAAATCTCTAGGGCCCTCTAAATTACCTTCCCAATTGATTATGAGTGCCCAGTTCTAGTGGCACAAGATGCTCCCTCACTGACTGACATTTAGTGATCACAGCAGCATCAATAATAGCTTAAAACCTAGAAGTGGAGGTGGTAAGGTTAAGGTGTCCTTGGTGGCTGTAGCCTCCTCCTCCAGGTAGCCCTTCACAATATAAAGCCCCACCTTGGCTTCTCTCAGGCCATTGGCCTTTCCAAGGGGATGCTGATGCCCATCACTGACCAGACTTCATCCATCCACTCAGTCATTCATTCATTTATTTGCCACTGACAATCTCATATATTCCAAGCTCTGTACTGAGCCTCCACTCTGCTCTACCATTACCAAGGGATAAAGTGTGAACAGATTTGGGGTAAGGAGCGGGGAATGCATGGAAGAAGAGCTGTAAGATCCAGGTCCCAGTTTTCCCTCTGCCAGCCAGTTAAATTCTAGTTCAGAACTCACTTCTCCCAGGAAGCTTCCCAGGTTCCCCCAGCCCCATGTTCAACCTAGAATGCGCATGTCTCTGGTGGTCTGCCAGGAGAATGGGAAGCCACAGGACAAACATGGTGCATCTTTCTGAAGCATCAAGATAATACAAAGATTGGGGGAGAGCATGATTTAAGTAATGAAACTTGTCAATGGCTTCAAACATTAATTTAGATTGAATTAACCATAGATATAGTAGAAAGCTAAGATGGCACAATTTTTTTTAAGAAATAAGAATCTAAGAAACAGTAAGCTTCCGGCTATGGCCCACAGATAACCTAGAGAATGACAGACACTCATCTCCTCTGGTCACTATGGGAACCATCAAAGGAGATTCTGATAACCCATTCACTTAAACCCCTGGCTCTGCCACTTACCAGCTTGACAGCTCGGTATCCTAAGTATTTAACCTCCATATGCCTGTTTTTCCTTCCATTAAAGGAAATCATATTGCTAAATGGGGTTATTAACCACAACTTCATTGAATGAGCATAAGGGGCAGAAGTGATACTGTCTTGAAATGTTTAGCATGGAACATTGATAGTCATTTTTATTAAGTACTAAGTGCTACTAGTAAAAAAAAAAAAAACTATATGTATTAAGCACCTACTACTTGCTAAGCACTGTGTTAGGCATTAGGGAAATAAAGGTACAGATGAGAGTATCTTACAATTAAGTGCCTACTTTTTGCCAGGCACTGAGCCAGTATATTTTTTATTTTTTTTATTTAATTGAATACACATAATGCAATGCATGCTTTTCAGGTGCAAGGTGGTATGAGCACAGAACACTTATTGCTTGGAAATTCACTTCATTGGATTGTCATGGCTATGGCAATCATTTATGCTGCCCCAGGTGTCTTCTTGTAAAACCCATTCTCTTTAGTCTGTGACAATATTCTTACTAGACATGTGTTGTCTATATCTGGTTAACAAAACAAAGGGGCTAGAGACAACATGAGACTGACAGTCACCAAAACTCCACCACCTCTAATTTATTTAGCCCTCATGTCCAGCCTCCTGAGAGGCAGTACAGGAAGTATTTTCACACCTGATCTCTGGAGTCAGATCACGTGCCACAGCTGGAATTCTGGCTGTGCCCCTTACCGGCTAAGTAACCTTGGGCAAGCCACTTGACCACTCCAAGTTTTGTTTTTTCCTTTGTAAAACAGGAGTAAAAATAGTTCCTTTCTCATAGGATTGAATGGTTGTTTCTTATCTGTTAAGCAAAACAAAAATAGTTCCAACCTCATACAAATGACTGAGGTAACACACCTAAACTTTTAGCCCATTGGCTGGGACATAAAAAGTGTAAATTAAGTGAAGCCGTAGCTGTTATACCTTATTATTATTATTAGCTCCTTACTGCCCCACACAACATTTTACCGGAGCCAGCGTGCTGGCTCTTTTTGCTACTTGGTATGAGTCATCTCCTGTCATCTCCCATGAGATAAATATAAGAAAACTAGTGGGAGTCAGTGAAACAGAGAAGCAAATAAGTCCTCAGCCAGAATCATCCATCTTTAGGGATGAAAACAGAACTACCCCTTACTGGGCAGGTACCGTGCTGAACCCTTTATGCATCTCTTCATAGTTAATCCTCAAATTACTCTATGAAGAAGCCTCCCAGCCCACTGCTCCCTATGACTCATCACGGCCCTCTTATTCTTCCCCCAGAATCTAGAGGGGAAACATCTCCCCCGACACCAATAGTCATGACCCAGTTATGGGTTTCCCTGGCTAGCTGACATCCAACAGGATGACATCACATTATGCAATCAATCCTTACCCACAAGTGGGTCCATGTTAATTTCTTTTCAGCGTGTTTTATGTACATCTGTGTGTTTTCCATTTTCAGCCCCAATGAGCAAACTGTCCATTGGCTTATTAGGGTGCCTGTCAGATACATTTTTGCACTGTAACTCTTCAGAGACACAAAGTCGTCCTCCTTCATGAATAGAAAAGCAGACCATTACATGTTGGTTCCAGAGGCCCTTCAGAATTGAGGAAGAATATCCTGGAGAAAGAGCTCATGGCAGAGGGCTCTGCGCAAGAGAATTGACACTAGGTTTCTTAAGCTTTCTGGGTCTGAGATCCCTTGTCTGCAAAATGAAGACTTTGAACCTCCATGGTCTTCAGGTTGCTTCACTTATCCATAAATTAATAACTATTGTGTTCCAGCTATATGCATGCCAGGCACTGGGATACCAGTGACCACGACAAGCAACGTCCTGCTCTCATGGTGTCTGCTTTGTAGTCACAAAGACAATAAGCAAAGAAATAACTTCAGACAGTAAGAAGTAGCATGAAAAAAAAATGATGATGAGATAGTGCCTTGGGTGGGGCAGGAGGAGTCACTTTCAATGGGATGGTTAGACAGGCCCTTAAGGAAGCAACAATGAGCCTGAGAATTCTAAGGGAAGAGGGCAGAGGAAACAGTTATAAAAGTTGTTGAGTTTTCATTAGGGAAACAATCTGGGTCTATGACAAAGGAGCCACTGAGCTGACCAAGATGAGAAAATGCTGTTTTTCCATAAGCTGTCATAACATAGACCCTCCAGGCCCTGGCAAGGGCAGGACCTGACTCCTCCTCTACAAACATTCGTAAGTGCCGACTGCATGCAAGGCTCAGCCTCCAAGTCTAATCACAGCCCAGAGCCAAGTGTCTGGAGGCAATGAGAGGAATGCGCTCTGACCTTTCAGAGTGGCAATGACAATGATAAATGAAGGGGCATTTGGATGCTCGCCCTTGACTATAAGAGGAAACAGGCAGACTGTGAACTGGGGCTCATGTTCTGAAGCTTAAGTTTCACCCATTATGCAGTTTCTAGGGTCACTTGTTGCCACAGAGTAGGGCAAGAATTTGAACTTAAGGACTGCCCTGGTGGACTTACAGACCCCTCAGCTGTCAGCATAGATCTCTGAGCTGAAAGCACATGGGCAACCTCAAAGCTTGCAATATCTTCTGCTGGGGGAGTGTGGGGGAGAAGGAAGGAGGGGGAAGTGAGGAGGTGAGAGGGACAGGGGACAGAGTAAGGAGTGGCCTGGTGGGCATGGGGTTGACTGAGGCAATATAAAAGGCTGTGCTGAAAGTCAAAACACTTGGGTCACAGTGCCAGCAGTACGCAGAGGAGTCAGGTAACCTGTCCAGCCATTACAATAGAACCAGGGCAGCACCTGCTAGGGCCAGGCATGGAGCGGGCTCCTCGCTCACAGTATCTCATTTAACCCTCAACACAACACTGGGGAAAGTACTATTATTATCCCTAATAGAGAGAGGGGGCTGCAAGAGATTTCACGCCTTGCCCAAGGTCACATAATGGCAGAGATGGAATTCTAACTTGGGTCAAGCCAATTTCAAGTTGTTAACTCATTGGTTATATGGGAAGGGTAATCACATGTGCTCTACCTGTCTCATGCATTTGTTGGGAGATCAAATGAGATGAGAAGGTGCTTTGTCAACATTAATGAGCTGTTCCAGGGTCTGCTGGTGCCAGCATGGTTCCTAGCAGTGCTGCTATCTGCATAGGTTCCTGCCCCCAACCAACTACACACCTATTTCCCACTCTCCCACTATCTCCTGAAATTCTGGCCCATGCTTCTCCCCTGGGGTGGTGGCACATTCCCCCATGGCCGCCCTTCCCCGGAGCAGCAGCAGCCCTATCCCCAGCCAAGTCTTGGCACTGGACCCGCAGGATGGGGAGGGCATGTGGAAAATCTGAGGAGATGTTTTTCTTCCTTGGGAAGGACGCCAAACTGCAGTTTGCTGGCGTTCTGTAAAGTATGCACCCAGAGAAGATTTAGTTTAGGAAGAAATGGGGGAAAGAATCCCTCACTATTTGCTTAGTGAGCTGGGTTGGCCAAGCCAGAGCCAAACCCCACATATTTGGGCTGACTCGCTATGTTTACAAAACAGGCCCATGTTCCAGGAGATGACTGGGGAGGCAGCAAAACAGTCAGGAAGGAGGGCTCTGTAGGCCTCTCTCTGGCCTCCTTTCCATCCCCCGTCTCCAGCCCACATCTGTGGCTTGCTTTCTTGGGCCTGGAAGGCTGGGGGTGGGTCAAGGGAAAGGTGGGCCACCATGACCTCTTTTGCATGGTGGCTTTCTCACTCCCTACCCCTTCAACTCCATGAAGCCCACTGTCAGAACTGACCAGAGGACACCACCTCCAGGGAGGCTTCCTAAGCCCTGAGGCTAGGTCTGGGCTCTTTCCCAAGGGCTTCCTCAGGCTCCTTCAGGGCAGAGACCCCTCCAGTTTTGCTCACTGCAGTATCCCCAGGATGGTACTTCAATGAATAAATAAATGACTAACAGCTCTGGCCTCCTATATCCCACGCTGGGGCTTTTCCCTAGTTCAGATCCAGAATTCCTTGGATCTGAACAGTGACATCCTGGGTGTTGGGTTGTGTTTGTTTTGTGTTGCATTGTTCTCCCTTGCTTTCCAGTCGTATCTCCTATGCTTCTCAGCCTTTCATTAAATGCTGCATCAACAATGAACTGCTTGCAATTTCTCACCTGTTTCTGCCTCATGCCTTTGCTCAACCTGACCCCTCTGCGCCCACCCCTCCCTGCCACTCCTAGTCAGCCTTGAAGATTCAGTCCCAACCTCTTTTCATCCGGAAGTCTCCCCTAACCCTCCCCACCCTACCCTCTCTGTCTCCCCCTTTGGTTAGAGGTCTCTTATCTCAGATCCCATAAAAACCTTGCCACGCTTATCACTGTTTACATAGCTGTCCCTGCTCCCAGACTCCAGGCTACTTGGGAGCAGGGAACGTGTCCTAATTGCATCTATCCCTTGCCCTTAGCACAGCGCCTGACATGCAGCAGCTGTTCAACACATGCTTGCTGAATTAATTCATTAACTAACATATGCAGAAGCTAATAATAGCATGCAATGTCATGGGGCCGAGTGTGCATGAGATCCCAGCAAATGCTGTGAGCAAAGAGGAAGAAGCCATTGCCGTGGGCCCGAGTGACTTGGGTTGGGGAAGAAATGGTGTGGAAAGAGAAACCGACGGGGCATACAGCGCAGAAGGCAGAATGGAGGCAGGATGGAGAACGGTCATCGGGTAGCAGGGTGAAATGAGAAAAAGGCCAGGCTTTTAAAAACATAAATCAATCACAGCCTACTCCTGCTTAAAACTCCAGTGGCTTCTCTCTGTGTTTTGGGAAAAATCCAAACATCTTGTCAAAGCCTGCGAGGCCCCTAGATCTAGCCCAGACCTCAAACTTTGGAAAAGAGGAAACTATGTCCCAGAATAACAGTTACAGGGATGCTATGATCATAGTGTTTTTATTTAAAACGCTGGTTTTTGTCTAAAAAATTTTAGCAAATCATGTGTAATATTTTTTCACCACAGATGTATTTGCCTTCGGTTTGAAATCCCAAGTACAATTTTCCAGAGCTTTTTTCTTATGTGAACCAAGTCCTGTGAGCCTTTTACATAACACAGTTGAAATTTTTGTTTTTTCCATCATGACCCATTTGAAAGTTGCCCTATTTAATGCCGTAGGAGCCTATTTCGGGTTTGTTTATCTTTTAAATTGCTACGGGACCTTAATGTTACAGCCTTCAAACAGGGTCTTCTGAGAACTAGGGAGAGACAAGTTATTTGTTTGATCCGTTGCTAGCTGCTGAGGCCTCTCTTCATGCCAGTCACTGAGCCAGGAGTGACACCGACATGTTCCTTCCCACAAAGAACTTATGATCTGAGAGGAGACGGCACACCCAGTATCAGGTGGTGATTTTCAAGGCAGGCACTGAACTGACCACTTTACATACCTTATCTCCTACTCTTCCAATAATCAGGGGGTTGGAAAATATTACCCTCATTTTATAAATAAGAAAACTGCAGCTGAGAGAGACCAGAGACTTACCCAAGGGTGGCATCAACTGAGTGGCAGGATGGGAACCTGAGCCCAGGTGTGCCTCCACCGCTGCACTTTGCCTTGGTCTAAAACAAAACCAGACTAGCCATACAAAGGAAGAGAAGCAATGGCTACAAACATTCTGAGTAGAAGCAGCTGTCCCACATTTCACCTAACCCACCCCTGCCCCCACGGAATGAGGTAATAGTTAACAGCTAACAGGTGTTGAAGATCTGTGCCTGCCTGGCCCTTTTGTCTAACTCTATTCCCTGTAATAACCTCCAAGGTAGGTAATGCAATTCCATTTTACAGTGGAGTCTCTGGAGATGCTCAGAGAGGCTAAAGAATTTGTGCTGGGTGACACAACTAGAGGCAGGGTCAATATTCAAATGCTGTCTTAAGGCAAAGCCTTATTCCCCTACTTCTCCCAGCTTAGATAAAGCAATGAGCATCAGACAACTTGGTTTATTATAGCTCCAGGAAGATTACTGAGAAAGGATGTCCAAAGTTGTGCTTAGCAGAGAAACACTAGTCCTGAAGCAGGAACTTATGGAAATACAGAGAAAAGACTTAGTTTCTAAAAAGGCCAGTAAGAACAGGCCCAGGACACTGGGAAGGAAGATCTCCTGCAGCATCACAGCAGAGCAGGGGAGTCTGCGGCTATCATCATCAATTCTAAAATAGCATGGCTCTCAACAGAGCCTGGGCGAAAGCCAGATTACCCCAAGGCCTAACTGATCAATAAACACGTTCTACAGTGAAAGGTATATAGTCAACTTTAGGAATCAAAAAAACAGCAAGAGCCACCAAGGACAATCAGAGATGAGAGCCCAGAGAAAGTGCCGACAGAAAGGTCGGAGAGGACAGGAATTGATACTGACAGAGCAGGACTTGTTCGACGCCCCAGGGCTTGGCACAGAGCAGGCAGGTGTTTATAGCACAGTGGAGTTCCTTCCTATTCCAAGCAAACTGTATGCACCTGGGGGAGTGGAGATGGAGACAGAGAGAAAAGAGAGGGAAGAAGAGAGACTTTAAAACGATGCTTTGACTCCACCAGACATTATACTCCATGAACGCATGCCCCTGAGTAAATATGAGAAGGGAGATGGGCCAGGTCCCCTGGGGATCTCTTAGTGAGAGCTTCACATGACATTAAAGGTGACTGTTGTGTTCAAAGGTATCTTTCATTCATCGTGACTTCTAAATGCAAGCCAATCAATTCATCTTGTGCTCATCCAAAGACAGTGAAATGTTTGAATGCTGAAAAATAAGATCTCTGTGACGGCCTGAGTGAAATACTGCAAAGGGTCACTTTCCAATGCAGAGTCATGGGGAATTTTGACTGCATAAGCTTTTAATCTTTTGTGCTGACTTTGGAACCATCCCCAGGTCCATAAGACTCCACTGTCTGGATGCCTGATACTCTGAAGGCCCAGGGCCCAGAGCCTGAAGTCTGACATGAACTGATATGTGTTTCATGAAAATTGGTATTGTTTTTAAAATAAAGACAGCTAAGTTTCTCACCACTAGCAATTACAGTGTGGCTGGATAACCCCACTGGGGAACGTATTTGGGGAGGATTTTCAGGAAAGAAAGAAAGGCATTTTCTTTTCCCCTATTGCTTCCTCCTATATTCCTTTACTCCAGGAAATCTGAAGTTCTCTTGCACCAATGGAGAGCTTAGGGGCATTTGTTTTCCAAAGCTAGCCCTACTGGGCTGATACAAGATGGAATGGAAGTAGCTAAGGAAAGTAGAGGAGAGTTTCTGGAGGGAGAGAATGGTGGATAGAGGAGCAAGGGTAGCTGAGAGGCAGGGTCCTATACCCTGTTCCCATGCAGTGTCCCACAGAGCCCGGATTTTGGGTATGAGGTGACTGCCAGATGGCCGAGACTAAGCACAATGGCCTTGAGCCATGGAAATGGTCCCTGTGGCTGAGCCTGTGGTCAATAGGCTTAAAATCTGCAAGGGAGAGCAAGACTAGTACAATACTCTTCCAATAAGTTGTGTTGGGCAGATGGTGGAAGATCACAGCACCAGACACCATCAGGGAAGCAAAAGGAGCAAGGCAACAATGGAGTTACCATGAGCTATAGCTTGGGTGCCTCCCACATTTTCCCAGAACCAGGAATCTGGTACACTCCAATGCAAGAGAGGGAAGAAGCCCCACTAGTGGCTGACGTTGGATTTCTCCTTTACCTGAAGAATAGGGTCAGGGTGTTTGAGCTGTGTTACTTTCATTTAGAAAAAGCCATAAATGTATTGCTTCTTAAGCCTGAGTTCTGCTCCCAGTTTCTCCCTGGATATAATTATTGTGTCTAACAGTAGCAGAGTCCTCCTCCCTTTATATTTCCATGTGCAAAAGCTTCTGAGCTCTGAATATCATTAGGAATGGATTATGGAAAGGTCTCATATCCTCAAAGGCTGAGACCTCTTCCACAGTCCCCTCTGGGTGTTCATTGATGTTTGCCATTATCCATTTCAACCTTGTGGAGAACTGAGTTCTTTAAAAAAACAACATTGGTACACCCTCTAAATGCCACAGGTGACCTCAAGTGTGTGGGCTGTGTAGTGACCAGCATGACTGACACCTTTTAGGTGCTCAATAAATGTTTCTTGAAAATAAAAAATGAATAAGTGAATAAATGAATTGATTAAGCTGGGTTTCTTACTTAATAGACTATTTCTCAGAGAAGTTTTGGATTTACAGAAAAAGTGAACAGAAAGTACAGAACATTCTCATATACCACCTCCTGCCCCCCACTACCCACCCCACCTCAGCTACATACAGTTTCCCCTATTTTTGTTTGTTTGTTTGTTTGAGACAGAGTCTCACTCTGTTGCCCAGGCTGGAGTGCAGTGGCAGATCTCAGCTCACTGCAACCTCCGCTTCCCAGATTCAAGCAATTCTCCCACATTAGCCTCCAGAGTAGCTGGGATTACAGGCATCCACCACCACGCCCAGATAATTTTTGTATTTTTAGCGGAGACAGGGTTTCACCATGGTGGTCAGGCTGGTCTCGAACTCCTGACTTCAAGTGATTCGCCCACCTCGGCCTCCCAAAGTGCTGGGATTATAGGCGTGAGCCACACCATCTGGCCAGTTTCCTCTATTATTAACATCTTGCATTGGTGTGGTACATTTCTTACAACTGATCGATCAATATTGATACATTACTATTTGTTAAAGCCTGCAGTTTACCATCAAGTTTACTCTTTGTGTTGTATAGTTCTGTGGGTTTTGCCAAATCCATGGTGTAATGTATTCACCATCACCATAACATAATAAAGAATAGTTTCACTGCCCTGAACACCTTCTGTGCTCTGCCTATTCATCCCCACCTCCCTGCTAACTCTTGACAACCATGCATCTTACTTTCTTTACAGTTTTGCCTTCCCAGAATGTCATATAGTTGGAATCATACAGCACATAGCCTCTTTAGACTGGCTTCTTTCCTTAGCAATATGCAGTTAAGCTTCTCCCGTGTCATTTTGTGGCTCGATGGTTCTTTCTGTGCAATATTTCTTTGTCTGAACTTACAAGTTTATTTACCCATTCACCTATTAAAGGACATCTTAGTTGCTTCCAGTTTTTGGCAATAATGCATTAAGCTGCTATGAACATTTGTGTGCAGATTTTATGTAGGAAAAATGTTTTCAACTCATTTGGGCACATACCAGGGAGCACCGTTGATGGATTATATGAGAAAGACTGTGTTTAGCTTTGTAAAGCCCGATTTTTTAAAAAACCAATTTCTAACTAGCATTATCTAATAAAATAGGGGGAGAGTGGTAAGTTATGTGTTTACTTCCCACAGTGTAGAACTATAAAGCAGGCCCTACTTTTATTGGTACTAAACAAACTGTTCAGACTTCCAAGTGTAATCCTAAATTGTAGTATACTTGGATTTGGTGACTAATATGCTACATAATTGCCCTTTGATTTCATTTTTGCCTTTTCAATTTGACTGCCAAGTCAGACTATCTGAGAAGGCCCCTACCCACAGGAATAATATATTCTAGTGGGAGAGACAGTGAATAAGTATACAATTAAAACCTATAATCAGGGGAAAGTTGCTGGATAGAAAAATACCACAAATAAGCAGGCAAGAAAACAAATGAGTTTTCCCATTAACTTATAGTAGTGAGTCTGCTTGGGGAGCTAAACTAGAATTTGGGGAGGAGGATGGAAGAGGGAGGGTAACTCAGAGACAATTTGGCTTCAGGAAGGTACAGTTAGAAGCTGCCAATGATTCAAGTTGCCCTCCAACAGGGGAAGGCAAGTATTTTAAGGGAAATGATTCATGTGTTGGGCAAAGAACTTTAAAACATGAAGACAGAAAACAGGATGTCTTTACATCTTCTGTCTCCAAAGTCAGCAGCCTTTTGCTTCACCTTACGTCATACTCACTTCACCTCCTCCAACTAGAAGAAGCTTGCCTTTTTCTTACCACCCCACACATGGCTGTTTTGCACAGTCAGTGCTCAAGAAGAGTTTACTGCATTCAGAGGGGAAGCTTTTACCAAAACACATATGCAAAAAAGGACTTCACTTTTGCCTTCAAAGTTTAACTACACAAAAATCAAACAAAACCAGAAATACTGTCCTCTTGGCAATTAAGGTTTTTTTTCCTTTTAGTGGTATTGGAATGAAACCAGCATATACATTTTCAGAGCTTTATAATCATTAACTATTCTCCACCATCCTGGGAATTGTGAACTTGGATGAAGTCCAAGAATCTTAGCAACAAGAGAGCAGCTCCCAAGCACAACCCCAGTCCTCCGATGGGGCCAGAATCTCCCAGACAAAGCACTATTTATCGACATGAACTGTCTTGCTTGCAGAGCTGGAATCCCAAGGACCGAGCTAATGAGAAGACTCAGAGCCAGGGTGTCATATGGAGTTAGGAAGGCCAACCCATTAACAGTCTGTATCTCTGTGCTCTGCCCAGATTGGAGGAGATGCAGAACAAACATGTACGGTGGCTTCTGAAGGGTTCCAACACTTGACACTTGAACACCAGGAAAATCACTGTGTTTAACTGGGAGTGTGGGAAAGGACGCAGACCAGGCAATGTTTTCTGATTAGATGGGCAGGGCCCCGCCCGCATGGAGCAGCAGAGGCAGCCAGCTGTAGGTCCAGGGGGCAGGAATGTTCACAAACTCCTGAGCATGATGGTCAGGGCTTTCTGCTTGATGAATCTGAGGGTGAGACCCAACCCCTCTCCTCTCTTTCTAAACCTACCTCTTCCAAAGGCATTCCCTAGGGCCCAACTACTGGCGCCAATGAGAGATGCAACCTCAGCATAGCAGTAGGTGTCCCGTGATTTCAGAAGGATAATTTACTTCCCTGAAAACCCCTGAAAAAAGGAGGTAACATTTTTCTGCCCTCCATCTAGAATTTCCTTTGAATGTTAGCAAGATTTAGCAAGTCAAGCACAGAAGAGGGCTTCAATTTATGTTAATGACAGCCAATGATCACCAACATTTAGCTTCACACAGAGCAATGTGCTAAGCACTTTACATTCATCATCTTACTTTATCCTCACAACTCTATAAATTAGCAACCTCACAAATCCCACTTTACAAATGGAAAAACAGAGGCTTAGAGAAACTAAGGTTGGCAGCTCTCAAAGTGTTAGTCCTAGGACCAGCAGCATCAACATCAGGAAACTTGCTAGAAATGAAATTTCTCAGGCCCCACCCCAGCCACACTGAATCACAATCTCTGGGAGTGGGACAATCTAGCCTTTAACAAGCCTTGAAGAGAATTCTGATGCACACTCAAGTGTGAGGACCTGTGGACCAGGCAACTTGGCAAAACTACACAGCAAGTAGGATCTAAACACCAGCAGTTTGGCTCCAGAGCCCTGTTTTTAACCGCTGTGCTACGAATTTACCTGGACGCTAGACATAAGAGCTCCCGTCCTGCCTACAATCACAAACTCCAAATGTAGAGCATCAGCAGACATTAGTAAATGGTTGGCCTTTGAAAATGTCTGTCAGATTTATGTGGAGGGATAAAAGGGATAAGCAACCTGACTTTTCTACATTAAGGCTTTGGCATCTCACTGGCGTCATAAGGCACTGTCACATTCCTCATGGGAATGAAGATTTCCTGCTTGTGAATCACCACTCTCTGCCCCTGAAAGAGGGCACACCCACAGGCTACACCCAGACCTTATGGAAGCTTCATTTCACACCCAAGAAGTAAGGCAGATCAACTCAGTGGAACAAGGGAATGACGTGCAGAGAGCTGATATTCAAAACTAAAAAATTAATTTCAAGGGCAGAGGGAATGGTAGAGGAAGAGATTTGTTAAAGAATACAATATTACAGCTAGATAGGAGGAGTAAGTTCTAGTGTGCTACACAGCATTGTAGGATGATTATAGTTAACAATAACATAGAGTTTCAAATAGCTAGAATTATATCAAATGTTCCCAATACAGAAAAATTATAAATGTTTGAGATGATGGATATGCTATTACCCTGATCTGATCACTATACATTATTTGTATCAAAACATTACTATGTACCCCATGAATATGTACAATTATTATTTGTTGGCTTAAAAAAAATAAAATAATATTGTAAAAAAAACTAAAAAATTATTAGCGTCTGTATTAGAGTCTTGGGACTGCCATCGTAAATTACTACAAACCAGAAGGCCGAGCACAATGGAAATTTATTGTTAAACAGTTCTGGAGGCTAGAAGTCTCAAATCAAAGTATTGGCAGGTCTGTGTTCACCTGAAACCTATAAGAGAAGGATCTTTCTTGCCTCTTCCAGTTTCTGGTGGTCCCAGATGTTCCTTGGCTTGTGGCTGCATAATTCACATGGCACTTTCCCTGTGTCTCTTCATATCATCTTCCCTCTATATGTGTCTGTGTCTGTCTCTGTGTCCAAATTTTTCCCTTTTTATAAGGACATGATTCGTGTTGGATTAGGGGCCCATCCTACTCTAGTAATTATACATCCTAACTAATTATATCAGCAATGAGCCTATTTCCAAATAAGATCAAGTCTTGAGGTACTGGGGGTTAGGACTTCAGCATTTGAATTTGAGAGGGACACAGTTCAATCTATAACAACATCTATTTTGAGGGTAAGAATTAGACTACAGAAATTTTCATGCATGGTGTTTGCTGCAGGACCATTTCAAAGAATCTAAGACTGACATTAATGAGCCACCTACGTGAGGGCAGTTTCCATCATGGCTGATTATCAGAATCACCTGGTACTTGTTAAAACTAGAGTTTCCCAGGCCTCATCCTGTATATCGTGAATGAAAAAGGGATTCATGAATCTGTATGTTAACAAATGCCCCTGTGGTTCTGATGTAGTCAGCACTTCAGTGCCCTCAAATTTGGGAAGCACAGTTCTAGCCTAGTGGGATGTTCAACATTCTACCCCATGGGACAGCCAAGTCTAAGGTGGTACCCAGGCTCCCTGCAGCACTCCAGCTCCATGATGTCCACGGTGAGCCCTAAGCTCAGACCAGCTACTCTGGAATACTCAAGGGGGAGTGCCCAAGACCTCCCCAGGTTTTTCTTTATTATGCTTAGGCCCTAGTCTGCCTGGTTTTGTCCAAAAGGTCAGGGAAACCTGACTTCTAAGCCAGATGAATTCACTGGATGGGAGCCAAGTTGAACCAGATCCCCTGGGATCCATTTCCACTAATTAAATAACTTCTCCCCTTCAGAGAAACATAGGCAGGGCCACTGCGAACCAGTGCCCAATTCAAGGAGGAAGACACCAGAAGCACCTTCATAACTCTGAGCGGAGCCTGGATGAGCAGCTGCATGGAACATGGGGAAAGCAGGAGTCAGTGAGGGAAAATATCAGGCAGGGTCAGCACCACATCTTCCCTCCTAGGTCACACCTCCTTCCCCAACCTACCTCCACGGACTCCCTATTAGCAGCCCAAGACCAGAGAGAATGGCCATTGTAACAACTGCACTTGCCAGACATGGCAGCCAAGAGCAGGAGCCTTGGCCTGGGCGTCTAGGCTCGTCAAGTAATCGTGCTTCTCAGAACCCCCATTTCTTCATCTTTCTGCTCCTCATCATGGATCTTCTCATAATGAGGAATAGATACACACTCAAGCCAGATAGCAAAAGGCAGCTGACTCATTATAATACAGGTCCCATGGAATCCAAGGGTAGGAAAGATTCCACCTGGCCTCATGGGAACCAGGAAGCTGTTAAGAACGATGGCTCTATCTTCCAAGGCCTGCATGACCCATCTCTCCTCATTATACCTCCTCTCACATCTCCCATTCTCTCCATCTAAGGGCTTCCCTGCCACTACCTCAGTGTGCACAGTCATCATCACAGTTGCCTCAGTTCCCAAGACCTTACAACCTTTCAGCTCAGTTCCCAACAGCTCAATGGCTCAGTCCCTCAGTGTCCCCATTCTAAATTCCCAGGAGAGGAATCCAAGTCCATCCTGGTCAAGCAGGCTTCCTTCACCCAGCTAGCTGCAATTAAGGATAGGGCACTCAGTACAAACCAGGAGCCTCAGTAGGGCCAGAGAGGGCTGCTGGGGGAATGATGGGCAGCACCCCACAGCATGTCTACTGCAGTCATGATAAAAATACTCAAGGGGGATTCTCAGGACTTCCCCAGGTTTTTCCCCCTGATACATTTTTCCCTGGGAAAAAAGTTACCCCCATTTGTCAAGCATCTATTGGATGACAGACACTGAGCCATGTGATGCAATCCTCACTTCAAACATTCAAGGTCATTACTACAGACACAGAAATTGAGGCTCACAGGGTTGTGGTAACTTGTCCAGGACCACTCAGATAGTAATGGGTGAAGCAGGAATTCCAACTCAAGTCGACCAGGTTCCACAGCCTTGCACTTGCCTATCTGCCATCCACCTCGAGGCGATTGCACCAGGAGATGGTACCATTTCCTCGAATCAGGATAAAAAGCAGAAGTTAACCATTTGCACTGCCTGTCCCACCAGGCTATACTGAAAACGACATGAAATCATGGACTAGAAAGTGCCTTGGGACACCTGAATAAAGACAAATGTGAAGTCTCAGATGTGCCTGTTACGGCCCTCCCATGGCATGGCGTTTGCTCACTGGACATTTCCCTGAGGACCACAGAGCATTTTTTGCCCCTTTTCTCTGTTGTCAGAATTAGTCAAGACCACAGCAGGGGACTTAGAAGCTCTCCAAGACCCCTTGGAAAGAACTGCCTGCTGCTTACAATCCAGTGGTGTGGCCCCCAGTAAACAGGATCTGAATTTTCAGCCCTGTGCTTGGCACTCCAAGGTAGGTAGCTGTTTGAATTGGAGTGACCTTCTTGTTTTTCACTAAAAAACTTAGCCAAAGGAGTTCATTAATTAGGCCCAAGTTGGGCATAACAGAGCACAAACCACCTCAAACGCAACTCTCAAATGCTAACGCCACCCTTCAAATCCCAAGGTGGGGGCCAACCCCTTAGAATCTCTGCCCCAGAAGGGAGGTGGCTTTCCAGGGGTTCGTCCACATTCTGACATGGAAGGGATGAAAGGTATGATCTGAGGCCATGGAACAGGCCATGTTCTTTGGCCCTCATGTTGGTTAATTTTATGTGTCATCTTGGCAAGGCTATGTTGTCCCGGTGTTTGATCCAATACTAGTCTAGATGTTGTTGTGATGGTATTTTTCAGATGTGATTAACATTTACAATTACATTGACTTTAAGGAAAGCAGAAGGTACTCTATAATGTAGGCAGGCCTCATTTCATCAGTTGAAGGCCTCAAAAGCTAAAATAATGGCTTTCTGGGAAGGAAGGAATTCTGCCTCGAGAAATTCTGCCTGAGTTTCCAGCTTGCCAGCCTGCCCTACAAATCTCAGACTAGAGATTTCAATATCAATTCTTCTCTGAATTTACAGCATGCCAGTCTGCCCTACAGTCCCTTAAAATAAATCTCCCTCACTTCCTCTCTCACTGTTGCTCTCTAGTCATCTCTGAAGAATCTTGACTAAAGTCCTCAAACACTAGACCACCAATGGCAGCTGATGACATTCACCTCACACTGACTGAACAGCTTCTGCAGGTGAAAAGCAGACCACGCCGTGCAGTGCCTGGGTGCAGGTGTTATAGACTGAGTCCCCTCCTCCTCCCATGGGCTCCTGTCTTTCCTCCAGAGACAGGTTCTCACTTTGAAGCTTAGTGATTATACTATGCAGAAATGACCCCGAGAATTATTCCAATTTTTGGACACTCGGTGTGTGCCCCACAGACCAGCTGCATGAGCATCGCCTGGGAGCTTATTGGAAATACAGGTCAGGCCCCATCTCAGACCAGCTGAATCAGAATCTGCATCTTAACAAGATTCCTAGGTTATTCAGGCACACATAAAGTTTGAGAGGCACTGTGATTGAAAGCAGCCCCATATTCCAGGATGTACACTAGACAAGATGTTAATAGATATGGGTGGAGTTCCTCATTAAACTCTTGCCAGATCTGAGCACTTGGCAAAACTAATAAGGAAATAGATATTTCTCAGAACTAAATAACAATAGGTTACATTAATGAGGTTTCACTAAGTGCCAAGCACTGAACTAAGGACTTTGTATGTATTAACTCTCCCAGCAAACCTGAGGAAAGTACCATTAACATGCTCATTTTACAAAGGGCAAAACAGAAATACAAAAGATGTTAAGCAACTTGCCCAAGGTCACACAGCAAATAAATAGCTGAGTCAGTATTTGAACTCAGGGAGCCCAGCTCCATAGGCTTATTCTGCCTCTCAAATTCAAAACACAGGGTCCTGTCAATGTTATATCAGGTATATAAGAGAAGATCTAGCATGAAAATAATCGCATCTGACTGTGGGGTTTGAGGAATGCTTCATAAAGAAGTCAACTTTTGAAATGGTCTTTGGACAACAGGTAGGAGTTTGGTAGGTGTTATAAGCTGTGGTGTCTTCCATGGGTAAGAAGGCTGTTCCCATGAAACAAGATGGAGTTTTCTACACAGCCAGGTACTCCTACGTGGATGCTGTTCCCTCTAACTGGAAAATCCCCAGCATCACCCCTTCCTGCTTCATCTGGTTACCTGGTTTCTCCTGGTGGGTGTCCTCCTTCAGATCTCAGCCTTCAGAGACTCCCACACTAGGTCAGGTTTCCCTTCTGGGCCCTCCTAACACCAATGGCTTTTCCTTCATGACACCTACACCAGCTTATAATTCAAGTTATTAGGAGAGTGTCTGATTAATGTCTGACTCTCCCACTAGACTGTGAGCTTCTTGAGGGCAGGAACTATGTCTTTCTGTACTCGCTTGTGAATGTCTGGGGGCTAGCCAGTGCCTGGCACACAGTCAGCACTCGGCACTCAGTAACTGTTAAGTGGATGCACGGCAAGGATTATCTGCATTTCTCAATCATCAGCACCCATCCCCTACATCCGCACAGAAGTTGGAGAATGGGCTGCAACCCACAGCAGGAAACCAGCCTCCCCTTGATTAATAAATGACAAACAAGAATGCTGCCAAACCTGCATACCTTGGGTTTATCCGTTTCAACTCATTCCTAATGTGAACTCACAATGAGCACAGACAAATAGCTGTTTGTAATCCTAACAGCTGTTACTTGTAAAAGGTTGTACTGTTACCCCCAAAGCATAAATCAGAAGATGGAAACTAAATCATGCATTTATATTAAAAACATGGAATACATTCCAACAATGCCGTGGCTTCTCCAAATCTCAAGATCAAAAAGGAACGAAGTTAAGTTGAATCCTTCTGAGTTTAAGGCACCGCGAGGTTAGTTCAAACACCAGTACCATTGACCTAAGGGGCAAATTCTCCAGGACTGTATAATAGATTTGACAAATTTTTGCAAGTAAATTCTCTGTTCATTATGAAAACCTTCTTTCAGAGGCAAGCACTATTTTGATAAGGAATTAATTTAGTGGTAAATGAAAGAATCCATTGCAATTCAGAGCCCTGCCTCGTGTGGTCAGCTTGGGAACCTATCGCAAACCCTTCATTTCAGGCCACTTGGCTACTAGACTGTTTAATAAAGGCATCTCTTTTCCAAATCAGGTTGCCATTTATCAAAGCTGCAATTCTTCTCCTGAGGGTCCAGTTCCATGTTCATTTGCTTGTTTACCGAGTCTCATTTAGTCTTTTTTAGCTCCAAATATAAATCTGTCTCCAACTTTGACTTAGGACCAAGGATTTCTAAAAGCAAGTCAGACTTCAGAATGTTGTTCTTTCCTGTAGCAAAGTCTTATCAGATCCCACCACACACATACTGATCTTGTGAAAATAAACTTACTGGAAAACCAATAAGAAGCCCAGCTTTGGGACTGGTGACAGTGAAAACAAATCATAAATGTAGCCCATAGCTACAGAAGGCTCTACTTGCAGAGGCTTCTTTTATTCTCCAAATATGGCAAAGGATTTGCTAAGAGACATTCAATTCTCCTGCAATTCTGGATTGCCCAAAGCAAATATAATTTGAAGCATTAATATCTAGTAGCCCAGTGCAGTCAGAGCTGACATGAAGTCAGAAATAACTGATTTCAGAAGAAAGGATTTCTCTAGACAAAGGAATGATTGCATTTCCAGTTGCCCTTTGAGACATTTGAGTCTCAAAAGGGCTGGTTTGTTCTCAAGAAGACAAAAGTTTTAGGATATTGGATGAAGAATTTCTTCAATGTGGTTTGTTAATCTCCTTGCTAAGTCTGAGACTCCTAAAGAGAAATGATTCATTTATGACTCAGTTCATCCTTCTGCTTCATGACCTAGTACATGAAAGACAACAGAAAGGTCAATGTTTTCTCTGTTAGACAAGGTCCTGTCAAATATTTATGATTGAGGGCCAGGCTATTTACATCTAGGAAGCAAATTCTTCCTCATTCAGGACTTTCCAAAAATCTTCCAGCATTGAAACTTAAATTTAAGCACTTAGACCAAGAATCTCACAGGAGCATCCTGATGGCTGAACTTAGCTGGTATATGTGTTTCAACTGGCACTGACTATTTTTTAAATTGAATTTCTGAGTCTTTGGACATGCCACCCCTTCTATTATACACCTGATTTGCTTCACTAATGTACTTTACCTGCTGGCTCTTGAAAGTATTTGAGTTTCTTAACCCTCATAAAGATGGAATCTTCCTAAAAAGTGTTGTGTCCTTCCCACTATTCTTAAACAGAATATCTAGAATATTGAAACCAACTTGATACTCCCATAGACTGTTCTTTTTGATAAACATAGAAATCGGCCCTTGTGCTGTTAAAGCTTAAAACTTGTATTTGTTTTATCTGAGTTCCTTCCTCCTTCAGAGCTTCTCAAAAAAAGTATCAAAGAATTGAAATGCACCAGAGCATGGCACCAGATGCCTCCTTGCCTCTCCCTAGTTCTTGTTTCCTTACACATTGTTACATTTCTTCCCTGCTACATAAACCCTTAGTTTTAGTCAGTCAGGGAGATGGATTTGAGACTGAGCTCCCATCTCCCTGATGGAGCACCCAATTAAAGCCTTCTTCCTTGGCAATACTTGTTGTCTCAGTGATTGGCTTTCTGTGTGGTGAGCAGCAGGACCTGGACCAAACCTCTGGTGTTTCAGCAACAAAATAACTTAACATTCTCTTAATAATTTAAAGTTATCACAGTGAAACTCAGTGATTATACCACACAGAAATGCCCTTGTGGATTATTCAGATTTGGGGACAATCAATAGTCCCAGGATGCTATGCTTCTTGAGCTTTTTAAAGCTGCTTCATCTTGCCCCATCTATGTGATCATTACCTATTCCATTTCACTGTTGCCTCTGTGCCTGCCATCACCATAACCAAACACACATACACACATACAGAGAGAGAGAGACTCCTGACACGTATAAACGCTTTCTAACCCTCCACTGTTCTGTGGTCTAGAAAACAAGAAGTTAATTTGATTAGAATTGTGTGCAGAATAGTAGTAAATAGGATCTGAGTTAGGAAGTCCTTAAGGAAGTTGTCTCTCTTTTTAAAATTTTTTTCATTTTTAATTTTTGTGGGTACATAGTAGATGTATATATTTATGGGGGACATGAGATGTCTTGATACAGGCATGCAATATGAGATAAGCACATCAAGTGGAGAAATAGGAACACTTTTACACTGTTGGTGGGACTGTAAACTAGTTCAACCATTGTGGAAGTCAGTGTGGCAATTCCTCAGGGATCTAGAACTAGAAATACCATTTGACCCAGCCATCCCATTACTGGGTATATACCCAAAGGACTATAAATCATGCTGCTATAAAGACACATGCACACCTATGTTTATTGCACCACTATTCACTATAGCAAAGACTTGGAACCAACCCAAATGTCCAACAATAATAGACTGGATTAAGAAAATGTGGCACATATACACCATGGAATACAATGCAGCCATAAAAAATGATGAGTTCATGTCCTTTGTAGGGACATGGATGAAATTGGAAATCATCATTCTCAGTAAACTATTGCAAGAACAAAAAACCAAACACCGCATATTCTCACTCATAGGTGGGAATTGAACAATGAGAACACATGGACACAGGAAGGGGAACATCACACTCTGGGGACTGTTGTGGGGTGGGGAGAGGGGGGAGGGATAGCATTAGGAGATATACCTAATGCTAAATGACGAGTTAATGGGTGCAGCACACCAGCATGGCACATGTATACATATGTAACTAACCTGCACATTGTGCACATGTACCCTAAAACTTAAAGTATAATAATAATAAAATAAAATAAAAAAGAGATAAGCACATCAAGATGGCAATAATAAATGCAAATTCTTCATCACCATTTTGACTGCTCAGAAATCATCACTGTTTCACAGGCTCTTTAAAAAAAGGTCAGTAAATACACGACTCCTGTCTAATGAAAAGAAAGTTAGCAATTGAAATTCTGAGAATACAATCTCCCACAAAAAATCAAAACCCACTCACTGAGCCAAACAAAAAGCATGCTCACTGACCTCCAATTCTTGGCCATCACTGCCAACTACAAAAGAAATAATTAGAAACAAACAGCCACAGACGCTATACTCTTGAGTTGAAGAGGAAACATCAAGAGCGCATTGCATCCAGTACTGTCATACAAGTCATTCACATAAGCAGAAAGCCACTTTCCAGTCCCTAGATAACTATGGCCAAGCTAGCCCAGCCAAGAACCTCTTCTCATTCTGTACTAGAAGGCCACAAAAGCAGCTCACTCAGAGGGGCTGGGCTGCCTTGCTCCTCTTAATCCAGTCAGGCTCACTGGCCATCCTCAGTCCAGGTTTTTATCTCTTCTCACTTGAGCTACTACAATGACTCCCCCAACTGACCTCTCTGTCTCCCTGAGTCATCCGGCCACTTTTTAATCCTCTGCTCACATTGCATTGCATCCAGAGAAAGACAAATTTCAGTCTGTCTCCCTTTTACCTAAATTTTAAAAAGACTACTTTCCTCAACCTCCATCATTTGGCTACATTCATCCTCATCACAGCCCCAGACTGTGGCCAACCACATTTCTCTCTGCTTTCCCACCACACCATAGTCATTGCCACCTCCTGCCTTTTTTCGTGCTCTGTGGCTTCCAGAAACACCGTCTTTTCCTCTGTGTCTGTCCAAACTCCACCCATCCTTCATATTGCCACTTAAGAAGCTGTTCCCAGACACCCTATCCCTTAAGGGTGCTCCTTTCATTCAACTCCTTACAGCTCCCAATATTTTAAGCACTCCTTTTATTTTCCACTGTCCTGGGCATAGGCCCTGGCCCTGGAGTAGAGCAGGAATCTGACCCAAAACTTCTTTGGGGTCTCCTACTTAATATCTATCCCTCTAAATCCTAATATGTTCTATGAACACAACTGCCCTTGTACATGATGACCCTAAGAACAGCAAAGTTTATATTTGGAGAAACTGCAGACCTCTCCCAGAATGACACATTGCCCTTCAAATCTCACGGAGAAAGAGCGTGTGGGCCAAGTGCCCAGATATCTAGCAAAGAAAGGCAAGTCAGCCTCCTCCCTTCCCCCAACCCGCCACTCTTGCCAGACAGCATTTAAAATGCACTTCAGCGCGTTCCTCTTTTATTTGGAAAGGAAACAAGTCTTGACATTCTGTTTCTCCCATTTCATTAAGGACAGAGGTCATCCCAGGAAGGGGAAGGGTAGTTTCCAAAGAGAACTTGTGAGGGAGTGGAGGTGGGGCAGGGGACGCTCTCGTCCCTTCTCGTTAGCCCACTTTACCCTTTGAAGAGAACAAGCCCAGCTTTCACAGTGAATTATTTGCAGGGTGGCTTCTGCCAGGACTGGGCTCTCGCTAGCTGAGGCAATACCCGGAAGGATTACATGATAGCTCAAGGACAGACAAGGTGTCCAGAAGGAACTGGCCGGAGGAGGTGACACTGAGACAGCCTGGAGATAAGGGGGTAGAAAAGGGAGAAGGGAGGAGGTAGGGGGTGTGTGTTAAATAGAAACTCAGAAAAAGCTAAACCTGTACATTTCTCTCTCTCTCTCTCTCTCTCTGTCTCTCTGTCTCTCTCTCTCTCTCTCTCTCTCACACACACACACACACACACACACACACACACACAGGCATGCACAGAAACACATTCTTTGCTTTCCCTCCCCATCTGTAACTCCCCAAGGCATTTCTATAAATAAACGATAGGCCCCTGAGCCTGCAATAGGACCATTATTAACTCTTGCAGTGTTCTGGCTATAAGTGTGTGAACACTTTTCCTCACTTCATGGTTTGCAAAGCCTTTTCCCATATGTAATCTCCACCTGACTCCTACATCACACACTTGAAAAGTCCTTTAGCTTCTCCTCATCATTCCCATATATAGAATTGGGCACCCCACACCCACACTCTCAAAGTTCTTAGCCTTAAAGCTGTAAGTTTCAAGTTGGCTACTCCAAAAATTTCTTATGGTTTGAGCCACATTATCTATTTTCAAAATTATCAAATATTGTACATATTTATGGGGTACAATGTGATATTTCGATATATGTATACATTGTAGAATGATCAAATCAAGCTAATTTAACAGGCTCATCAACTCACATACTTACGATTTCTTTGTGATGAGAACATTTAAAATCTATCTTTTAGCAATTTTGAAATATGCAATATATTATTATTAACTATAGCCACCATGCTGTGCAACAGATCCCCAGAACTGACTCCTCCTGTCTAAAAATGAAACTTCGTACACCTTGACCAACATTTCCCCATTCCCTATCTGCCCCCACCTATCAGCCTCTTATAACTACCATTCTACTCTCTACTTCCATGAGTTTGAAGTTTTTAGATTTCACATTCTAAGTGAGATCACATAGGATCTATCTTTCTGTGCCTGGCTTATTTCACTTAGCATGATGTCCTCCAGGTTAATTCATGTTGTCATCACAAATAACAGAATTTTCTTCTATCTTAAGGATGAATAGTATTTTGTTGTGTATATATACTAAAATTTTTATCCATTCATCTATTGATGGTCACTTAGGTTATTTCCATATCTTGGGTATTGTGAATAATGCTGCAATTCACATGGGAGTGCAGATATCTCTTCAACGTATTGATTTCAATTCATTTGGATGTACACCCAGAAGTGGGATTGCTGGATCATATGGTAGTTCTATTTTCCATTTTTTCGGGAACCATCATACCGCTTTCCAAAATGGCTGTACTAATTTACATTCTCACCAACAGTGTACAAGAGTTCCCTTTAATCCAGAGGCCTTTACATGCATAATGTCACTTAAATTCCACAAGAATCCTGAAGGGTAAACATGATCAAGGCATGTCAGAGGAGGAAAGTGAAGCTCTAATGTTACGTTATGTGACAGGAGTGTAGAGTATGGGGTGCAGTGTCTTGAACCCAGGTCTGTATAGCTATAGTGCACGTGTTCTTCACTCCTGCCCTGAGGTCCTCTTCCTAAAAGTTCTTTATCATCTAAGATTCCAGAGCATCTACCGGGGGGTTTAGTCAGACATCTGGAATGCCAGGATTCATAACCAATTAAGCTTCCCCATGCCTATAGTGGTGTCTTTTACTTTTCACTTCAACATTTATTTTGCCAGACTCCATACTAGGTAAAGTGGGTAAAGCAGTCAATAAGACACACATGTCCTGCTCTCATAGAACTTAAAGTCTGATTAAAAGAGACGATTCATAAATGCACACACAATTAAATAAATGGACCAATTTGCCAAGAAGCTTCAAATCCACAGAGAATAAACACAATGTAGTTTTCATTTTTTTCCACTATCCTTGACTTGCTATGTCAAATCATCTCCTCCTCTTTCCCCCCCTTTAAAATATCTCACAGTTTCCATTACTTCCTGTCACTTTCAGCTATTCAGTTTAGTCAAGACCAGTTTAAACCTCCATCTCAGATCTGATCCCAAGCCCTCTGCCCTCCCAGAGTAGCCAAGACTTGCTGCCACTGGGGCTTGGCATAGATCCAGGTGGGTCTGCTCTGTCTCTGTTCTCACCTCTCTACCCACCTCATCAGGATGTAGTTCCCTCCATGGCAGGGGTGGGAAGGGGAAGGGGTGTTTGAGCTCTTCCTCCCCAGGCCCCAGCCCTTGCCACTTGTAGCCCACCTCACAAACTCTTGTTGCTTGGAGACCCTCATCCAGAGGGTGGCTATCTTCGGGGGGCAGAGGGGGGCACAGCAAGTCAGCCCAGGCCCAGTACCTTCCTCAGCATTCTTTTGACGCGTGGGAAATCTAACCATCCTGCTGAGCCAAGCTGTGGGAAGGAGCCTGTGCCATGGCCACACCGTATTTCAGCCCTGCCTTCTCTCTCCAATGTTTCTCTTCTCCTGGGACAGGGCTGACAGCAGGACTGCTGCCCAGGCAGATGTCTAGCCAGTAAACATGACATTAGTGATCCCCTTAGCACCCCCAACTCTCCTTTGGCTTGGAGGAGGGAAAACCCCTGTTCCTGGTCCTGCTCCTGGGAATATGCTCACAAGGAACTCTGTACCTCCTCCAGGCTGAAAACTCTGAGCCCCTTATTCCAGCCCAGACTTCTCCTTACAGACCCAGGACAGGGGCAGGGTTGGTGGTATTAAGGCCAGTTCTGCCACTGCATTGCTGAAGGCTGGTTAAGAGCTCTCTTTAGAAAACCAGAGTGCTTAGCACTTTCTGGGTCACCTTTGGGCAATGGCAGCCATTCCAAGACAACAGAACAAAATCTCACTCACACCCTATTACATAGAATTCTAATTGTGAGATGTGTGAGAAAGGAAAAGAACAGGGTGCTATGAGAGGAAATGCCCATGCTCAGGATCACACTTCTGGATCTCAAATCCCAGCTCTGCCCCTTATTAACTGTGTGATCTTGGGCAGGTTACTTCGCCTCTCTGTGCCTCAGCTTCCTTATTTGTAAAATGGTGATGATAACAGTACATACCTCATAGGACGAAATGAGAAAATGTAAACAAAACTCTTAACATAGCGCCTGTCACATTAATAAATGCTCAGTAAACGTAAGTTCCCTGAGGGATCCAGGCACCTCACAGGCACCCAACAACACTTGATGAAATAATGAATGAGGTAGTGAGACCCCATCTCTACAAAAAATTAAAAATTAGCCAAATATGGTGGCACATGCCTATAGTTCCAACTACCTGGGAAGCTGAGGTAGGAGGATCACTTGAGCCCAAGAGGTTGAGGCTGCAGTGAGCTGTGATCATGCTACTGTACTCCAGCCTGGGCAACAGAGCAAGACTCTGCCAAAAAAAAAAAAAAAAAAAAAAACACAGAATTACACTTACACATAGATTTTCTTTCTTTCTTTTTTTTTTTTTTTTTTTTGAGTTGGAGTCTCGCTCTGTCGCCCAGGCTGGAATGCAGTGGCGCGATCTCGGCTCACTGCAAGCTCCGCTTCCCGTGTTCACGCCATTCTCCTGCCTCAGCCTCCTGAGTAGCTGCGACTACAGGCGCCTGCCACAGCGCCCGGCTAATTTTTTTTGTATTTTTTTTAGTAGAGACGGGGTTTCACCGTGTTAGCCAGGATGGTCTCAATCTCCTGACCTCGTGATCCCCCTGCCTCGGCCTCCCAAAGTGCTGGGATTACAGGCGTGAGCCACCGTGCCCGGCCTACACATAGATTTTCAATCCATATTAGAAAGGCTAACAAGGGCCATATTATG
Organism: Homo sapiens; assembly: GCF_000001405.40. NCBI lineage: Eukaryota > Metazoa > Chordata > Mammalia > Primates > Hominidae > Homo > Homo sapiens. Next base: position 91,612,813 of record NC_000010.11, read on the forward strand.
TGTAGTTTGAGAAAAGAGAGGGCAGGAATATATCTTACTTCTGTAGATTCAGTGCCTACCACGTAGTAGAAGCTCAGTCAATCTTTTTTTTTTTTTTTGCGTTGAACTGAAAATAATTATGTTATGCTGAAATCCCTCCCATGGAACCCAGGGGATATTGGTGAAATTAAACCACATAAAACTTGAGTAGTGTTAATGTTTTGTTCATAACTTTCATGAATTTTGCATATATTTCATGGCATTTACATTAAATTCATAAATAAAATCTTAAAAAATAATAATGAATGAGGGAGAATGGCTGGGAATACCTATTTTAGATGGGGTAGTCAGAGAAGACCACTCTGAGAAGGTGACACTTAAGCTTTGACATAGATGATAAGACAGAAGTCAGCTGAAGAGCAAAGGGATCATATTGCCCTGGAATCAGATTACAGAATAGACCTAGAAAATTCGCCTTTGACATTTTAATACCATGTATAAATACAGGGTTATAAGATATTATTCCCTCTGGACCAAAGATTGTCATAACACCCAGGAGCCAAAGTCCTCCAGATACCTCTGTCTCCATCACAGCAGCTCTAACTGTGCAGTTATTTGCCACCAAGGCAGTTCCTTTGGGGGTTTCTTTCCATTTTTTTAAAGTTGTTAGTCAGGACTTTGGTAGCAATGAGCTCAAGATCCTGGCTAGATGGTAAGTCAGATTTCACATGATCTAAACAGTCAGAGCCAGAGAGTGTCAGCTACCACAAGGAAGAGAGTATATCATAAATCCAGAGTAGACATATGAACAAGCAGTTTATAGACTGGGCTTACCCAAAGATTAATTTTGAAGGTCATATCATCCAACAGAGTACATAACTGGACACTTGAGTCTGTGCATGTCTCTGGTTACAGCTGGTTTTAGTTACTTTGAGTCTGGTCAGCATTATAAATGGTCAGCATTATAAATGGCTGGGATAAAGTATCTGCCGGAGGAATTGGCATAAGCATGTGACTCACCAGCCCCTCTGACTCATGGGACACACAGTTGTCCTGAGCTATTAATCCATTGACAGAGCATGAGTGAGACAGAGGGGCTGTGAGAAGCTGTACTGACAAATAGCCGGAAGCACCCACTGCCCATCGTTATGACTGTATCCTTTTGTGATATGGAGCATCGATATCTTTTGTTGCTGTGATAGGAAGTTTTTGGCATAGGTGTGGCCTGATCATTGTTTTCAAGCACACTAAACCTAGATGGTGATATAATGGAATTGTTGACACTGTTCCCAAGACAGCAGGATGTCTCCACCCTGGTTTGATGGTGTTCATTTAGATAAATAAGGGCTGGGATACTGTGCTAGGAGTCAGAAAGGCAGTGTGGTGTAGGTGCCTATTGTTGTAGGTGGTGGTATCAGCAAGGGGAGTTCATTACATGGTGCCAATTAGAATGTCCAAGGAGGTTGGTTTCCATGTTAAATAGGATTGACCTTTCTGTCACCCAGAAGCCCAAGTGTAAGCACTAAGAATCTAGAGAATAGCTGATCCTTCACAGAAACACCTAAGGATTTGGCTTTATTTCCGTGTCTGCAACAGCAGTGAGAGCCCAATGGAATGTTAGACTCAACTTGATGCAATCTGGCATCTCAAAATCGTAAAGAAGGTTTGAAACAACACATAAAAATGAACTACTGTCATGAATTCAAACCACATCCTAAAGGCTGCCAGAACAATGCTTTCAAATCCCAGATGTTCCAAAACAATTTATTATTCTTAAAGGTTATACAGGGAAGCAATCACCCCCACCCCACCCCCAAAAAAATAGGAAAAGAAAATAAAAGTCCCACATAGGATACAAATGAAAACATTTCTACTGTGCTTGTAGGTACTAATAAAACCTGTTTATAATTTTCTATTATAAAATATTATTTACGGCCGAGCTCATGCTTGTAATCCCAGCACTCTGGGAGGCCGAGGCAGGTGGATCAGGAGGTCAGGAGATAGATTCCATCCTGCCCAACATGGTGAAGTCCCATCTCTACTAAAAATACAAAAATTAGCTGGGCGTGCTGGTGCGCACCTGTAGTCCCAGCTACTCAGGAGGCTGAGCCAGGAGAATCGCTTGAACCTGGGAGGCGGAGGTTGCAGTGAGCCAAGATCACGCCACTGCACTCCAGCCTGGGTGGCAGAGCCAGACTCCATCTCAAATATATATTATATAATATATACAATATATATAATATATATTGTATATATTATATAATATATACAATATATATTATGTATATTGTATATATTATATACAATATATAATATATATTATATAATATTATATACAATATATAATATATTATATATAAATATATAATAAAAATATATAATATATAAAATAATATATAATGTATATAAAAGAAATGTTTGCTTAAGAAAGAAATTATTAGCAATAATTTGGATCCTCCTTTGTAACCCTCCCCAATTTCCTCCATCCCTCTACCCAGAAGTAATCACTAGGCCAAGTTCCACTTTTTATTTCCTTGCTTTACTTTATTATTTTCATATATATGAAATATATATTCATTAAATATATATGTATATTCAGTTTTGTGTGGTTTTGAACTCTATGTAAATGAATCATATTGTATATATTTTCTGCAACCTGCCTTTCTTGCTCAATTTTATGTTTGTGAGGTTCATTCATGTTGGTAGGAGTAGCTGCCATTCATCTTCACTTATATTTTGTATTCCATTGAAATGATAGAATTTATTTATCCAGTCTACTCAGTGGATATTTGTGTTGATTTCCATTTTTGCTTTTACAAATAACACTGTTATAAACATACTTATATATCTCTTGATACAGATGTACAAGAGTTTCTTTGTAGGATATATACATAGAAGTAGAATTGCTCTGCATCTTCAACTTTACAGCGTCAGAGTGTTTCCCAAATGGTGGTGGTGGCACCAGTTTATACTCTCACCAGCAGAGTATGAGACCCATTGTTCACAAACTCACCAACACTTGCTTTTTACAGATGTTTAAATTTTTGCCATTCAGGTAGATGTGAGATAATATCTCCTTGTAGTTTTAATTAGCATTTCCCTAGTTATAAATGAGGTCGAGTATCTTTTCATATGTTTATTGGCCATTCATGTTTTCTCTTCTGTGAAGAGTACTCAAGTCTTTTTGCTTGTTTTTCTATAGGTTTTTTTGCTTATTAAGTATTGGACTTCTTTATATATTCTGGATACTACTCCTTTGTCAATTACAGCTGCTCCCAGTTTGTTGCTAATCTTTTCACTTTCTTTATGTCGTCTTTTGATTTTTTAAAAAAACAAAATTTTAAATTTTAATGTGGTTAAACTAATCAGTTGTTTCCCTTTGGTTTGTGTTTTTTCTTTTATTTTAGAAAGCCTTTCCAACTCCAAGGTCCTAAAAGACTACTCATCTCCAAAAGGTTTTAAATAACTTTCCCTTTCATCTTTAATTATTTAATCCCTTGGAACTGATTCCTGTGCAAGACATGTGGTGGGAGCCTGGTTTCATGTTTTTCCACGTGGATAACCATTTGCTCCAGAGCCAAGTACTGTGAAGTTCATTTTCTTTCCACTCAGCATCATCTCCAGCTCTGTCATAAGCCAGGTCTTCAGATATGGATAGGTTTCTTTCTAGGCTCTATATCTTGTTTCACTGGAAATTTGTCCACCCCTGAGCTAACTGATATACCCCACTGAATTAGTTACATAATTTCATAAGAAATCTTGTTACACTAAGATTTCTTATGAAATCTTATTTGTTACACTAAGTCCCCCATTATGTTCTTTTCCTTTAGAAGGCTTTTGACTCTTCTTGACTCTTTCTGCTTCTACATGAATTTTAGAAGCAATTTGTCAAGTTCTTAAAAACACACACACAACCAACCCATTGGTATCTTGGTTTTAATTGGCATTGCATAAAGTAGTAGATAAATATCTTTGTAATATTACCTTCCTAACCATAAATATGGAATAGTTTTTCATTTGTAGAGCTCTTTTAAAACATTTAAATACATTTTTATGATTTTTTTCCATAAAGATCTTGTGAAACTTTTGTTATATTTATTCTAAAGAAATTATATTATAATTATTGCTGCTATTGTAAAGTAGCCTATATATAATGTATATATAAAAGGACTATTTTGCAATAGCAGCAATAATATAAATATATATAAACAGAATATATAATATATTATATATATAGAATGTATATATACACAGAAATATACCATATATATTGTTTATTGCCTATATAGAGATATTCAGTTCACTTCTGGGTGTTGATCTTTGTATTAGTCATCTACTGCTAAGCCATAAATCATCCCAAACTTCGTAGCTGAAAACCACAAATATTTATTATTTCATAGTTTGTTTAAGTCAGAAATTCAAGAGCAGCTTAGCTGGGAGTTTTTGGATCAGGGTCTCATATAAAGTTGTAATCAAGATGTCAGGCAGGGTGCAGTCATCTGAAAGCTTGACTTGGGCTGGAGGACCTATTGCCCAGCTCACTCACACAGTGGTTGTCAAGGGGCCTCAGTTCCTCATTACGCGGGGCTCCCCGATAAAGCTGCTCATTACAATGCAGCTGCTTCCCCCAGCACAAGTGAATCTAAGTAAGAGAGAGAGACGGGACAACTAAGATGAAACACATAGTGTCTTTCATAACCTGACACGGAAGTGATACACCAACCATTTCTGATGTGTTCTATTGGCCACACAGAACAACGTTGGTGCAATATGGGAGGAGACCACACAAGGAACATGTGAATTTCAGAAGGTGGGAAGCACTGGGGGCCGTATTGTGGCTAAAACTACCATAATCTTACATCCAACGACCTTGATAAATTCTCAGATTTATTCTAATAATTTAGTAATAGATTCTTTTGGGTTTTCTACAACGGGCAAACATATTATCTGTAAATAATGCCAATATTATTACTCTCCCTCCAATCTCACTTTTATTTCTTTCTTGCTTTACTCCACTGGCTCAGATTTTTGACATAATATTTTAAAGAGATAGTAATAGAAGACCTTATCTTAAAAAGAGTTTCAACATTTACCATAGTGTGATGTTTGCAGCAGGTTTTAATTGTTTTTCCTTTTGGTAGATATCCTTTTTTCAAACTAAGAAAGTTTCTCCTTATTTGTTGCTTGAATTTTTTTCATTAATAGTAGGAAATTTTATAAACATTTTTGGTATTTATTGAGTTGACTGTATGTTTTTATTCCTTTAATCTATTTATGTGGCAAATTAACATAATTGAAGTTCTAATGTTAAACCAATCTTACATTCTTGGAATAAGCCCAACTTGATCATAATACATTTTAAAATACATTATTGGATTTATTTTAATAATTTATTGGGTAAAATTTTTTTGCATCTACCTATTTGCAAGATTGGCTTATAATTTTCCTTTCCTTTACTGTTTTTGTAAGATTTCAGTATCAAGGTTATGCTAACTCATAAATAAGTTGGACAATGTTCCCCCCTTTTTTATATACTCTGAAATATTTTGTGTAAGAGCAAAGATATTTGGCCTTTGAATGTTTGACACAAAACATCTATAAAAACATCTGGGCCAGGTATTTTATTTGCGGGTAGATTTTAAACTACAAGTCTTAAACTACTAATCTTATATGTTTATAGGACTAGTCAAGTTTTCCATTTCTTACTGAGATTATTTTCATGCAATATACTTTTTAAGGAATGTTTCCATTTTATCTAAGTTTTCAGATATATTAAAGTTATTCGCAATTCCTTATTAATTTTTTCATTTCTGCATTACCTATAGTTATGACATTTAACAAAAAATTCCCATTCTAGTGTTCTCACTTTTATCTTCATTCATTTTCTCAAAGATTTGTCCTTTTATTGCTTTGTGTGTGAGCTTGTATTTCATGAAAATTCCTTGAGGCTTAGGCTGAAGGCACTCTTGCAGAGAGCATGTGTGCTTGCTTTTACCGAGCACCTGGGTACTGCAACCAAGGACCATATTTATTTATTTATTTACTTATTCATTTATTTATTGAGACAGAGTCTCACTCTATGTCCCACACTGGAGTGCAGTGGTGCAATCTCAGCTCATGGCAACCTCTGCCTCCCAGGTTCAAGCTATTCTCCTGCCTCCCGAGTAGCTGGGATTACAGATGTGCACCACCATGCCTGGAAAATTTTTGTATTTTTTAGTAGAGATGGCATTTCACCATATTGATCAAGTGATCAACATGCCTCAGCCTCCCAAAGTGCTGGAATTACAGGTGTAAGCCATGGCGCCCAGCCACCAAGAACAATTTTTTAATAAATTCTGGGCTTGAGGTTTTTCAGAGCACAAAGAATATGAATTCAGGTTGTAAATCCATGAGAGGGCCAGATTGTGGTTATGAATTTTAGGAAGAATTGATTGGGGCTTTTTTCCATCTATCAGGTTGGTGCAAAAGTAATTGCAGTTCAAATCATTATAACTAGGCTCAAACATATCTTTATTAATCAAAATAGGACCCATTACAATCAACATATTTTGCCAATGAGAAATGTTTGTTTATTCCCGTAGCATAAAAAATCCATACTTCGGTATTCAACAAACTCTTGAAAAGCATTTTCTGCATCCTGCTGGTTGTGGGAGCGTTTTCCCTGCAAAAAGTTGTCGAGTGCTTAAAGAAGTGAAAATAGCCAGTTGGTGAAAGGTCAGGTGAATATGGCTGAGGAGGCAAGACATCATAGCCCAATTCATTCAACTTTTGAAGCGTTGGTTGTGCGATGTGTGGTAGGCGTTGTCGTGGAGAAGAACTGGGCCCTTTCTGTTAACCAATGCTGGCTGCAGTCATTGTGATGTTCCATGCATCTCATTGATTTGCTGAGCATACTTCTCAGATATAATGGTTTTTCCAGGATTCAGAAAGCTGTAGTGGATGGGACCGGCAGTAGACCACCATACAGCGACCATGACTTTTTCTGGTGCAAGTTTGGCTTTGGGAAGTGCTTTGGAGCTTCTTGGTCTAACCACTGAGCTGGTCATCACCAGTTGTTTTATAAAACCCAGTTTTTGAGATACATCATAATCCAATCAAGAAATGGTTCATTTTCGTTGCATACAATAAGAGAAGACAACACTTCAAAATGACTATTTTTTAAATTTTCACTCAGCTCATGAGGCACCCACTTTTCAAGCTTTTTCACTCTTCCAATTTGCTTCAAATGCCAAATGACTGTAGAACAGTCAACGGTGAGTTCTTAGATAACTTCTCATGTAGTTGTAAGAGAATCAGCCTTGATGACCGCTCTCAACTGGTCATTGTCAACTTGCGATGGCCAGCCACTATGTTCCTCATCTTCAAGGCTCTTAGCTCCTTTGCAAAAGCTCTTGAACCACCACTACCCTGTACATTTGTTAGCAGTTCCTGGGCCAAATGTGTTGCTGAAGTCGCGAGTTGTCTCCGCTGCTTTACAACCCATTTTGAACTCGAATAAGAAAATCACTCAAATTTGCTTTTTGTCTAACATCATTTCCATAGTCTAAAATAAACATACACAGCAAGTAACAAGTCATTAGCAAAAAAAAAAACATAAAATGAGAAATGCCCATTAAAATGACGTATAACATAACCACATTTATCTAAGAATGTATTCCAATATCAAATGGTAAATCCCAACAATGCAAAAACCACAATTACTTTGCGCTCACCTAATATCTAAAGCTAATATTGAGACAGGCATCTTTCCTAGTTGAATTTCTCTGTAAAAGTTATGTTATTTTCTTACTGAGAGTGTATCCTTTCTAGGTCTTAGCTATACTAGATATTAACTGTGACGCTCCCAACCCACCCACACACCTTAATGGGCCCTAATCCTTTGTCTTCTGTCCCCTTAGCAGTCATAGCTGTTAAAACAAATGTTGGTAACCTGGGGATTAGCAAACAACTTCAGGACAGGTGCCAGCTTCGATACACGTTTACCTCTCTAAAGACCTGCTTTTTCTTTTAATTTAGGAGGGCAGAGAAGGCCTTTAAGGCCATCCTTACTCTTCCCAGCTCGGTCAATAATTCTAAAGATATAATTAGAACGCATTTTATCTAGCCTTTTTAGATGTTTTGTACTGGAGGATTTGGGAGAAGGCAATCTAAACTTTAATTTTAAATTTTAAAGGCCAAAGTCATCTTGGTCATGTTGTACAGGGTATAACTTTGAGGATGCTATCAAACACCTCTTTAGGTACTAGAATAATCCCTAGAGTACTTTTAGAGAGCAGAGGTGAAATAGTTTTCCAGCCAGGCTACCAGCCTAGTTATACTCTTCAATTTTTACAATAGTAAAGTATATTTATTCCCTTCTTCTTAGAATAGGATGAGGCACTGGATTAAATGCTTTATACAAGTTATTTCATTTAAGACACAACAGGTAAGGTTATGCCAAAGTAACTTGCAATAAACTAATGCTCCTGATGAGAATAACTAGAAGCCATTAAAAAAATACCCCAAAACTTTTTTGAAGACATTAGAGAGTTTCTGAGACAACGAGGGCTTGAAATAAGCAGAAACTATAGAGAGAATCAAAGATCTGATGGACTTCCACTTCTGAACGTGAGAGGGGCTTTGAGGAAGATAATAATAACATATAGGTCAACTAAAAATGCAGGAAAAAAATACCAAAAAAATCATTTAAAGGCATTAAAGAGCTACTTAAATAAGTAGGGCTTTATAGTTAGGTTGAGCTGATGTACTGCAGCTATTTTTTTTTTCTTAGCTGAATGTATTTGCTGATTCTGGGAAGGCAAAAAGCTGAGAAGCTGAGTGTTGCCTGGGATGAGGGCCAATAACATTGATAGAGCTATTAGTGGCCTCATAGAGCTGGGAAGAAGAAAACTTAAGAATTCAGAAGTCAATATCCTGGTGAGGAGGGTGTATACAGAAAACTGAATCTAACACTCAGCTCATTTTCCACTCAAGATATTTGCCAAACTCTGAAGGGAAGGAGGCTAAGAGGCTCACCAGAAAGCCTGAAAAGCAGAGTGGAGTTCTGGCAGATTCAGTGTGCTGAGGAAACAAAGATTAGAGTTCAAAACCTTCCAGGAGGAGGAACCCTGGCACAAACATCAAACTCTCAGCTTTAGAAGGTCGTAGATTACAAGCAGAGGTGAACCAAAGATAAATTTAGCTTTACCAAGACTGCAACTTTGCCTTGACTCAGTTCAATCCCTGATTGGACTGAGGCAAGCAGCCCTGAATCTGTCTGGCAGAAGAAAGAGTGGATACTCTCTGAAGGAAGATTATACATCTGGCAAAATTCTCTATCTTTTCATCTATTTTCTTGAAAAAAAAAATTTTTTTAAACAGGCTCTCACTCTGTCACCCAGGCTGGAGTGCAGTGGCATGATGACAGCTCACTGCAGCCTCAATCTCTCAGGCTCCAGGGATCCTCCCACCTCAGTCTCCCAGGTAGCTGGGACTACAGGCCTACATCATGACACCCAGCTAATTTTTGTGGGTTTTTTTTTTTTTTTTCATAGAGACAGGGTTTTGCTAAGTTGCCCAGGGTGGTCTTGAATTCCTGAGCTCAAGCAATCCACCCACTTCGGCCTCCCAAAGCATTTGGTTTACAGGCATGTGCCACCATGCCCAGCCCTGAAATTTTTAATATCTATTTTTGTTATACATAATACTTGTCATTTAATCAAACATTATTAGAATACCAAAAGGCAAGACCACATGAAAAAAAAAAAACAAGAAAAAAGTATATGACAGAATCAGACCCGCAGGAGATTCAGATTTTGGAATTAGAAGACAAGTACTTTGAGATTAACTATCATTACCATTTCCAAGAAAAATAGAGGAAAGGGGGGAAATGGATGAAAAATGAAGATGTTCCCAGAAAATTGGGAACTATAAAAAATAACTAAATAAAAATTTTAACTCAAAAATATAGCTGAATAAAAAATGCAGGAATGTATTTAAAAGCAGAATTAGACATAGCCAAAGAAAGGCTATGTGAACTGGAAAACAAGTCAATAGCAAATATATGAACTGAAGCCCAGACAGAAAAAAGAGTGGGAAATAGAGAAAAGAGGATAAGACAGTGGGGCAAAGTGAAAACATATAACATACGTCTAATCAGAGTCCCAGAAAGAGAAGAGAAAGAACATGAGACAGAGGAAATATTTGAAGAGATAATAGCAGAGAATTTTCTAACCTCCACCTAAATCCCTACCCAGAAATATATATTTACTGAAACTGTCTTTCAAAAATGAAAGCTGAAGATGTTTTCAATTAAACAAAAACTGAGAGACTTCTTCGCCAACAAACATACATTCAAAGAAATACTAAAGGGATTTTTTTCAGGCCAAAGGAAAAATGATCCAAGACGGAAACACAGAAATACAGAAAGAATAACAGAAGGAGTAAAACACAGACAAATAAAAAAATAATGGTGACTGAACAAAACAACATGATCCTATCTCATGGGGCTTAAAGTATATTTAGAATTAAAATATATAATAAAAATGCAAATGATAGGAGGATGGTAAAGTGCTTAAGGTCCTAGCTTTATCAAAGAAGGTGTCAAAATGATCATTTTCACTATACTGTAAGAATAAAGGATGTGTGTTGTAATCACTAGGGTAATCACTAAAAGAAAAGAATCTGTAACTATTAAGTTAATAAACTGGAAAATATAGAATAACCAAAAAAATCCAAAAGAAAACAAGAAATGAAAAGGAACATAAACAAATGGGTCAAATACAAAACAAATAATAAAATGGTATATGTCAACTCAAATATATCAAGAACTGGGTTAAATACAAATATACAAAATACTTAAAAGGTACACTATGAATAAGAGTTTTGAGAAGTATCACAGTGTAAATGTTGTGACCACAAACTTTTAAGTTTGAGCTCAAGTCTTAGCTCCAACACTTACTAACCCTCTGACCTTAGACAAGTCACAAATCTTGCCTGTGCCTCAGTTTCCTCATCTGTAAAATGAGGTTAATAAGAGAAACCAACCTCATAGAACTGTTGTGAGAGTTAAATGAGGCTATAACTTAGAATCGTGCTGACCATGTAATAAGGGTTATATAATTATAAGCCACTTGATATGGTTTGGCTGTGTCCCTACCCAAATCTCATGTTGAATTGTAATAATCCTCATGTGTCAAGGGCAGGGCCAAGTGGAGATAACTGAATCATGGGGGCAGTTTCTCCCATACTGTTTTCATGGTAGTGAATAAGTCTCAAGAGATCTGATGGTTTTATAAATGGGAGCTCCCCTGCCCAAGCTCTCTTGCTTGCCACCTTGTAAGACGTCCCTTTGCTCTTCCTTTGCCTTCCGCCATGATTGTGAGGTTTCCCCAGCCATGTGGAACTGTGAGTCCATTAAACCACTTTCCTTCATAAATTACCCAGTCTTGGGTATGTCTTTATTAGGAGCATGAGAATAGACTAATACACCACTGTTGTTATTAAGCCTCACGACAAGCTTGTAAATAATCAACCCATTTCATAGAGGATTGAGACTTGAGTGATAGTGCAACTTACCCAAAATTATCCAGCTGGGGTGTTACTATGAACTGATAGGGTAGAGATGTGAAAATGTCTCCAGCACTCATGCTCCATGACAGCAGAAATCATGTTTGTCTTGTCTTGTTCATCACTATATATTCAGTGCCAAACACATAGTTAGTGCTGTATAAATATATGTTGGATGAATGAGTGACTCTTCCTACAGTGCTATTCAGATACTGTTCTGTCCCAATCAGTAACACAGAATACTAATATTAGTACTAAGTCCTTATTTGAGAAAAGAATCTCAAATTTAAGATTCACACTGTAAAAAGAAAAATTTGTGGGGAAACTTTTTATCATTAGTATTAGTGACAATACATATTTATTTATTACATACTATTGGCCAAATACTTTGTTAACACATCATCTCCATGATCTCACTTTATTCTCATAATCACTCTGTGAGGTAGGAATTGTTATTGTTCCCATTTTAAAGATAGGAACACTGAGACTTGGAGACATTAAGTCACTTGCTGAAGGCTGCACCACAAAACTGGTGGGATAGAGATTTAAATCTAGTTCTGTCTGACTCCAGACCTAATTTCTTAATATGTGAAAAGTATGTGATTCATCTGCTTCTCTGGATAACTCATTTCTATCCTTAATTACAAACTGAAAAGTTGGCTTGTATTACCTTGGCCCTGTGAATAATTGTTTTTGAGTTGCTGCTGAAACAATGGGCCTCAACCATTTATGAATGCCTGTGTCAAGGGCAGCCATGAGATGGAGTCCCAGTATTCTTCTACTAAATGACTTGGTGTTTCAGAAGGCTAGACCTTCTCTAACCCCTGACTGAGTGGGCAGTTGTGGGGTGGGAATCCTGACTTTTCTGAGCCAATCATGAAGTCCCATTTCCCTGTGCAGAGACTAGTTCACGTACAGAACCATGATTTAATTCTGGTCAGTGAAACATAGGGGAGAGTCTGCAAGTCTGCAGTGGAGGATAAGAGAAGCTTCTGGACAAGGTTTATTCACCCATAAAAAAAGTGACACAAGGAAGAGATAGGCTCCTTCTCCTGGTGGGGCTATTATGTCTGCTTAACATGCCTGGAAACTATGGCAGCCATCTTATCATTAGGAAGTTAGCACAGGGACAATCAAGAGTAATGAGGATAGGCTGGGCACAGTAGCTCACGCCTATAATACTGGTACTTTGGGAGGCTGAGGTGGGCAGATCACTTGAGGTCAGAAGTTCGAGACCAGCCGGGGCAACATGGGGAAACCCCATCTCTACTAAAAATACAAAAATTGGCTGGGTGTGGTGGTGCGCGCCTGTAGTCCCAGCTACTTGGGAGGCTGAGGCACAAGAATCGCTTGAACCCAGGAGGCAGATGTTGCAGTGAGCTGAGATTGCACCACTGCACTCCACCCTGGGTGATGGAGCAAGACTGTCTCAAAAAACAAAAAAAAGAAAGAAAAAGAAAGAGTAATGAGGATGGTAAAATGAAAAAAACAGAAATAACCTGAGTTTAAGCCACTGACTTAACCAACTTTGAAAACACTCTACCTTGCATCTTGTATTGTAGGATAATCTATTTCCTTTGTAGTTGAAGATACGTGAGTCAAGGGATCATGTCACTTGTGCCAAAAAGCCTCCTCATTAACCTACTCCTATACACAAAAGATCAGAAAAGAGAAAAAGAGATAATTGATTAGTAAAATTAAGAAGTCCATGTCCAGGTTGTTTAGCAGGAGATGGTATGGGCAGGGCTGGGGGTGTTGGAGAAGGGGCAGTAGGCCAAGCTCTACTATTTCTGTAATCTTCAGCAAATTTTAATCACTATGGACCTCTATTTCACCGTCTGGTTGGTTTTTGGTTTTTTTATTTTTAATCTTTAATTTTTAATTTTATTTTTAATTTTTATTTTGTGTGTGTGTGTGTGTGTGTGTGTGTGTGTGTGTGTGTGTAAGTGGGTGGAGGAATCCTCTGAGCCATTACATGACTCTGTTCTCTGAATCGGGACAGTTGAAAACACTTCACACAGCTTAAATCAGAGGTCCTCAAACTTGATGCATATTGGAAACATCTGGAAAGTTTTTAGAACTGTCCAATGCACAGGGCACGACTTGGACCAATTAAATCCAAATCTTATGAGGTTCAGGGGGAGGCATCAGTATTTTGTAAAGCTTACCAGTTAAATCTGATATGCAGGCAAAGTTAAGGACCACTGGCTTAGAGGGACCATCCAAATCCAGGAATGGGTGTCCACTCATTGTCAAAAAGAGGGAAAAGTCAAGGCCAGGAGTCAGCAACGGTGCACATGGACTGCTCTGAGTTTGGGATCCTTCCCCACTAATGAGAGGGTTTGTTCAGATGACAGCTCCCAGTAGCTGCCAAAAAACTCTATGAGGAACCTAGAGATGAAAGCTGAGGAAGAGATTCTCCCTTTGCAGCTTGAAGGGTCACTCAAACTTGTGCAGAACTTTTGGATTCACATTGATAAAGATGCACAGTTCACTGCCACCCTAGAGTTTTCCAGCCTTTCAGTCTGGGGATGAACTAAAAGGAGAGCCATCAATGTAGAGAGAAAAAAAATAGTCCTTCCTTAAATAACTAAATTAAACTTAATATTTTTTGGAACAGAATATCATGCATTCCAAATTTAAGTTATTCTCTCATGTTAAATTTTTAAAAGCAAAGTTGCTTCTACTATTAGGCGAGATATCAGGATGTGAAATGCAGTTAATTCTATTTGATAGTAAAGCTCCAGGAACACCCTGCTCTTTGACCAGCTCCTCCCTCATCAGCTGCCCAGGGTCACCCCAAAATTGGGTCAAGCTGGTCATGCCTGCCTGAAAATAGCTCTCCTGTAAGAAGGGGGCTGCGGGAGAAGGGGCAACTCCATGGGAGATTTCAAGGAGGCTGTGTGAAGCAGAGGGAGGGACACTAAGTGACAAGTCACTGTTCAGCTGGCTCACCCTGGCCACACTACCTTGAACAAGTCACTTCACCTATCTGGATCTTAGTTTCTTCTTTTATAAAGTTAGGCACTTGAGCCCCATGGTCTTCGAGGTCCCTGTCAGACCCAAGTTTGATTTTTCTCCATCCCTTGGGAACAGGGCAGTCCACCAAACCATCAGCATAAATAGAGAGGAAACAAAATAGGGGCTGTAAATTCCAGCTCTTACAGAGCTCGGCAGATAGTGTGAGAGAGTGAAGGCATGGGTAGAGACTGTGGCCAAAACAAGGCAGTTTGACCCATCTAGGATGCATGCCCCATCTAAGGGGCACAGCTACTATTCAACTTCATGTATTTGTTGCCATGTGGGGAGACCTTACAATTTTTTTAGGAAAAAAAGTAAACCCAGATTTTTTAATGTAGTCTGCTGATGGTTATATCATGGCAATAAATTCTTTAAAAATCCCGTGTCAAATAAAATACATCTGTGCCCAGATACAGCCTGCAGGCCTGTGGTTTACAGCTCTGACATAGAGGATTCTATGATATGATAAAAGTTTATTCTTCATAATTGGGCCTTTTTAGTAGATTGGTCAACACTGTGCAGATCTTTCTTTAGATACACTGTGCAGATTTTAGGCAGAACTGGAGCAACAACTTAGGTTCATGGACCTGCTGCCTCTCACCCCAAGGAGCAGTGCTGCTCCCTTCAGTCCAGGACTGGCGCCTACTGCCCCTTCCCTATGCCCCTCTGTGCAGCTGGAAGTTCTGCCCGTTCAGGAACGTGCTGTAGCTCAAGACGTAGCAGCCACTCCAACCTTTCCCACACCAACTCCTTCCCCATTTTAAAGCTGAGACATGGCCTCCAACATAACCCTGACCCAGCAGATTGTGTGTGTGTGAGCAGAAACCATAGATGAGGACAGTCAGGGTAGGGGAAGAAGTAGTAGCAACAGCTCAAGTTATTGACCCTGCTCTCCAGCCCCAATGGTCAGGTGGTAGGAAGTGTGCTCACTATTGAGACTGGGGCCTTGTGAATATCCTCAGATGGATCCATGTCTTGGTCCATACTAACTCTGCTCAGTTGTTCCTAAATGAAAAATGAGAATGTCAGTTGAGTTTCTTATTTGACTGTGGCTTTGAGAAAGAAAATATACTCAGGCCTTATATCAAACACATTTATTCTTAAAGTGAGAAGCTCATCAAGGATAGCTAGAGGAGAGTGAAATATTTACAGTAGAAAAGTATGGATGCTAGCCAAACTTCAAATTCTGTCACTGCAGAGTTATTCCGATAGTACTTTTCCACCATGGCACATCACACATGTTAAAATTAACTGCATTCTTGTAACACCTCTCAATGGTTGTGCACAATAATAGAAGCAACATTCTGGGACTCTTTTTCTTAAGATCCTACAGAATGAATTTATGCACACACAAAAACAAGTATAATACAAAACATTCAAAACAAGTCACATCCATTTTTTTAAAAAAAAGAAAACAGCAAGATGAAAATAGGCAAGGGATGGGTTGCTACTTCTATGTGCAAGGTACTGGATTCTTGCATTGAGAATCCTAGTGTCGGGCCTCACGTCAAGCATCACATCAAAAAAGTGTGCAGAAAAATGAGTCACCTTCAATATGAAGGATGTGAGTTGTGTACACTGACAACGGTCTCAAAGATACAACATTATTGCAGGAGGAATGCCTGTGTACAGAGTGGACCATCTTATGAGGCCAAAAACCCATGAGTTACCAGATGACCATTCAGATATTTGGGTTAAACGATGACAGTTTTCTGGTTTAATCAAGGCACTTGCAAAGAGCTATCTTTGACATGACATGAAGTCCCTACGTGTTGTTAGCCATTAATGATGGCATGGTTTTTCTATACCAAGCATTCTATAACAAGAACCCAAGCCTGACAGTTTGATCACAAAGTCACTTATAACATCAGGACTACAAAGCCAGATTTGCTTAAACTTTCCCCAAATTATGATTTTTTATAGATCACATCTGAACAGAAAGGCTTCACTTAAGATCTTGATTCTCCGGAGCTATAATTCATCTTCTTTCTCCAATACCACCCACATTCTTAAAGGTTATTTAGCTTTTCTCCACAAGGATACGTAGAATGGATCTTTTTCCCCTCCAGAAATAATTTCCCCAGGAAAGAATTGTAAAACCAACTTAAAAACACAAAATAACCTTACGTTTTTCCACCAACAATGATCAGACCTCCCACTCCTCTGACTTGAGCTTCAGAGCCCTTTGTGTATACTTTTCACACATTCCTCATACCATTAACACAGCTTTCCATCACCATCAGCCATCCTTCCTCAACTTTTCCTTGCCCAACATGAAAGCTAGTGGATTGAGAGGGAAGGAAGAAGGGAACTGAAAAAGTATTACCTTTATAAAAATAGTTTTCAACCTGTTACTTGATCCTTCAAAGCCAAATTGGGTAGCATCATCTGTACAGACCCCAACACTAAATTCTCAAGTGTCTTTCTTTTCCATAGCCAGGTCTCAAAAGCTCAAATCTAAACCTACTGATGGAGTAGCAAAGGCTTCCTAAAATTGAGCAATACAGACCTAGGATTGCATGGGGGAATATGACAAGTCAAGACCAGTTACATTGTTGCTTAATTCATCGATAAGAGGCCAAGTTCTCCATTCTCCCCCAGCTCTGCCACTCTGGGAAGAGCCCACTAGCCAGCCTCGGACTGCCAAAGATTGTTGACTCTAACTCTGTCTTAGGAGACGTCTGGTGGAATGCACAGTCCTGGGGTGCCATCTGTGTCTGCACCCCATCAGGCTTCCATTGAACATGAACAATTCTATAATTCTGACCATCATTGTTGTCCCAAAAGACTTGCCCATTAGCATGGTAAGAAATGCAGAACTCAATTTTCTGCTCAGTTGGAATGACAGGGGGTAAGTCAATGGCAAATGAGAAGGTATCACTATCTGTGCCACCATACACATTTTTCATATAGACACAGTCTACGTCAGTGTAGTTTTTCCAAGAATCGAAAGTGATACGGATCTGAACTTTCTTCTCAAAACTCACATTTTTGACTTTAACAGTCCCTGTCACTGTTCGCTCTTGCAACGAGCAGTTCTCCAGACAGACAAAGTTCTTCTGAAAGTGGCTCCGGAAACTTAAGTAATCGGTTGAAGGCTGAGGGAAATCTAAAATCAAGTTTTTCTCCTCGTGGTGTTTTAAGGCAGAGGAGATATCATTAAGGTCCAAGAGATCAAACTGCAGATCCCACGCTGGTTCTTCTGGGAGGTCGGAGAAGACATGGATCGCAGTGAGAGAGAGGCCCTTGGAGTCAGCAAACACAACGCGCTTCTTGGCTTGGTTGTGTGAGCACTTCCAGTCATTCTGTGATTTGGCTTTGTGTTTTATATTGAGACATGATTTCAGGGGCTTTAATTTATTCACAAAATGTCGTCGTTGAAATTCATCGTACGGGCCCAGGAAACTCTTCACAGGTGGTGAATGTGCCAAGCAAAGCCTCATGGCCACATCCACGGGCATGACCGAACTTGTCAAAGGACGTGGATCTAAAACCTGGATCATTCTGGAATGCAAAAAGAAGAGGGATTATCACCTGGATCGGAAATGCTCTTCCCCAGTGCCAAATACATATGTACTATTTTTGTGCTGACTGAATTATAGCCAGTGCACTAGATATCAGGCAGGTGCTATCATATGTAGTAAAAGAGAACAGTATTAAGTGATCAGATCTTCTATGTCTACCTCTACCCTTGGCCGGCTAAAGGCTATTAATTGCTTAAAACACTTAGAGGGTGATGGGGGTCTCAGTTTCCCCATCTGAGAAATAAAAGGGTTCGATTTGATTATCTCCAAGGCAGCCTTGAGAACTGTGTGCTCTGTTCTGGACCAGTGGTCCTCAAACCTGTCTGGTCACTATGTCTAGGGAATTCATTTTCTTTCTTTCTTGTCTTTCCTCCTTTCCTCCTTCCCTCCTTCCTTCCTTTCTTCCTCTCTCTCTCTCTTTCTCTTTCTTCTTTCTTTCCAATTCCTGGGACTCAGAACTACTGAGGCAGAACTTCTGGGGCTAGGGCCAAGGGATGGGTATGTTCTTAAAGCTTCCCAGGTGATTCTAATGACCAGACAGGTTCAGGAGCCACAGTTCCAGACCCTCTGCTCCCTCTGGCTACGTTGGCTTATTTTGCTGCTAAATTGATTGACACTTCTCTGGTAAGGTAATTCACTTGAAAAAAAAAAAATAACATGCAACAGTTTTGAGAGTGAGAAGGCTAGAGAAGAAGTCAAAGAATCATCTTTGCACTTTGATTATCATGCTCTTATTTTTCACAAATAACCACTGAAATACAAGCCAACAATTCATATGCACTTAAAAACTATATAATTGATAATTCACCTAAAGAGATGCCCATGACAAGTCCACATTTAAGTGGAAAAACTGATTACCTGAAAGTTGGAGTGTTTTAAAATATACATTTTATATATACAAACTTATAAATATTGAAAAACTCTATAGGAAATACACCTTTCCTAATAATTTAATAATTATTATTTCTGGGTGATAGGATTATAGATTATCTATTTTCGTTTTTGTTCTTTTTTGGCATTTTCTAATAGACATTTATAAGTAGAAAGACAATAAAACCATTTAAAGTTTTAAACATGACTATGCTCAGCAATATTAAACCAAGAAGCATCTATAAAGAAGACTTTTCTCTGACCTTTAGCCCTCATCATATATTTCCAAGCTTATGGTATTAAGATTTTTTTCCCTATCTTAGCCTTACAAGTAAGAGGTGTGTGTATACTGTACACGACATTTCTCAGTCTGGCTTTAGTAACTCTCCTCACAGCAGCTCTAAACATGTATGCAAGTGGTCATTATCACAAAAGTGTGTAATAACACTCGCAGAATTTACTGTGTTAGCTCTGGGGTTTTTCTGGGAGATCTGCAAACTTAGAACAAACAAATGAAAGCTAAAGCTATATTTGTGGGTCTAATAATAGTTAATAGGCAGGATTTTTAGAGAAGTCTTCTGCTAAGCTATGTCTGGAGAAGCTATTTAAAGTAGTTTTATGGGAGGTTTTTTTTGGTTTTTTTGTTTTTTTTTTTTTACTTTTTGCATTTATAGAAAGACAGTTTTAGTTTGGGTGATTTCCTTGGAACTTTAAGTCCTGGACAAGAGTTAAAAGTAATCGTTTGCTCAAACTCTTGAGATTTTGCTATGGCAAACTGTGATAAGAAGGACGAATGAATGCAAACGTCGTCCTGTAATTTTTTTCCTCCAAGCTAAACCACCTAACCAGCAATGTCAGAGTGCTGTTCTCACCACTTCAGCTGCCCGAGTCTTTGGGACATTTGTGCAGGACCAAAAGAACAGCCGCATCCATGAGAAAATCCTAACTCAAGCTGATTCACGTTAAGATAATTTCTGCTTTAAGATGCTGATTACTAAAATAGGCTCTGCTTAAGAAATAGAGCCAAATTTCTACACCTCCAAGGCCTCTCGGTTGCCAGATTCAACTACGCAGTCAGTCCACTTGTCCTCCCCCTGGGGTGTCCATTTCCAGAGATGATAGAACTGAAACGCCCCCCAACTTCCCCACAGCTGCGCGTTCCCCTGTGTTCCTAGCGCGCAGAGTTGCAGCGAACCTACCTGGTGCAGCTCATTAGGCAGAGAGGCGGCGGACCCTAAAAGCCAGCACCCGCTGCCTGCACAAATTCGAACCACAGCTCCAGGCCTTGCCCCCGCGGCGGTCGCTGGGAGAGACTGAGGGCCCGGCGCCTAGAGGCCGCTTATCTGCTCCCAAGCACGTGACCCGATCCCTGGGACCAATCGCCGGGCCTCGAGCCCCAGGGCGCGACCAACCAGCGCCCAGCTGGGGCGCCAGCCCTCGCCCCGGCAACGTGATCGCCCCGGGGCGAGACGTGCAGAGAGCTATCTGGGCATCGCGGGGAGGTTCTGGGACTCCGCGGCCAGCTGGAACCAGCCGCGTAACGGGAACCCTGGGCTAGGGGCCGGGCAGGCACGTACCGCATGCAGCGGGCGCCGGCCAAGAGAGAGCGCAGCCAGCCTCGCCCAGGCGGGGCGCCAGTGCCTCAGGCTTGGGGCGGCTGTTACTTGGGAATAGCTTTGTGGGTCACTGCGGGTGAATCTGCACACAGAAGATGTGGCTCAAACCGAATGTGTATCGCATTTGAAATGTTTATATCGTTCATTACCCGGTGTATCCGCATTTCTCCCTCACCTTAGCCTGCGCGATCCCAAACTGGCTGCATGCTTTTCGATTAGTATGAGTTCACAGATGCACCACACAGTAGACAGCTGCCGGGAATTACCAACTTATCTAACAAATGTTGTTAGGAAAGCATACGAGCCCCATAAAACACCAAGGTGGCATTTAATTAAAAGACACTTCGTATTTCTGTCTATTCTTCAATTTTCTCCCCTGCGGGGAACACTAAAGCCGGAAGTGAAATGACCCTTTTCACACATACAGCCGGTCAAGAGGCAGCAGTCAACCCAAACCCCTTACTCAATTCTGACGTCCTTTGGCAGTGGTGTGGAAATCAAAATGTTAAAATAAAATTTAAAAAATCACGCCGTATGTTTCATGGGCCTTCTGAGCCACTCACTTTCGCTGAAGTTTCATTATTTTGATTAGTTTGAAGAATTTTTAGACCATCATTTACAACTGTAAAATTAAATGTCTAAGTCAAGTCTAAATTATTTTTATAAAACCCACATCCTAGTTTTGCTCCCCTAATTGAGCTATCCATTAGTCAATTAAAATATACAAAAATTCCTATGTCTTTTAAACAACTGTCAAACAGTGGAATTGTTAAAATTATTAGAGTGAAGAAAAAAATCACACTGAATATCACTGGGAAAGGGACTTCATGCCTGGGTTTTATTTTTGAAATGAAATATCTAACTAATGGCAGGTCTTCTAGCCCCTTTAGCTCAACCAAAACTAGCTGGAAGGTCTTTGGATTGACACTTACTAGCTACACGAATCTAGGCAAGTTCTAACCTCAGTTTCCTCATGTGTAAAACAGAGATAGTAACGTTCTGAAGATGAAGTAAGATGGTGCCAATGAACAGACTCAGCACGATGCCCAGTGCCTGTGTTCCACCCGGGCTAGTTCCCAAGTTTCTACTTGATCTCTCAGCTAGAGTTTTTACTCTATCACCTCAAGGCGCCTGGTGCCTGAGCTAAAATATTGAGAATAGCTGCTGCTTGTTGAGCCTTTACTCTGTGCCAAACACTATGTGCTATCAATTCAATCCTCACAACAACCCTATGTGATATGTCCAATTATTAATCCCATTTTAGAGAAAAGAAAACGGAGACACTGAATGGTCAGGAAATCTGCCCAGTGGATCACTTGAGGCCAGGAGTTCAAGACCAGCCTGGCCAACATGGTGAAACCCTATCTCTACTAAAAATACAAAAATTAGCCGGGCATGGTGGTGCACACCTGTACTCTCAGCTACTCTGGAGGCTGAGGCAGGAGAATCGCTTGAACCCGGGAGGCGGAGGTTGCAGTGAGCTGAGATTGCACCACTGCACTCCAGCCTGGGCAACAGAGCGAGACTCTATCTCGAAAACAAAAAACAAAAAAAAAACCTGCCCAGGTTCTCACAGGTAGAGCAGGGATTAGAGCCTGGCTGATACCAGAGCAATAACCGCTGCACCATATTGTCTTATTTTAATGACCCATCAATGGTTAGAATTATGGAGGTAGGAGGTGATAGGCATCAAACTCTTTATTTCACAGATGAGGAACTGAAAGCTTAGACAGGTCAAGCTGCTTGCCAGGGGCTGGCTAGGTCTGAGCCAAAACTAGAACCCTGGGTATTCTTTTCCTCTACCCATGATTATATGTTGAGCTAAATAGTAAATATTACCAGTTAAAACTATGGAGAAACATGAATAACAATTTATGGTGATCGCATTTTGAGGGAAAGGTATCCATGCATAGAAAACAGAATGTGCTCTACAGAAATGTGAACAGTTCATTTTGGAATGGTGAGATTATGAGTGATTAAAAATGTCTTCGTTGTTTTGCTGCTCTGTTGTTTTTCTTAATTTTTCTACAATGAACATACACGACCTAATTAAGAAATAATTTTTCAAGGGCGTTAAAACTCTGGGATTCAACTAACACATATAGCGTACTGCTAGGTGCCAAGAACCGTGGTGGAAATTTTCACATGCTTGTGCCATTTACTCACACCACCCTTTCAGCCTGTTCCATTCATACAGCTTTCTCTCCTGCCCCCTGGTGTTGACTAATGCCATAGAAGTCACTCTCCCTTTCAGCTCCTTCAAATGGAAGATTCAGGGAGACCATGCTTTCTCCTAAAAGGACTCAACACTCACTCAATAAACCTCTAAATTGGATGATCCAGGCTTTTCACTTCTGTCTCCTTCCCAGCTTTTGCTCCCCTTCATTATTGGATGAGAGAAACTAGGATGGAATCAGTGTTCTTAGTTGTAGGTTGCACCAATGAAGACAGAGTAGAAAGGAATCGTGGGGAGTTGTACTATTATTCGTAGGATTTCTCCCACTGTGGTTTGGCAGCATCTAAACATTGCTTGGTCCTACCCATCTTAACAATCAATCTATCAGCAGGAAATTATTGAGCTATGCAGTAGTTCCAGCTCCATGCCAGGGGTTACAAAGTCTGAGCAGTCATAATCCTTTGACCTTGAGGAGGTTACAATCATTATTACAGAAAAACAAATTCATAGAATACCCAGCAGACATTTTAAGAAGCTACTAAGCAAGGAGCTGATAATTGTGGGGCTTACACAAGTGGGTCTCTTACAGCATTCACTCAACACGTTGCCTGAGAGCTGCCTTTGGAAAAACACCCTGGGGGGTTGCCAAGTTGCCAACTCATTTTCTGCAAGCTTGTCTTTTTTCAGTGCCTAATCAAGAAAGTACTTGAGAATTCAGCCTCATAGTTATTAATATAAAAATGTCAGTACTTTAACCACAGTTAGTGGTAACTGAGAGAAACCTCGTAAGTGATCTTGAAGATCACTTACGGAGTTTCAGTGAAAGAGTCAGGGAAGTTGCGAACTGGTTTTTTTTTTTTTTAATTATTATTAAAAGGAGCAGGTTTTGCATTTTGGAGAACAAAAAAGGTGCCAATTCATTTGTCTCAGTTAATAGTAAGCGCTCTTGTACACTATTTTCTTCTTCCTTCTTTAGCTACATTCAACAGGAACTCCAATATTAAGTAAAAGGATACAACCTGAAAAACATATACTGCTTACTTTGGGCTCGGCACTGTTTTAAGCACTTAGAAATATTAACTCATGTAATCTTTATAAGAATCCGGTGAGGTAGAAACCCATTTCACAGATGAGGAACGTGAAGACATCGAAGGTGCCAATTGTCCAAGATCACACAGCTAGTAGGTGACAGGATCAGGTTTCAAGCCCCTCTAGAATCCACGCTCCTAGTATGTGAGTTGCTCTGAAAAAGACAAGCACCACACTGGTAGCTACCAAGACCAAAAAGCAGCTCCGAAGGCCAAAGAGATCCCGAAAGGAGAAGGCTCGCTGTGGAATATCTGTGGAAGCTTCAAGGAGGTAGCGGGAATTGGGAAGGCCAGGAAAATGGGAAGAACTTAAATATGATGTGCTATCATCTTTAGGGCATTTAGATGACTAGAATACAACTTTGTGGCTCAGCAAATAAGAGAGCAAATAAGATCACCATTGAAACGGTGCCAGCCACCCACCGTTCCACTCAAAGGGCATATTCCCAGAGGCAAGTGGGGAAGTGAAAGGACTAACAAATCTGCTTGTTGCCAAGTAGACTATGCTACCAGCCATTCCGTTTGCACTAAAGGGATTTTCAAGTATAATTTTCACTACTGGAAATTTTTTAGTTTTTACCTCAAACCCCATTTGTAAAATAGTCCAGTAAGAGCAGACAATGGTCTAGGTGTGGTGGAAAAGCATAAGTGTTAGCAAAATAAGGGGTTAAAGAAAGTGCAGGCCTGGGTGAGGTGGCTCACACCTGTAATCCCAGCACTTGGGAGGCCAACGTGGGTGGATCATTTGAGGTCAGCAGTTCAAGACCAGCCTGGCCAACATAGTCAAACCCCTTCTCTACTAAAAAATAAAAAAATTAGCTGGGAGTGGTGCTGGGCACCTGTAATCCCAGCTACTCGGGAGGCTGAGGCATGAGAATCACTTGAACCCAGGAGGCGGAGGTTGCAGTGAACCGAGATCGCGCCACTGCACTCCAGCCTGGGTGACAGAGTGAGACTCCCTCTCAAAAAAAAAAAAAAAGAAAAGAAAAGAAAGTGCAGGATGCCGCCTGAAACATGTAGGTATCTCAGGTGAGGTGAGGAAAAGGAGAGGGGAGGGCGGATGAAAAAAAAGAATGATATAACTGTATCAGGTTGACTTAGTGGCAAATGGATCATGTGAATATTACACACATTTGCTACACATGCTTCAGGACTTTAGAGAAAGGAGAAGCCTCTGGGGGTCAGGATGGCCAAAGAGGACCAGGACTTATTGAGTAACTACAAGGAGAAGAATTTGGCTAAAGGTGAGGATTCTGGCTGGGGAGCATGAGGAGGAGAGGTCAAAGGAGAGAGGTTTTTTTTTCTAGGCAGACTCTCACCTGTTGCCTAGTCTGGAGTACAGCAGCACTATCTCAAACCTCCGCCTCCCAGATTCAAGTGATTCTCCTGCCTCAGCTTCCCAAGTAGCTGAGATGACAGGCATGCGCCATGACGCCCGGCTAATTTTTGTATTTTTAGTAGAGACGGGGTTTCACCGTGTTGGCCAGACTGGTCTCCAACTCCTGGCCTCAAGTGATCTGTCCACATTGGCCTCCCAAAGTGCTAGGATTATATAGGCTTGAGCCACTGTGCCAGGCCAAGAGAGAGAATCTTAAGTGTAAAAATTTTTTTAAATCTGCTGGATTATCATGAACAAAATTAGAGATCTAAGTACTACAAAATGAAATAAGCAGAGAATAAAATAACAATCTGACTGTGGGGGAGGTACCATCCTTTTGTGTCGATAGTTCCATCAAGTTGCTGCAGTTTCTCTGTATTCATCGGAAGATTAGGGTGAATAAACAAGTAAGTTAGAAATAATCCATGCAGACATTATTAAAACACCTACTGAAGGGCATTTTAAAAGGCTTTAATGTGAGTGTATGGAAGATGGGAAAGAGATGACTTGTTCAGGGGGAGAATTAGAAACTAGCCAAAATGTACGGAAATTCATAGGAAACTTCAACATCAGAAAAATCAAAATAAGAAGAAAAAGTATTTTTGAAAAGAAAAATGAGATACTAGCCCAGTCAGCTTAAATTTGTTATAAAGTTAAAGTTTAAAAAATAAACTGGAATTGGTGTGTGTGTAAAGAAACAGATCAGTGAGATGAAAGAGTTCATAAAATAGACTACTTACATATCAGAATTTCATATATATGATACAGTGGGTAATTCTCATAAGAGGCGCTGAAGAACGGCTTATTCAATAAAAGGGCAGCTGGCTAGACATATAGGGTGGGGTGGGAGGATTGGGAGGATGTATGGAAGAAATTATTTTATTCACACCTCTGTGGAGGGGGACTACTGTGCTTTGATGGCACAGCAACATGTATGAATAAAGCACCTCAAGAGGGAATTCTGCAAAAGGATGGCTGGCCTGGTTCAACTGTCCTGCACGCTGTAATTTGGGTGACTTAGAGAGTTTTCTTTTCTTTTTTTTTTAGACAGAGTCTCGCTCTGTCGCCCAGGCTGGAGTGCAGTGACGCGATCTCGGCTCACTGCAAGATCCGCCTCCTGGGTTCATGCCATTCTCCTGCCTCAGCCTCCCGAGTAGCTGGGACTACAGGTGCCCGCCACCACGCCTGGCTAATTTTTTTGTATTTTTAGTAGAGGCAGGGTTTCACCATGTTAGCCAGGATGGTCTCCATCTCCTGACCTGGTGATCCGCCCGCCTCGGCCTCCCAAAGTGCTGGGATTACAGGCGTGAGCCACCACGCCTAGCCGAGAGTTTTCTTTTTAACTAACTTAGGACTTACGGGATAGAGAAAAGTACTGGGGCAATTACTCAGTGAGAAAAAACTCACTGAGACAATGTATTAAATATACTCTTTTTTTTTTTTTTTTTGGAGACGGAGTCTCACTCTGTCTCCCAGGCTGGAGTGCAGTGATGTGATCTCGGCTCACTAGAACCTCCGCCTCCTGGGTTCAAGCGATTCTCGTGCCTCAGCTTCCAGAGTAGCTAGGATTACAGGTGTGTGCAACCACACCCAGCTAATTTTTGTATTTTTAGAGGAGATGGGGTTTTACCACGTTAGCCAGGCTGATCTCAAACTCCTGACCTCAAGTGATCTGCCTGCCTTGTCCTCCCAAAGTGCTGGGATTACAGGTGTGAGCCACCACGCCCAGCCTAATGTATACTCTTAAGTACACATTCTTTCCTATCTCAAGTTCCTCCTTTCTAAGAAGCAGGAGAAAACTCTTCATGGGTACAGCTGATGGGATGTGTCAGCACTGGGTGGGCCTGGATGCTTTGTGTGTGTTCTCATTGCTCTATCTGGGCAGGGATGTGCACCTCTAGTTTTTTTTTTTACTAAATCTTTATATCCTGACTTTGCAATCTGTATTTTTACTTGAAAATCCAATAGCCTATGAGATGCAGAGGCTCTCTGCCTACCTAGGCCACTATTTACTCACCAGATTCATATTGTCCTGAATAGTCTATTTTTTAGCTCTGTATCTGGTTTCTGGACTCAGCTGTGAACTTAGCTATTGGAGGGGTTTTGAAGACCCTTTGGCAGAGGAGTCCAGACTGAAAACAAGTCCCCTATTTGTAAGGTACCATAACACTTTCTTTCTCATATGACAAAATTAAACCTCTCCTCCTCTACGAGTCCACTCCCCTCACTCACACACACACACACACAAACATATCACATCAACTTTTTCCTAACTCTGGACATAACTGTTAATAACTACTCGCTCCACAAGATGTTCAGAACTCTTTGTTCCTTTCTTTTAAGCCAGAATGCTGTATTTTCTCCTTTAACCATGAGGAGAAAAAGCAGATCTGGTCGAAGTCAGAGCTTTGTGTCTATCAGAGAACTGTTTCTGTTTAGCTGCTAAATGGCTGGTAAGTGGTTGAAAGTTCCAACTGGGGAAAGTTGGAGAGGATTAACAATTTTCCAGATCCTACTGAGTCAACTATTTTTACTAGGGCTTTAATATTTTGTCTGAAGTGTAGTAAATTCTCTAGAATGTTAGCCACAGTTTTAAAAACACATTTTTTAAGGTCAGGGGTACATGTGCAGGTTTATTATATAGGTAAACTCATGTCACAGGGAGTTGTCATACAGATTATTTCATCACCCAGGTATTAAGCCTAGTACCCATTAGTTATTTTTCCTGATCCTCTCCCTCCTCCCACCCTCCACCCTCTGGTAGGCCCCAGTGTCTATTGTTTCCCTCTATGTGTCCATGAAAAACACATTTTAAAGCCAACTTTCTCCAGGTCTTATTGCTGTCTATTAGCAAGGTATTAATTTTTTAAATGAACAACTATTAAACTCTTAAGTCACTTAGTAAAACTGGCAATTATTTGAGAGCCACTGATAAGAAGACAAAAAACTTCAAAATGCTGTTACTTCCCCTGTCAAAAAAAAAAAAAAAAACTTCCAATAATCAAAAGTGATGATGTTGAGCAAAAAAGCATTAGGTCTTGCTTTCCTATATACATTGTTGAGTTTTCTTTGTTACAGAAATTTGGAGCTCAAACCACTGGTGATTAAAATAAATTTTTCTTTCTGAAGAAAGAAGAAAGAAAATTAATGTTAAGAACAAACTATGAATCTACCACTGCTCAGTCCTTTTACATATTTTATGATATAATCACTGCTACAATATGACTACAATCTAATGGTTTTTTTTTTTAAGTTAAATGCTATTAAATTAAAAAGAAGACGGGCCAGGTGCGGTGGCTCATGCCTGTAATCCCAGCACTTTGGAAGTCGGAGGCGGGTGGATCACCTGAGGTCAGGAGTTCGAGACCAGCACGGCCAACATGGTGAAACCCCGTCTCTACTAAAAACACAAAAATTAGCTGGGCATGGTGGCAGGTGCCTGTAATCCCAGCTACTCAGGAGGCTAAGACAGGAGAATTGCTTGAACCCAGAAGGTGGAGGTTGCAGTGAGCCGTGATCATGCCATCACACTCCAGCCTGGGGGACAAGAGCGGGACTTCATATCAAAAAAAAAAAAAAAAGAAGATGAAGAAGAACAGAGGACTATTGCTTAAAACAGGGCAAAAGATGATTAGGTATCACTTTATCTTATCTTGCTTCTACTCTGTCCCACCCCCAAATTCAAAGTTTTAATGCTATTTACAAAATTTAGTCTTCTTCATAGTTGATACTGGAAGAAGTTATTATTTCGCAAACTACAAACAGAAATGCAAGATCCAATTGGTCAAAATCACAGTGGCAACACATGAGCAATAACATTTACACGTGATTACCTCTTTCAACTTTACAATTGCCTTCATAGCCTTTATTTAATCTTCATTAAAACTCTGTGAAGCCACTCCTCTGATTTCATCTTACAAAAGGGGAAACTGAGACCTGATAAGGCTGAATGACTATAGAAGGTTCACAATTATTAAGTAATTGGGTCAGGCTTCCAAGCCAGGACCTAACCTCATGTGTATACCTTATCTGAGTAGTTAGCTGCTTCATTCATAGATATTAAAGTAGGATCTAAGCATGAACATCTTGTTGGACACTTCTGTCTTCTTCACCTCCATATTTAATCAATCACCAAGTCCTACCTGCTTTGACCTTCTTACTACTTCCGAAAATCGATGTCTCCTTCTCCACTCCCTTGTCACTCATCATCCCTCACTTGAATTGTAATAGCCTTCGAACCAGCTTTTCCCAGTCTATCTTGTGTCACTCAGGTGCATGTTTCTCACAACCAACAAAGTGTCTAAAATGTAGTTCTGACCACAGAATCTTACTATGGCTGCCCATAATCTCAATCTACTAAAAATAAACAACTGAAACAAACTGCTGACATTCATAGTCCTCCAGAATCTCTGCCTGTCTCACCGACTTCATTTTCATTTGTCATTCCCTATCCCTACTTGTACTCACAAGGTGCCCATCCCACCTGGAGCATCCTCTCTCCATTCGCCTTTGCTTGACTAATGCCCAGTCCTTCTTTGAGGCTCAGCTCAGATGTCACCTGCCCAGATGGCTTTCATGCCCTCCCTCCACCAACTCAGGGACTTTCCTCTGTCTTTTCCATAAGACCTTGTGACTATTTTTATCATTTCATTTACCATCTACTTTTATAAAAATCTGATTTGTGTTTATCTCCTCCATTCGACTGTAAGCTCCCTGAGGGTAAGGGCAATGTCTTATTCATCTGTGTTTCTCCAACACTGGGCACAATACCCAGCACAAACAACACATGCCTGTTAGGTAAATTGTATATATTAGTTATGAAAAATACTTGCTGGTTTCAGAATCCTGCACAGAAATTGAGAAGATGATGTTGAAACGATGTGAAATGATGTGATGTGAAATGAATGTGGTGAATCAGCAGGTGACAAGACCATGAACTGTCAAAAGATGCTTTCAGAAACAGTCTAAAGAGGAGTATTGACAAAAACTCTAAATAAGGAGAGTGTACTATTAAGTTGGCAGTCGGGGGAAATGTTATTTCAAAAGTACCACAGAGCAGTGCCAACCAAACCACCCAATGCCCCAGACTCAGGAACCTCAGCAAAAGCACAAGTTGTCCTAGGACATGACAGATTTGTTTTCAGATCATAAGTCAAACACCAGGACCAGGACTGATGGAGACTTGGGTTTTTTTAAGGGATAACTCATCAGGAATTCTTTTAATATATAAACCCATTTGTCATCCTTTGAGTCTTCTTTGCTACTTCTGGCTATTTTCCCACTTCCCCTTTTCCTTGTGGGCCTTCAAATACCTCTTCCTCCCCTGTTTTCCAATGTCTCCTTGCTTTCTGCCTCTCATGTTATTGCTTGTGGAAGATCACCACTGACATTAAAATTTCCTGGAAAATTCCACTGGCTAATGTACACTTCTAATTGTGGAAAGTACATGGGTCACCTAAGTCCCTCCCTTAATGTGCTATGTTCTCCTGTTTGTTTCCACTGTTCCATCTCCCTGGAAGTCCTTCACCTGGCCAAACCATATCCATCCTTCAAGGTCTGGCTCAAATGTCCAATGTTAAACTTCCCCCAACCCTAAGACAGAGAGAGAATGCCCTGCTCTTTTATCTGTACTCCAGAGATGAATTTGCTTAGACAGCTAGAATAGCTTTTGTAGCACTCCGTGTTTTTACTTGTTTATGCAACAATCTCCCCTATGAGACTATGCCCCACTGAGGACAGGCACCAAATATCATCCATCTCTGTATCCCTTACCCTTATCAATGCCTAGAAAATCGTAGACACTCAAAAATACTTCTTGATTCCCAGGCAAACTGGCCGAATAGGAACAGCTCCAATCTGCAGCTACCAGCGAGACCTGCAGCCACCACAAGGAGGCAGGTGATTTCTGGATTTCCAGCTGAGGTACCTGGCTCATCTCACTGGGACTGGTTAGACAGTGGGTGCAGCCCATGGAGGGCAAGCAGAAGCAGGGTGGGGCGCTGCCTCACCCGGGAAGTGCAAGGGGTCAGGGAACTCCCTCCCATAGCCAAGGGAAGCCTTGAGGGACTGTGCTGTGAGGGACAAAGCTATCTGGCCCAGATACTACACTTTTCCCGCTGTCTTCACAACCCACAGACCAGGAGATTCCCTCGGGTGCCTACACCAACAGGACCCTGGGTTTGAAGCACAAAGCTGGGTGACCGTTTGGGCAGACACCAACTTAGCTGCAGGAGTTTTTTTTTTTCATAGCCCAGTGGCACCTGGAATGCCAGCAAGACAGAACCACTCACTCCCCTGGAAAGGGGGCTGAAGCCAGGGAGCCAAGTGGTCTAGCTCAGCGGATCCCCTCCCCACCCCTCTCCCCACCCCATGGAGCCCAGCAAGCTAAGATCCACTGGCTTGAGATTCTTGCTGCCAGCACAGCAGTCTGAAGTCGACCTGGGATGCTCAAGCTTGGTGCGGGGAGGGGTGTCTGTCATTACTAAGGCTTGAGTAGGAGGTTTTCCCCTCACAGTGTAAACAAAGCTACTGGGAAGTTCAAACTGGGTGGAGCCCACCACAGTGCTGCAAAGCCACTGTAGCCAGACTGCCTCTCTAGATTCCTTCTCTCTGGTCAGGGCATCTCTGAAAGAAAGCCAGCAGCCCCAGTCAGGGGCTTATAGATAAAACCCCCATCTCCCTGGGACAGAGCACCTGGGGGAAGGGGCGGCTGTGGGTGCAGCTTCAGCAGACTTAAATGTTCCTCCATGCTGGCTCTGAAGAGAGCATCAAATCTCCCAGCACAGTGCTTGAGCTCTGCTAAGGGACAGACTGCCTCCTCAAGTGGGTCCCTGACCCCCATGCCTCCTGACTGGGAGACACCTCCCAGAGGAGTCGACAGACAACTCATAGAGGAGAGCTCTGGCTGGCATCTGGCAGATGCCTCTCTGGGACGAAGCTTCCAGAAGAAGGAACAGGCAGCAATCTTTGCTGTTCTGCAGCCTCCACTGCTGACACCCAGTCAAATAGGGTCTGGAGTGGACCTCCAGCAAACTCGAGCAGACCTGCAGCAGAAGGGCTTGACCGTTAGAAGGAAAACTAACAAACAGAAAAGAATAGCATCAACATCAACAAAAAGAATGTCCACACAAAAACCCCATCTGATAATCACCAAAATCAAAGACAAAGGTAGACAAATTCACGAAAATAAGGAAAAACCAGTGCAAAAGGGCTGAAAATTCCAAAAATCAGAACACCTCTTCTCCTCCAATGGATCACACCTCCTCACCAGCAAGAGAACAAAACTGGATGGAGAATGAGTTTGATGAATTGACAGAAGTAGACTTCAGAAAGTGGGTAATAACAAACTCCTCCGAGCTAAAGGAGCGTGTTCTAACCCAATGCAAGGAAGCTAAGAACCTTGATAAAAGGTTACAGGAACTACTAATTAGAATAACCAGTTTAGAGAAAAACATAAATGATGGAGCTGAAAAACACAGCATGAGAACTTCGTGAAGCATACACAATTATCAATAGCCAAATTGGCCAAGTGGAAGAAAGGATATCAGAGATTGAAGATCAACTTAATGAAATAAAGCGTGAAGACAAGATTAGAGAAAAAAGAATGAAAAGGAATGAACAAAGCCTCCAAGAAATATGGGACTATGTGAAAAGACTGAGCCTACATTTTATTGGTATACCTGAAAGTGACAAGGAGAATGGAACCAAGTTGGAAAACACTCTTCAGGTTATTATCCAGGAAAACTTCCCCAACCTAGCAAGACAGGCCAACATTCAAATTCAGGAAATACAGAGAACACCACAAAGATACTCCTTGAGAAGAGCAACCCCAAGACACATAATCATCAGATTCACCAAGGTTGAAATGAAGGAAAAAATATTAAGGGCAGCTAGAGAGAAAGGTCGGGTTACCCACAAGGGGAAGCCCATCAGACTAACAGTGGATATCTCTGCAGAAACCTATAAGTCAGAAAAGAGTGTGGGCCAACATTCAATATTAAAAAAAAAAAAGAATTTTCAACCCAGAATTTCATATCCAGCCAAACTAAGCTTCACAAGCAAAGGAGAAATAAAACCCTTTACAGACAAGAAAGCAAATGCTGAGGGATTTTATCACCACCAGGCCTGCCTTACAAGAGCTCCTGAAGGAAAAACTAAATATGGAAAGGAAAAACCAGTACCAGCCACTGCAAAAACATACCAAAATGTAAAGACGATTGATACTATAAAGAAACTGCATCAACTAATGGGCAAAATAACCAGCTAGCATCATCATGACAGGATCAAAGTCACACATAACAATATTAATCTTAAATGTGAACGGGCTAAATGCCACAATTAAAAGACAGAGACTGGCAAATTGAATAAAGCACACCATCAGTGTGCTGTATTCAGGAGACCCATCTCTCATGCAAAGACATGCATAGGCTCAAAATAAAGGGATGCAGGAAGATTTACCCAGCAAATGGAAAGCAAAAAAAAAAACCAGGGATTGCAATCCTAGTCTCTAATAAAACAGACTTTAAACCAACCAACAAAGATCATAAAAGACAAAGAAGAGCATTACATAATGCTAAAGGGATCAGTGCAACAAGAAGAGCTAACTATTTAAATATATATGCACCCAATACAGGAGCACCCAGATTCATAAAGCAAGTTCTTAGAGACCTACAAAGAGACTTAGACTCCTGCACAATAATAGTGGGAGACTTTAACACCCCACTGTCAATATTAGACAGATCAATGAGACAGAAAATTAATAAGGATATTCAGGACTTGAACTCATCTCAGGACCAAGTGGACCTAATAGACATCTACAGAACTCTCCACCCCAAATCAACAGAATATACATTTTTCTCAGCACCACACTGCACTTACTCTAAAATGGACCACATAATTGGAAGTAAAACACTCCTCAGCAAATGCAAAAGAATGGAAATCATAACAGTCTCATAGACCACGGTGCAATCAAATTAGAACCCAGGATTAAGAAACTCACTCAAAACCACAAAACTACATGGAAATTGAACAACCTGCTCCTGAATGACTACTGGGTAAATAATGAAATTAAGGCAGAAATAAATAAGTTCTTTGAAACCAGTGAGAACAAAGACACAACGTACCAGAATCTCAGGCACAGCTAAAGCAGTGGTGTTTAGAGGGAAATTTATAGCACTAAATGCGCACAAGAGAAAGCAGGAAAGTTCTAAAATCAACGCCCTAACATCACAATTAAATGAACTAGAGAAGCAAGAGCAAGCAAATTCAAAAGCTAGCAGAAGACAAGAAATAACTAAGATCAGAGCAGAACTGAAGGAGATAAAGACACGAAAAACCCTTCAAAAAATCAATGAATCCTGGAAATGCTTTTTTTGAAAAGATTAACAAAATAGACTGCTAGCCAGACTAATAAAGAAGAAAAGAGAGAATAATCAAATGGACATGATAAAAAATGATAAAGGGGATATCACCACCGATCCCCCAGAAATACAAACTACCATCAGAGACTACTATAAACACCTCTATGCAAATAAACTAGAAAATCTAGAAGAAATGGACAAATTTCTGGACACATACACCCTCCCAATACTAAACCAGGAAGAAGTCGTACCTCTGAATAAACCAATAACAAGTTCTGAAATTGAGGCAGTACTTAATAGTCTACCAACCCAAAAAATCCCAGGACCAGATAGATTCACAGCCAAATTCTACCAAAGGTACAAAGAGGTGCTAGTACCATGCCTTCTGAAACTCTTCCAAGCAATAGAAAAAGAGGGACTCCTCCCTTACTCTTTTTATGAGGCCAACATCATCCTAATACCAAAACCTGGCAGAGACACAACAAAAAAAAGAAAATTTCAGTCCAATAATCCCTGAGGAACATCGATGTGAAAATCCTCAATAAAATACTGGCAAACAGAATCCAGCAGCACATCAAAAAGCTTATCCACCACAATCAAGTTGGCTTCATCCCTGGAATGCAGGGCTAGTTCAACTTACACAAGTCAATGAACGTAAGCCATCACTTAAAAAGAACCGATGACAAAAACCACACAATTTTCTCAATACATATCGAAAAGGCCTTCGATAAAATTCAACACCCCACTCATGCTAAAAACTCTCAATAAACTAGGTGTTGATGGAATGTTTCTCTTAATAAGAGCTATTTATGACAAAGCCACAGCTAATATCATGCTGAATGGGCAAAAGCTGGAAGCATTCCCTTTTAAAACTGATACAAGACAAGGATGCCCTCTCTCACTACTCCTATTCAACATATTATTGGAAATTTTGGCCAGGGCAGTCAGGCAAGAGAAAGAACGGGCATTTAAATAGGAAGAGAGGAAGTCAAATTGTCTCTGTTTGCAGATGACATGATTATATATTTGGAAAACCCCATCATCTCAGCCCAGAATCTCCTTAAGCTGATATGCAACTTCAGCAAAGTCTCAGGATACAAAATCAATGTGCAAAAATCACAAGCATTCCTATACACCAAAAATAGACAAACAGCCAAATCATGAGTGAACTCCCATTCACAACTGCTACAAAGAGAATAAAACACCTAGCAATACAACTTACAAAGGATGTGAAGGACCTCTTCAAGGAGAACTACAAATCACTTCTCAAGGAAAGAAGAGAGGACGCAAAGGGAAAAACATTCCATCCTCATGGATAGGAAGAATCAATATTGTGAAAATGGCCATACTGCCCAAAGTAATTTATAGATTCAATGCTATCCCCATCAAACTACCATTGACTTTCTTCAAAGAATTAGAAAAAACTACTTTACATTTCATGTGGAACCAAAAAGAGCCTGTATAGCCAAGACAATCTAAGCAAAAAGAACAAAGCTGGAGGCATCATGCTACCTGACTTCAAACTATACTACAAGGCTACAGTAACCAAAACAGCTTGGTACTGGTACCAAAACAGATATATAGACCAATGGAACAGAACAGAGGCCTCAGAAATAACTCCACACATCTACAGCCATCTGAGACTTGACAAACCTGACAAAAGCAAGCAATGGGGAAAGGATTCCCTATTTAATAAATGGTGTCAGGAAAACTGGCTGGCCATATGCAAAAAACTAAAACTGGACCCCTTCCTTACATCTTATACAAAAATCAACTAAAGATGGATTAAATATTTAAACATAAGACCTAAAACCTTAGAAGAAAATCTAGGCAATACCATTCAGGACATAGGCATGGGCAAAGACTTCATGACTAAAACACCAAAAGCAATGGCAACAAAAGCCAAAATTGACAAATGGGATCTAATTAAACTAAAGAGCTTCTGCAGAGCAAAAGAAACTACCATCAGAGTGAACAGGCAACCTACAGAATGGGAGAAAAATTTTGCGATCTATCCATCTGACAAAGGGCTAATATCCAGAACCTACAGGGAACTTAAACAAATGTACAAGAAAAAAACAAACAAACCCATCAAAAAGTGGGTGAAAGATATGAACAGACACTTAGAAGACATTTATGCAGCTGACAAACATATGAAAAAAAGCTCATTATCACTGGTCATTAGAGAAATGCAAATCAAAACCACAATGAGATACCATCTCACACCAGTTAGAATGGCAATCATTAAAAAGTCAGGAAACAATAGATGCTGGAGAGGATGTGGAGAAATAGGAACGCTTTTACACTGTTGGTGGGAGTGTGAATTAGTTCAAACATTGTGGAAGACAGTGTTGCGATTCCTCAAGGATCTAGAACTAGAAATACCATTTGACCCAGCAATCCCATTACTGGGTATATACCCAAAGGATTATAAATCATTCTACTATAAAGACACATGCACACTTATGTTTATTGCAGCACTATTCACAACAGCAAAGACTTGGAACCAACTCAAATGTCCATCAATGATAGACTGGATAAAGCAAATGTGGCACATATATACCATGGAATACTATGCAGCCATAAAAAAGAATGAGTTCATGTCCTTTGCAGGGACATGGATAAAGCTGGAAACCATCATTCTCAGCAAACTAACGCAGGAACAGAAAACCAAACACTGCGTGTTCTCACTCATAAGTGGGAGCTGAACAATGAGAATATATGGGCACAGGGAGGTGACCATCACATACTGGGGCCTTCCAGGGGGTGGGGGGCAAGGGGAGGGATAGCATTAGGAGAAATACCTAATGTAGATGACGGGTTGATGGGTGCAGCAAACCACCATGGCACGTGTATACCTATGTGACAAACCTGCACATTCTGCACGTGTATCCCAGAACTTAAATATAATTTTTAAAAAAATTATTGAACTATCTTGCTTTATTTGCTCACTAAGGTGTCAAGTTCACTCCTAAAGTTAGGAAGACTGACTCTAATCAAGGTTTGGTAGCATATAAGGAGAAATTTAAAGATTGGACTATATGAGTATTAGGTATTTAATTACTTAACAAATATTTATTGGTCTTCTACTACGAAGCCCACTGTTCTCAAGGCTGAGGATACTGTGGGAAAAAAAGACCACTGGGTCTTATGTTCTCAGGCTAACAGAGAAACTATGATTAATCCAATAATTATACAATTAATTATGATGCAATTTTCATAAGCATATCAAAAGATAACTAGAGGATGCCATGAGAACATGTGATGACCTAAACTGAGGGATGTTAAGGAAGGCTTCCTCAGTGAGTGAGTGATACGCAGACTAAAAGTAGAAGAAAGCAAGCATCCCTAGGTGAAGGGGGAAGTATGGGGAGACAAAAAGAAGCCGCATATTTGAAGTACATGGCACCTTAGAGAAACTATACAAGGGCCTACTAGAGACTTCCAATTGCCCCTCCAGATGCATTTGCCACACACTTACAACCTATTTTGTGCCTGTATGAACTATATTGATGGCTTTCCCTGCCTTCTAGCTTCTGGTTATTCTGTCAACAAGAGGCCCTGGCAAGAGAGCAGAGGGTAGGAGGAGAATGAAATCAAAGTATTTATTCTCCCAGCTTCCACCCTGACAGGTGGCTATGTTTGGCTTCACTCCTCTACCTATGGCCATGGCTTCTATCTGGCGGTCCTCTCTGTGGAGCTGCTCCATGGGCCCTGCAATGGCTCTCTCCACTTTTCCTACAGACTAAGAGGTAATAACAGCTCCCTGAGCTCTTACCCACAGGGGACTGCACCACCTCTTGTCAGTTTTCTCAGATCCTGTCCACACCCTTGTAATTACCCATTTTGATTATGCTATCTTCCTGCTAGAACGCTGACTGATACAAGGGCAAATAAGAAGCTAGATCATTCAGAAAGTTTTAAACTATTATAAGGGCTTTAGATTTTTGTCCTGAATGCCATGGGAAACCTCTGAAGGGGTTAGGCAGATGAGGTAGGTGATCAAGTTTGCATTTTTTAAATGTACACTCTTTGGGTCATGTCTACACTAAAAGTCCAGACATCACCATTACACAATATATCCATGTAACACAACTGCATTGTATCCCCTAAATCTATAAAAAATTTTAAAATGCAAAAAAAAATCACTCTAAGAGCTTCTGTGTAGAGAAGAGATGGAAGAGGTGTAAGAGGAGAAAGGGAGTCTGGTTATGAGGCAATTAGAGTCACAAAGTTGGCAAATGATGAGCCACAGTGGAAAAATCTGAGGCTGGCTACAGAGGTGTGACACAGAACTAGGAGGGACAAGGGAGCAACAGAAGCCCAGCAAGATCTTCAACATCATGCACATAAGACCACCGGGCTCTCTCCACTCTCTTCTTTGCCTCATGGAGTTTATATTGCCCAGCTGCAGTGACCTCCTCACCAATCGCAGTGACTGCCTCACCAATCACAGTACACCTTGTGCCTGGGGTACACTATCTATCTGGAATGTTCTTCCTCTCACCCAAATCCTACCCATCCTCCAAGACTAGCTCAAAAGATAATAAGTAACCATAGCTAACAATTTCTGACAACTTACTATTTTCCAGATATTATGTTAGCATTAGCTCATATAATTGGCCTACCTATGAAGGAGGTACTGTCACTCACTCCATTTTACTGATGAGGAATTGGGCTCAGAGCTGTTAAGTGCTCATAATCACACCACACTGGGCTTGAACCCAGGCCTGGATACCTTCAAAACCCTGTGTTTGATCCTGACCTAACATTGCCCCTGAAATAGCAATAGTTAACTTTGTTGATGACTTACTAAGTGACAGGTATTAAGCACTCCCTCAAACTGTTTTATTTGATGCTGGTAACAACCCAATGAGATAAGAAACAATTTAAATATCATCTTCAGGGTATGAAACTAAAGCAGAGAAAGTTAGAAACTAGCTCAAATGCCACCTCCTCAACAAAGTTTTGCCAGATTCCCCACACTCTTGAACACGATTCCTCCCTCCTCTGAAATCTGAGGCACTGCAATGCATCTCCAATAGCATCACCACCCTCTGCTTCATATCCTTGCTGCTTAGCCTGTATCATCTTTTTATTAAAAGGGCAATCTAAGTCTGACTCACCGTCAATTACCCCAAGCGCCTGTCCGTAGTTTCCCAACGGCCATTCCCTGACAATTACTTGCTTCAAGTAAGCACTTGCAGTATATTAATGAGTGAACACTGGAATGCCTGCAATGTGCCATCAAGGGACTCAACTAGTGATGAGTCACAGAGTTCCCCTCAGTATTTGCTTAGACCACAGCACTGGGCCCTCCAACCAGGGCAGAGCCAGTTATCTCACAGCCACTAGACTTCTGGATCACATTCAACATTAACCGAGGCACTATGTACACTGCCTGAAGAGCAGAAAAAAGAAATTCAATTTCTATTTATTATAAGTAGCTCATTAGGTAGTAAAATAACCATAGTGGTGGAGAGTTGTAGGTTTTGGAAGCCGTTACACCCAGTCCTGCTCTTCACTGCTCCATAAGCTTGATCCCATTAGTGACTTTACTTACTTGAACTGCAGACTCCTCATCTATAAAATAAAAAACAATAAGAACCACCTGCTTGGGATTGTTAGGAGGATTAAGTGAGACAATACATGAAAAGCATCTATAACTAAGGTGCCTGGCAGTAAATGGTAGTTATAATTAAATATGAAAGTAGTATATTCTGCATACTGCATTTAAGGGGTATCACTGGCAAACAGGAAATCTGAAAGAGAACAAGAGGATTGTTCCATACGCTGTCAAAGGAACTGGAGGAGTTTGGCCTATGACATCTAGGAGAATGTACAAGACGTATCTTAATAGATCTGTAGAATTCGCATGTGGAAGAGAAAGATGAATTCTGTGTGGCTCCTAAGATGAACTAGAACCAGTGGATAAAGTGGTAAAGCCCAAATTTTGATTCACTATAAGGGAAGCCTTTCAAATGACTAGGCTGTCCAGTTGGACTGGAAAACTAGCAGGAGTTTGCTCATTGGACTTGCTCAGGCAAAGCCTGGAAGATACGTCAGAGATACTAAAGGCAGAAATGCTTTATGTGGGAGGTCAGCCTCAATGGCAAGGAAGTTTCATGCTAATGCCAAGATTCTGTTATTCTGTTGTCCAAAAATGCAAATGCACACGGGAAAGTTGAATAATGAAAGATCCAAAGGTTTCATGCACTCGATTATTAATTCTGGAGTGGCACAAATTAATCTATCAGCTGCAATGATTTATTTCCACCCACATCCAGGTAGACTCCTTTTCCTGAATACTTACAAAGATGATTCAGAGCTGTCATCTTGGCATCTCTCCAGACAATAGACTCATAGTTTCCTAAAGTTGGACAGAACCTGTGAGTTTTTTTAAACCAACTTCTGATCAAATGTCTTTGAATAGAAGAATAATCTCACACTCCTTAGCTGGTTAGCAGCGCACAGAGAAAAACAATCCCTACACAGTGGAGATAAACACATAAAGTGATTACTGTGAACATCCAAACTTTAGGCACCAGGACTGCTATCTAGCGAGGGCTATTCTCTGCTTCCAGGATGGCGCCTTGTTACTGCGTCCTTCAGAGGAGCGGAACCCTGTGGCCTCACATGATGGAAGGCAGAAGCAAGTCAATCAAACCCTGCATAAAGCCTCTTTTATGAGGGCCTTAATTGCACTGGTGAAGAAGGAGACCTCATGGCCTAATGACCTCTTAAAGGCCCCACCTCTTAATCCTCACACTTTGGCCATTACGTTTCAACACCCAAAGTTTGGAGGGGACACATTCAAAGCATAGCACTCCCCATGCTTCTAGAAAAAGGATAGGGCATCACCAAAGCAGTTGAGAAGCAAAAATAGGTGCCTTTACTTGTACCTACAGACACAAAAGCAGGGACTGTTTTTACCTGTATTACATTAGGTATGCAGTTGGCTATGTTTTCGTAGATACCATGTCTCTCGTCTAAAGTCTACTTTGACTGATATTGATATATCAGACAAGCTTTTTCAAGATTCATCTTTTCATGGTATATCTTTTTTCATCTTTTTGCTTTTAACCTGTGTCTTTATATTTAAAGTGGGCTATTTGCAGAAGTATACATTTGGGTATGGCTTGGTTTTATTTTAAATCATGTCTGACAAAAATCTTCCTTTTAATTGGAGTGTTTAGATCATTTTTATTAATATAATTACTAGTGTGGTAGGAATTAAATCTGCCATTTGAGATTTGTTTTTTATTTGTTGCATCTGTTATTTATTCCTTTTTTTGTTTGTTTGTTTGAGATGGAGTTTCACTCTGTTGCCTAGGCTAGAGTGGCGTGATCATAGCTCACTGCTGCAACCTTGAACTCCTGGGCTCCAGTGATCCTCCTGCCTGAGCCTCCTAAATCGCTGGGATTACAGACATGAGCCACTGCGTCTAGCATATTTATTCCTTTTCGCATCTTTCCTTGCCTACCTTAAAGTCAATTGAGTATTTTTAAAGAATTTTATCTCAACTAAATGCTTATTTCCCATGCTTTTTGGTGGTTTTTTTTTTTTTTTTTTAGGAATTGCTCTAGGGTTTACATTGTGCTTCTTTCCCTTATTGCAGTACACTTTCAAATAGTATTATGCCAATTTATAGTGTAAAAAATATAATGTTTTAACAGTATATGTATATTTCACTCTCGTATCCTTTATGCTATTGTTGTTGCACATTTTACTTCTAGAAATATTATAAAGCCTATAATGCATTGTTATCTTTTCTTCTGCGGTGTCAAACTTGCTGTTAATCCCATCTAGTAATTTTTAAATTTCAAATATCAAGAAATTCCATTTGGCTCTTTTTTGTATCTTCCATTTCTCTCCTTGCTGCATTCACGTTTTTCTTTAATACTTGAACATAGTTATATTAGTTGTTTTAGCATTCTTGTCTCCTAATTGCATCATCCCTATCATCTCTGAGTCTGTTTCTATTGACTGATTTTTTTCGTGGTTATGA
This sequence comes from Homo sapiens, assembly GCF_000001405.40. Taxonomy (NCBI): domain Eukaryota; kingdom Metazoa; phylum Chordata; class Mammalia; order Primates; family Hominidae; genus Homo; species Homo sapiens. Next base: position 91,655,383 of record NC_000010.11, read on the forward strand.
GTCTTATTTTCCTTCTTGGCATGTCTAACATTTTTTTTTTTTTTTTTTTGAGACGGAGTCTGGCTCTGTCGCCCAGGCTGGAGTGCAGTGGCACGATCTCGGCTCACTGAAAGATCCGCCTCCTGGGTTCATGCCATTCTCCTGCCTCAGCCTCCCGAGTAGCTGGGACTACAGGTGCCCGCCGCCACACCCGGCTAATTTTTTGTATTTTTAGTAGAGACGGGGTTTCACCATATTAGCCAGTATGGTCTCGATCTCCTGACCTCATGATCCACTCGCCTCAGCCTCCCAAAGTGTTGGGATTACAGGCGTGAGCCACCACGCCCGGCCAACAATTTTTTATTGGATGTTGGACATTATAATTTTAAGTTGTTGAGTTACTAAATTATACTGTCTTCCCTTAAAGAGTGTTTGGCATTGTTCTGGTAAGTAGAAAATTTACTTGGGGTTGGCCAGGGGCGGTGACTCATGCCTGTAATCCTAGCACTTTGGGAGGCGGGTGGATCACAAGTTCAGGAGATCAAGACCATCCTGGCTAACACGGTGAAACCCCATCTCTACTAAAAATACAAAAAAAAAATTAGCTGGGCGTGGTGGCGGGCGCCTGTAGTCCCAGCTACTCAGGAGGCTGAGGCAGGAGAATGGCATGAACCTGGGAGGCAGAGCTTGCAGTGAGCCGAGATCGTGCCACTGCACTCCAGCCTGGGAGACAGAGCGAAACTCCGTCTCAAAAAAAAAAAAAAAAAAAGAAAGAAAGAAAATTTATTTGAGGTTCAATGCAATTGTTTGCCAGATTTGTTAGAGCATGTCTATAGTAGCCTTCACTCTATGGATAATTTAGCCCATTAATAAGCTATGGTGGCCAGGCAAGGTAGATCATGCCTGTAATCCCAGCACTTTAGGAGCCTGAGGCAGGCAGGAGAATTGCTTGAGCTGAGAAGTTCAAGACCAGCCTGGTTAACATAAGAAGACTCCATCTCTACAAAAAATTTAAAAATTATCCGGGCATGGCGGTGTATGACTGTAGTCCCAACTATTTAGGAGGCTGAAGTAGGAGAATCACTTGAGCCTGGGAGGTCAAGGATAAAGTGAGCTGTGACCACGGGGCCACTGCACTCCAGCCTGGTTAACAGAGTGAGACTCTGTCTCAAAAAAAAAAAAAAAAAAAAGCTATGGCCATTCTAGGGTCTCTAGTGAATGCTCCAAATGATCAACAAGAACTCTCAACCCTGGCCTATGGGAACTCAGTGATCCCAGTCCTATGTGAGCTCTAGAAACTTTTCAGCTCTTTGCCCATACCTCATAGAGTTTCACTGTACACATTTAAGGCTTAGTGTTCAGCAAAGACTCAGGGAGCGCCACGCAGATTTCTGGAGGGCTTTTTCTACATAGCTTCCTCCTCTCCAGAACTCTGCCCTACAATTTCCAGTCGCTTTAGACTACTTGAACTTCAGTCTCTGTCTCAACTCAGTGAGTCTACCATGTTCTGCCTGGGATTCCTCTTTTTGCTTTGTGATCCAGAACGTGCCTCCAGGCAGAAAACCAGGACAATTATAGGGTTAGCCTCATTTGTTTCCCTTCTCTAAGGGATCACAGTCCTGTGATGCCTGTTGCCAATGTCTAAAGACAATTGATATTTTGTCCAGTTTAAGGTAGGTAAGTAACACCTTGATGGCCAGAAACAGAAGTCCTCTAGTTGTTCCTAATTTTATAAAAACAGTATTGTGCTACAGGTAACCCTTGAGGACTTCTGTTTTTCACTCTATATTCTATTGCCAGGATTCATCCATATCTTCATATGTAGCTGTGAGCTATTCTTTTGACTGCCATGTAATAGTACGTTGTGTGAAACCACAAGCTACTTACCCATTCTCCTGTTGATGGGCATTTGGGTTGTTTCCAGTTTTTTGTTGTGATTATTTTTGTATATGTTTCCTGGTATATTTTTGTAAGAGTTTCTTTTGTATATTTAATATTTTAATTAACATTTTTGCTGATTGTATCAAGCCCTTTTCTGACATTTATTGATTACATCATTTTTCCCCTTAATTTGTTGCTGTAGGGAATTATATTGTTGGACTTCCTAATGGCAAACCTTTCTGGCACTCCTAAAATACACTTAGTTGGGGTCTATCATTCTTTCAACAAGACTACTAGAACTACTAAATTTTGTGAGTCCAGTTTATTGAGGAATAATTTATAGGTAGTAAAAATCATACTTCTAAAGTATATAGTTTGATGAGTTTTGACAAGTATATTCAGTCATATAACCACCACCACAATAAAGATATAAACATTTCCATCACACCAAAATGTTTCCTCATACCCTTTCACAGTCAATTTTCTGTCCTACCTCAAATCCTTGGAAATTATTTGTCTGAGTTCTGTTCTTATAGGTTCACCTTTTCCAGAATGTCATACTCTAAATAAAGTCATACAATATGTAGGCTTTTACAAATGGCTTTTATCACTCTACATAATGCTTTTGCAATTCATCCATGTTGTTGCATATATCAAGAGTTTTTTTCCTTTTTTACTGTTGAATAGTATTGTATGAGTTCATCCATTTGTTCATCCATTCACTAGTGGGTAAACTTTTGGACTTTTTGTTTCCAGTTTTTAAAAACAATTAGAAATCCGTCTGCTGTACAAATTTAGGTATAAGTCTTTTTGTGGACAAATGCTTTCATTTCCTTAGGTAAATACCTAAGTGTTAGATTGCTGGGGCATCTGATAAGTTCAGCACTATAGAAACTGACAGACTTTTCCAAAGTATCTATACTATTTTGCATTCTCACAAGCAAGGTATAAGAGTTCCAGTTGCTCCAACTCGTCACCAGCATTTTATGTCGTCAATAGGTTGTTTGACTTATTATTGAGCTGCAAAAGTTGTTTATATATTCAGGATATAGGTCCTTTGTTAAACAGATTTTTTACCAATATTTTCTCTTAGTCTGTGCTTTCCTTTTTTTATTTACTTAATGTCTTTCAAATGCTTAACCCAAGACCACAAAGATTTTCTCCTATATTTTCTCCTAGAAGTTTTATAGCTTTAGCTCTCACATTTCTGTCTATAATCTATTTTGATTTAGTATCTTCGTAGATGTGAAGTAAGGGTTAAGATGTTATTGTTGTTCTTGTTACTCTTTTGTCCTTGTTTTTACATATGGAGTTTCAATTATTCCAGCACCATTTTTTTAAAGATGACCCTTTCTCCATTGAATTTCCTTTGCATATTTGTCAATATTCAATTGTACATAAGTATGTGTGGGTCTATTTCTGGAGTCTCTATTCTATTCTATGTTCTATAAAACTATCCTTTTGCCATTATAACGTGTTCTTCATTTTTTTTTCTTTTGAGATGGAGTCTTGCCCTGTTGCCCAGACTAGAGCGCAGTAGCACGATCTTGGCTCACTGCAACCTCCACCTCCTGGGTTCAAGCAATTCTCCCTGCCTCAGCCTCCTGAGTAGCTGGGACTACAGGCATGCACCACCACGTCCAGCTAATTTTTGTATTTTAGTAGAGACTGGGTTTCACCATGTTGGCCAGGCTGGTCTTGAACTCCTAACCTCAGGTGATCCACCCGGCCTCCCAAAGTGCTGGGATTACGGGCATGAGCCACTGCGCCAGGCCTCATTATAACACATTCTTGATTACCATGACTTCACAGTTAAGTCTGAAATCATGTAGTACGAAAGTCTTCCAACTTTGTTTTTATTTTTCAAATGGACTTGCTACAGTTTTACATAAAATTTTTTCATGTTTAGTCATAAGGTGAACTACAGAAGCATTTTGTGATATATATATATTAGGTTTTAATATTAAAGTTATGCTTGTTTCATATTATTAATTGAGGAACTTTCCATACCTTTTCAGAGTCTGAAATAATTTGACTAACACAGAAATTAACTCTTCCTTGAAGATTAGATGGAATTCCATTGTAAACAATTTAAGTAGGTTTTTGTTTCCTTAAAAAGAAAATTTTAACAATCTTTTGCATTTCTTCTGTCATTTTTGGTGTATCTGAGTTTTTTATATATCTTCCTGTACCAATTTTACTCATTTATATTTTCCTAGAAAATCATCTATTTTGTTTAGACTTTCAGATTTACTGAGATTTATCAATTTACAATTAATTAATAAACTTCAAATGTATAAATATATTTATAAACATAGAAAACTGAGGCACAGAGAAATCAAGTAACATGCCAGAGATCATACAGCTAATAGCTGGTAGGGCCATGATTTGGATCTGGGCTCCAGAATCCCTGCATTTAACCACTAGACATCAGGAAAAACTGACATGTGACAGTTTTTCCTGATGTCTACAGTGACCTACATGTTTGGAATATCATTTGATAAAGTCTTTCATGATATCCTTATGAACAAGACAAAGAAATGTTAGGCAGCTACAAAACTTGTTGAGCAACCTTGCCCAAACAGAACTCCATCTTTAGCTTTCTTCTTTAAATCCATCAAGAAAGAAAATAAAGGACTTGACATAAAGATCCAAGACTTCCATGAAAACATAAAATATGTTTTCCAAATGTGCAAATGGTACAAAAGTGAATCTAATAGCTTAATGGTGAAAAGGAACTCAAAAAAGCCTTCACCACTGTAACTTAGACAACCAAATGAATGTAAACTGAACAGACTTTAGGCCCCACAAGAGCAAAGACAAAATATGTCTTATTTATCAATGTAAACAAAGCTCCCAGGAGAATCATAGCTGCTAAGTAAATATTTTTGAATGTTCATTGAAAGAAAAGTATGCACATTACTGAACTTAAACAACTGCACAAGTTTAAAATGCAGTTGACATGGTTAAACATTGAGACAAGGGGGAAAAAAAGTTTTGGTTTGCCACAAGCTGTGTTAATCAATAATGCAAGGGTGCAGGATTTGGCGACAGAAAACTTAAAACTGGATCTGTTTCCAGGACAAGCCACTTAAGCTCACAGCGAAATAAAGTTAAAAATTATTCCATTTTTTATTTTATTTTATTTTATTTGAGACAGAGTCTCATTCTGTCACCCAACCTGGAGTACAGTGGCATGATCTCAGCTCACAACAACTTCTGCCTCCAGGCTCAAGCAATCTTCCCACCTCAGCCTCTCATGTAGCTGGGACCACAGGTGCATTCCACCATGCCTGGCTAATTTTTGTATTTTTTGTAGAGATGGAATTTTGCCATGTTAGCCAGGCTGGTCTCAAACTCCTGGGCTCAAATGATCCACCTGCCTCAGCCTCCCAAAGTGCTGGAATTACAGGCATGAGCCACCATGCCTGGCAAATAATAATTCAAAAGATTGGTGTGAGCATAAGATCATTTATGTGAGAATTTTTTTGCAAACTACAAATGTCCATTATTATTGTTGTTATTATTAGATTATAAATTCCAACAGGAAGTTAAAAAGTACCTTGAGCTTAACTGTAATTTCTCAGTTTTGACAGGGTTTAGGGGACAGGGTGAAGATTTGAAAACGGTATGTATGAAGTGCCTAGCAGGATGTCCAAAATATATTTAACATTTTAAAAATCTTGGTATAAGTGGATTATCTTTTCATACATATTAGACTGTATGCATGAGGGGACTCCAAAAAGTTCACGGAATCTGGGTGCAGTGGTGTGTACCTGTAATCCCAGCTACTGGAGAGGCAGAGGTGGGTGGATCATTTGAGACCAGCCTGGGCAACATAGTGAGACCCTGTCTCTTAAAAAAGAAAAGAAAAGAAAATGTTAGTGGAAAATGAAATTAAAAGATAAAAATAGAAAATATAAACTGTATTTCTGAACATAAGCTCCATCAAGGTTAAGATACTCTATAAGCAATGATACCAGCCATATAGTCCATCCTTAAAGAACTGGGAATTTAACAATGTCAATGTGTTTTTTTTTTTAAATAATTAACTGAAGAAAAGTGGGTGCCCTTTAAAGATCTTTCCAAGATTAGAAAACATAAATAAGTCAGAAGGAGTCAAATCAGTACTGTAAGGTGGATGCCTAATGATTTCCCACAAAAACTCCCAAAAAATTGCCCTTGTTTGATGAGAGAAATGAGCAAGAGCATTGTCATGGTGGAGAAAGACTCTCCGGTGAAACCTTTCCAGGTGTTTTTCTGCCAAGTCTTTGGCTTTCTCAGAACAATCTCATAATAAGCAAATGTTATCATTCTTTGGCCCTCCAGAAAGTCAACAAGAAAAATGCCTTGAGTATCCCAAAAAACTTCTGCCATGACCTATGCTCTTGACTGATCCACTTGTGCTTTGACTGGACAACTTCCACCTCTTGGTAGCCATTGTTTCAATTGTGCTTTGTCTTCAGGATCATACTGGTAAAGCCATATTTCATCTCCTGTTACAATTCTTTGAAGAAATGCGTCGGGATCTTGATCCCACTTGTTTAAAATTTCCATTGAAAGGTCTGTTCTTGTCTGCAGCTGATCTGGGGACAGTGGTTTTGGCACCATTGAGCGGAAGTTTGCCCAACTTTAATTCTTGAGTCAGAAGTGTTTAAGCTGAACCAGTTGAAATGCCTATGGTATTGGCTATTTTCTGGTGTTAATCATCAGTCCTCTTCAATTACTGCATGAACAATATTAATCTTTTTCTCACAAATTGATATGGATGGTCAGTCACGTGGGCTTCACGTGACTTCAACAGTCTCATTCCTTCTTAAAATGAATTATCCATTTGTAAACTAATAATTTGTTTTGGGCATTGTTCCCATTAATTTTTCATAAAGCATCAGTAATTTCACCATTTTTCCACCCAAGCTTCACTATAAATTTGGCGTTTGTTCTTGCTTCAATTTTTGTAGAAATCATCTGTTCTGATAGGGAGTCATTTCAAATTAATGTCTTATCCTTCTTAATGCCTCAAGCTAGATGCTGTTCAGACATACTGCAACAATTTACTGTGATTTTATTTTAGTGCAAAAACATTTTGAAATGCATCCATGGTTTTTTCATAATATACATTTTCCATGATTTTTTAAAGACCCCTCATATAAGAATATATATGATCATATATGTGTGTGTGTATATATATACATATATGTAATCACATATGTAAGGATATACGTTAAAATGTAAACAGGTTATATTGAGTTATCCCTGAGTCACTATTCTAGATACAGAAGATACAATGGAGAATTACATGGACAGAACGCCTTCAGTTTTTTGTCATTTACTTCTCTTCAACTCCTCTCCCATTTACGAGGACCACTTTTTTAATTAGTAAAATGAAAACCAAACTACAGTATAGAGGTGATAAAAAGATCAGTGGTTGCCAGGGGTGTACAGAAGGAAAGGGAGTTAGAGCACAGCAGATTTTTAGGGCAGTGAATTACATTGTCACTTAGTAAAACCCATAGAACTGTACATCACACAGAGCAAATCCTAATGTAAACTATGGATTTTAGTTAATAATAACATATCTCTATTGATTTTCATTTGTAACAAATGTACCACACCAATGCAAGATGTTGATAATAGGGGGAACTGAAAGTGGAATGGGGTATATGGGAACTCTCTGTACTTTCTGTAAACCTAAACCAGTTCTGAAAAATAGTCTTTAATTAAAAGAAAAACTAAAAAAGAAAAGAAAAATCAATGAAAATTCTGGCTTGCTTAGATGGACACTTTCCAAATACTAAATTGCAATTGAGTTATTCTTCTTGGCAATAAACAACTTGTGGCCTTTTTTTCTTTTATAGCAAGAAATAACTAGTTGCATCTCTCTTTTTGACTCAAGTATATTGAACAATAACAAGAAAATGCCTGGTTGGGTATAGAAAAACTGCCTTGTTAGCTATTTTATTTATGATGTGTGCTTTAATATTTGTTTATATGCTAATAGTGGTTGCTTGGCAACTAAGTTTGGGGCTTCCTTCAGGTAGAAGTGCGTTGTCTAATAGCACCTCATTGTCTTCAATGCTGGATTTCCAAAGCCACCCACCATACCCTAAGTTATGGAATTCTTGGTTTGAATGATATTCAGATCTAGTTTTTTTCTTATTCATTCAACAACTATTTATGTAGAGTATCTACTATGTGTCAGTCACAATTCTAGATTCTGAAGACAGAGTGAAGAATAAAGTGAACAAAGTCCCTGTCCTCAAGGAGCTTATATTCTAGTAGGGTGGGGGGATAAACAAATATAATTTTTCAATGATAATATTCAGGTAAAGATGGAAATGAGTGCTATGAAAAAAGTAAAGTAGAGTAAGGAGATAAAAAGACTTTGGAAGAACGTTTCTCTTTGCTAGTTTATGAGTAGTTAGTGAAGATCTCTCCAAAGAGGTAATATTTGAAGATAGCTGAATGAAGTGAGGGGTGTGCCATGGAAATACATTTGTATATGGGATTAGACGCATGCTGTGGAGGAAAAGCTAGTGCAAATGTTAGGTTTTGAAGGGAAGGCGAGGGTTAAAGAAAGACACGCACACAGTAAGAGGGCAGCTCAACAGCAAATTCAGACTTTACGTCCAGCATAAAACCTACAGAAGTGGGGGACCAGCCTAATGCCAGAGCCCATTGCTGCTTACAAGCTGGGACAATTTATAGGTATGAGTAGGGAGGGGTCTGGGCAGTAGGGCTTGCTTCCTGGCAGGATACTGATAAGATGTTCTCGTGATGAGGTGGTTCTGGCCCTTGTTCAGGTGGGATGTCATCGTGATATTCCTTGGACCTTTGTCCAGCAAGCTATGATTGGGATGTTTCTTTCTTTCTTTCTTTCTTTCTTTCTTTCTTTTTTTTTTTTTTTTTGACAGAGTTTCGCTCTTGTCACCCAGGCTGGAGTACAATGGCATGATTTCAGCTCACTGCAACCTCCACCTCCCGGGTTCAAGTGATTCTCCTGCCTCAGCCTCCCATGTAGCTGGGATTATAGGCGCCCACCACCACATCTGGCTAATTTTTGTATTTTTAGTAGAGATGGGGTTTCGCCATGTTGGCCAGGCTGGTCTTGAACTCCTGACCTCAGGTGATCCGCCCATCTTGGCCTCTAAAAGTACTGGGATTATAGGCGTGAGCCACCACACCTGGCCTGGGATTTGGGCCTTTGTCTGCCTTGTGGTCAGGTGGTTAGGCATGATGTTTCTCAAGGCCCAAACCCCTGTGAAATGTTTCACTTTGACCAAGGTCTGCAAAATAGTGGGAAGCTTACAAAATGATGCAGTTTGGACTAACAGCAAAGACCCTGGGACAGGGGCATGCTTGGAATTTCCAAAGACGGCAAGCTGAGTAAGTCAGTGAGTTAGCCAAAGAGGATGGGAAATAAACTCAGAGCTATGGAAGGCCACTGGGGAATTTTGAGCATTTTTTAAAATGTGGCATGATAGTTGCTATATGGAAAGTAGACTGTGAGGGATATTTAGAGGCAAATGAAGAGATCAGGCAGACACTACTATAGTGGCCAGAAGAGAGACCGCAAACTGAATGAATCAGTCAGGTGGACAACCAACAATCCAGGTTTAATGGCATGTTCGATATCAAAGAAAAACTACTATTTATCTCCAAATTAGAGGTAACAAACCAATTTGGGAAACAAAGACTAACTGATTAGGTAAAAGCAAAGTTCAGCAGTGATTTCTGTAGAAATCACTTTTCCCTAAGCTTCAGGGAAAAGCTGATTTTCTAAGCAATATTCTCCTCTCCCACATTACCTGAAATCTTTTTCACTACCTTAAAATCAATTTCTCATATTGACAAGACATATCAGACAAAAGCACTTACTTACATTTACATCTCAGTAATACAACTTACATCTCAATAATAAAAATAATCTAATTTTTTAATTAGGCAAAAGGTTTTGAATGGACATTTCACAAAGATATACAAATGACTGATAAGCACATAAAAAAGCATTCAACATTAAGTCAACAGAGAAATGCAAAATAAAATCACAGTGGGATACTAAAAGACACCCATTAGAATGGCTAAAAGTAAAAAGACCAAAAATACCAAATGTTGATGAAGATAGGGAGCTACTGGAAGTCTCTTATCTTGTTGGGAGTATAAAATGGCACAATAACTTTGGGAAATAGTCTGGCAGTTTCATTTAAAATTAAATGTAGCCCCTACCTTATGATTCAGCAATTTCACTCCTAAATGTTTACCCAAGAAAAATGAAAGCCTGTGCCCACAAAAAGAAAATAATATACATATAGCCTTATTCAAAATGTTCCAAAACTGGAAACAGACTAAGTATTGTCAACAGGAAAATGGATGAACAACCTATAGTGTACTTGCACAACAGAAGACTACCCAGCAATAAAAAAGAATTCACTAATGATACACAAAATAACATAGATGAATCTCAAAAACATTATGTTAAATTAACAAAGCCTTATATTTAGAAGCACATATTGTAATTGTATCATTCCACTTGTTTTAAGTTCTAGAACAGCCAAAAATAATTTATGTATCTCTTTAAAAAGTCAACAGTGGTAAGCTACCTCTGGGTAGAGGGGCAGATGGACAGGGATTAACTGGGAAGGAAGAAGAGAGAAGTTCTCATAATGTTTCATAATGTTCTATGTCTTGATAGAAATTTAGATTACACTGATGTCTACATTTGTTAAAATTCCTCCAAAGCCTGGCATGGTGCCAAATAGTCACAGCTACTTGGGAGGATGAGGCAGGAGGATCTCCTTGAGCTTAGGAGTCAGAGTCCAGCCTGGCCAACATAGTGAGATCACATCTCTAACAACAACAAAAATCCCTCCAATGACACATTTAATATTTGTGCATTTCACTATATGACAACTAACCCAAAAATTTAAAAGAACCATAAACAAAGATTGAACTCATGTTAATGATATTCATACTGAAGCATTTAGGGGTGAGGTATACAGATAGTTGCAACTTACTTGGAAATTCTGCAAAGTAAAAAAAAAAAGTGGCTTGATGGAGAGATAGAGGGTGGATATGTGATAAAGTAAATGTGGCAACATGTTAATTGTAGAATTTAGGTGGTGTATAAATTCTTTTAACTCTTCTGTATGTTTGAAATTTTTCATATTAAAATATTGAGGAGGAAAATGCCAGTTTCTCCTATTTGAGTTTAGCTCTTCAAGGGCAGTAATTTCAAGTTGAATGATGAAGAATTATATTTTTAAAAACAAGCAGGAATTGACTCTCCTTAGCATAATGTTAGTATTCAATACATTTTGATTAATCAGTTAATTAATTTTTTGAGTACAGGGAACTTTATTGATAGTACATGACAAAGTGGGCTTCCCAGGCCCCTCCTTCTTCAGGGAGGTCTGTGTGGAAATTGTGGGGAGGGGAGATTCTCAGTGTGGTGGGGAACTGAGTGTGGCAGGGACTCCCTAGCAGCTGAGGGCCTCTCTCTTCCTCTCATGCTCTCACTGCGGCTGGTGGTCTGGGGTCTTACTCCTTGGAGGCTTTGTGGGCCATGAGGTCCACCACCCTGTTGCTGTAGCCAAATTCATTGTCATACCAGGAAATGAGGTTGACAAAGTGATTGTTGAGGGCAATGCCAGCCCCAGCATTGAAGGCAGAAGAGTGGAAGTTGCTGTTAAAGTCAGAGGAGACAACCTGGTGCTCGTGTGGCCCAGGATGCCCATGAGGGGGCCTCCAATTCCTGCTTTACCACCTTCTTGATGTCATCATATTTGGCAGCTTTCTCCAGATGGCAAGTCAGGTCCATGACCAACAATTTGGCAGTGGAGACATGGAAGGCCATGCCAATGAGCTTCCCATTCAGCTCGGGAGTAACCTGGCCCACAGCCTTGGCACCACTAGTAGATGTAGGGATGATGTCCTGGAGAGCCACATGGCCATCATGCCACAGTTTCCCAGAGGAGCCATCCAGGGTCTTCTGTGGCAGTGATGGCATGGACTGTGGTTATAAGTTCTTCTATGATGCCAAAGTTGTCACGGATGACCTTGGCCAGGGGGGCTAAGAAGTTGGTGGTACAGGAGGCTTTGCTGATGATCTTGAGGCTGTTTTTGTACTTCTCATGATTCATGCCTATCATGAACAAGGGGGTGTCAGCAGAAAGGGCAGAGATGATGACCCTTTTGGCTCCCTCTTCTAAGACATCTCCAGCCTTCTCATGGTATTGAAGATGCCAGTGGACTACACAACATAATCAGCACCAGCATCACACCATTTGATTTTGGTGGGATCTCGCTCTTAGAAGATGGTAATGGGATTTCCATTGATGACAAGCTTCCTATTCTCAGCTTTAATGGTGCCATGGAACTTGCCATGGGTGGAATCATACTGGACCATGTGGATCATGTAGTTGAAGTCAACGAAGGGGTCATTGATGGTGACAGTATCCACTTTGCCAAAGTTAAAAGCAGCCCTGGTGACCAGACACCCAACATGGCCAAATCCATTTACTTTGGTCTTCACCTTCACCATGGTGTCTCAGGGATACAGCTGGTGCTGCATGACAAGATGCAGCTGTCTGTCTTACGGGAGGAGCAGAGAGTAATTGTATACATTTTCTACATGCCTTTCTTACTAATATATGGCAAGCATCTTTCCTTTTCATTAAGTATTCTTCTAAAACACCATTTTTAATAATAGAAAATTTGGGGATCTATTGCCCTCATTCTCACCTACATTGGGTTTTATCTTTTCTTTTAAATCTTTGCCAATTTAGGGAACGAAAAAGATATCTCTCCTTTATATTTTTGATTGCTAGTGAGGCTCTTCATGTTAATCGGTCTTTTATCTTTTCTATGAAAGTGCTTTTATTGGTGTATAAACACTCTTTATATATTAGGGTTGTTAGCATTTTTGTCATATGTGTTACAAATGCATACACAAAAAATATATTTGTTTCAGATTTTTAATTTTAATACACTTTTTTCATCATGATGCACTTAGATCTCTTGAATTCATTCCTCCTAACTAAAATTTTGTGTCATATGACCAACATCTCCTCAATCCGCCTTCCTTTGCCTCTACCATTTTACTCTCTGCTTCTATTAAGTCACCTTTTTTACACTCCACTGTAAGTGAGAAAATGTAACATTTGTCTTTCTATGCCTGGTTTATTTCACTTAACATAATGTCCTCCAGGTTCATCCAGTTGTCACAGAAAAAAAAAAAAAAAACAGGATTTCCTTTTTTTTTTAAGGCTAATGGTATTCCATTGTTTACATATGTTACATTTTCTTTATCCATTAATCCATTGATGGGCACTTAAGTTGATTCCATATCTTGGCTATTGTGAATAGTACTGCAATGAACACGGGAGTGCAGATATCTCTTCACCATACTGATTTCATATCCCTTGGATACATACCCAGTAGAGGGGTTGCTGAATCATACAGTAGTTCTATTTTTAACTACTTTAGGAACCTCCATACTGTTTTCCATAATAGTTGTACCAATTTACATTCCCACAAACAAATTACAATTTTTATTCACAATACTTTGATATAAAATTTTGTTTCTTATTTATTGTTTGCTTTTTTACCATGCCACCTTCAAAGAGACCTGGAGACATTGCCGGGGGTTGGAAACTGACTTAATAAAGAGGCTTGAGAAACAAAAGAAAGAAAACGTATTAAGGCAAATGTTTTAAGGAGTAGACAGATCTAGTTTTAATTCCATTTCAGCCATTAACTACTAATTGGTCGAGTGATTAAATCTCTCAAAACCAGTTTCCTCTTTGGGGATTGGGGATAATAATACTTTCCCTGAAGTGTTGTTGTGAGGACCACATAAAACAAATGTAAAGTACCTCTCTGGGAATGCTTTTGCACTGTAGGTGGGAATGTAAATTAGCTCAGCCCCTGTAGAAAGCAGTTTGGAGATTTCTCAAAGAACTAAAAGTAGAATTACCATTTTACTCAGCAATCCCATTGCTGGGTATATGCCCAAAAGAAAATAAATTGCTCTACCAAAAAGACACCTGTACTCATTTGTTTTTCGCAGCACTAGTCACAATAGCAAGATATGGACTCAATCTAGGTGACCATCAACAGTGAATTGGATAAAGAAAATGTGTTACATATACACCATGGAATACTACAAACCATAAACCATTCACAGCCCCAGCATTGAAGGCGGAAGAGTGGTTGTCGATGGTGGCTGTGAATACTACACAACCATAATAACTGGAGGCCATTATCCTATGTGAATTTTTTTGTTTGTTTTTTGAGACAGAGTTTCACTCTTATTGCCCAGGCTGGAGTGCAATGGCACGATCTCAGCTCACTGCAACCTCTGCCTCCCAGGTTCAAACGATTCTCCTGCCTCAGCCTCCCAAGTAGCTGGGATTACAGGCACCCGCCAACACACCTGGCTAATTTTTGTATTTTTAGTAGAGACGGGTTTTCACCATGTCGGGCAGCCTGGTCTTGAACTCCTGATCTCAAGAGATCTGCCTGCCTCTGCCTCCCAAAGTGCTGGAATTATAGGCGTGAGCCACTGCACCCGGCCTATCCTAAGTGAATTAACACAAGAACAGAAAACCAAATATGCATGTTCTCACCGATAAGTGGGAGCTAAAGATTGGGTACACAGGGACATAAAGATGGGAACAATAGACACTAGGAACTCCAAAAGTGGGAGAGGGAGGGAGGAAGTCGGAGAAGGACTGAAAAACTTCCTATTCGGCATTATGTTCACGTTATGGGTGATGGGATCGAAAGCCCAAACCTCGCATCATGCAATATATCCTTATAACCTGCACATGTAACCCCCTGAATTTCAAATTAAAACAAATTTTAAGAACCTCCCTTGAGAGATAGCAAGTTGTAACTGTATGTAACCAAATGAAAAGGTGTTCTAAAACACTGCTTCCCAAATGTTAAAGGTGCATGTGAATCACCTGGGGATCTTGTTAAATGCAGTTTGTCATTCAGGACACCTGAAGCAGCACCTGAGCTGCTTCCTTTCTAACAAGCTCTCAGATGATGCTGATGCTGGTTGAAGATTCTAGAGTCTTCTGACAATGAGAATCCTTGACAAAAAAATTTAATAACCAATTTAACAAGTGATGTCTGTTTTCAGAACAGTTGTAACTCGTGGTACTACATGGAATTTGCAAGATGAAAGATGTGGCTAGCCCTTAGAGGATGCAATTTGAATCTAACATTATCTTAACAAGGTCAGTGTTTCACCAGATGAAATTTCAGTAGAGTCATGTTGCTATACAGGGAAGCCAAACATCTGATGAATAAGAAATTGTGCATAAAGAATAAAGAAAAGGATTCAGGAGCGGTAGCACACCTGTAGCCCCAGCTAACTGGAAGACCAAGGTAGGAGCATCACTTGAGCCCAGGAGTTCCAGTCTAGCCTGGGTGAGAGAGCGAGACCTCATCTCTAAAAATAAAGTTAAAAATAAATTTTTGAGACAGAGTCTTTCTTCGTCATCCAGGCTAGAGTGCAGTGGCATGAACCCAGCTCACTGCAGCCTCAAACTCCTGGGCTCAAATGATCCCCCCACCTCAACCTCCTGAGTAGCTGGGATCACAGACGGGCACCACCACATCCGGCTATTTTTATGATTATTATTTGTAGAGACAGGGTCTTGCCCTGTTGCCCAGGCTGGTCTCAAATTCCTGGGCTCAAGCAGTCCTCCTACCTCCACCTCCCAAAGTGCTGGGATTACAGGCCTGAAAAGATCTAATGGTCACAGTCCTCCCGATGATTTCCTCCCCAAAGGCCTACCCAAAAAACCCATCCAAAGGAAGCACTCCATATGAAAAACTTGAGTTGTTTGGAGGAAACTAAATTGCAGTGTTCTGCGTGCAGCTTTCCCCTATAGCAGCGTTTCCCAGCCTCAGCCAATCAGAAGCTCCCAGCCTCAGCCAATCAGAAGCATCACTTGGGTTACCTGCTACCACTCCTAGAGCGTGGGAGACTTTGTGGAAGGATACGGGAGAAACCCAAGCATCTATGTTTCTAAACAGAAAGGTTTGGGAAACCTGCCTCACTATGTTCATCTCCCTTTTTTTTCAGTTTAGAATTCATAGCAGAGGGGAGCTGTACATAGTGGATAGAGGTTCTATTGTGAGGAAAATTGACACTCATCTGTGATACTCAGTAGCTGTGTAATCTTGAGCAAGTTATTCATCCTTCCTGAGTGTGAGTTTTCTCATGTGTAAAACAAGAATAAAAACGCTTCTACATAAGGTCATTGTAGAGATTACCTAAAGTCATGGATTTGACTGCTATTCGTAAACTGAATACAAATGTGATTGCCATAAATGCATTTACTATGTCAAATCTTCACTGAACAAAGCCGTTGAGAGGCCCTTTGGAATTCATTAGTGTGAGATTTTATCCACTTAGCAAGGTGGAGTTGGTAAACTAAAGGTCAAGTTGACATAAACCTGGATACAAGCCCAACTTTGCTTTTATTGTTTGAGCCCCCTCGGGGAAAGACGGCAACCTTCCGGTTCTCCACTGTCTCATCTGTAAAACAGTGATGATGGTAACTCCTGGCTACCCGCTTAGAGTGGCTGACAGGCTTTGTAAATGATGCTACCTGAAGGTGGTTTGTAAACTCTAAAATGCCGCACACATTGTTGATGCCTGTCACGAAAGAGCTGGAAAAGCCATGGCATCCGTTTTCAGATCCACTAATATCCCATCCCTACCCCACCCATCCTACCTAATCCCTGTCCCAAAGGGCAAGAAGGCTTGCTGGCAGGAGGGCTGGGGAGGCAGCACTTTCCATCAGCAGCTCAAGAAACTCAAGAACACTAAGAGTTTCTGGGGCAAAGGTCAGTCCCCCAGGGTGGGCTTGAGGGGTGGCTGGTCAGCAAGCAGGGATATCGGCCATTGTTTGCACCTGCCATCTGTGTTCCCAAGTGTTTAGTGATGGATGGTGCCAGACATTTCCCCTGCTGCTGCTGCTGCTGCTACTGGCTGAACCTGTCATGACATATCAAATTTCAAGAGCGGAGTTACAGAATCTGTGCCTTGGAAGGAGAACAAAGTTTGAATATCTGTGGAGTTGAGGACAGACTTAAGAGATTAGGAATGGGTAAGGCCCTGCAGCAGGAAACTGCCCACGATGACTAAAAGTGAAATTGAGTACAGTTTAGAGAATGCCACTCAGAGATAGGAATCAGGACAGGAAGTGGAGAGATGAGGAGCAGAGGCTGTAAGCAGATGGGAAGAGGGAGTGGCCACCAGAGCTAGCAAGTAGAGCATGGACAGATTGGCTGCTCGCAGCCATGGCCGCTTCCAGGGTGGAATTCCAGGAAACCCAGGAGTGGGACTCAGCAGTGAGGTTTGTGTGAGGTGGGCTAAGGAGACTCAAAACCCAAAAAACAGCCTCCATTGCTTCTATTTTTTTAGATTTTTTTCAAAACTATTTTTCTTACCAAATTTTACTGACTTAGAAACCAGCAAGAAATGTAATATCACATTTATTTACAGCCTAGAAGTAACAATTCCTGCATACGCTGTCCTCTCATGGTATATCTCCTCATAATATACAGCATTAAACAGGATGACCCTTTAACTTAAAAATATACTGAATATGCCTTATGGGGGTGAAGATACATGTGGCAAGAAAACTATAGCTTTAAATTAATGGTTCTCAAACTAACTTAAATCAAATCATTTGGAGGGCTTGTTAAAACATCCAGGGCTGGCTCGATCATAACTCACTGCAGCCTTGACCTCCTGTGCTCAAGTGATCCTCCTACCTTAGCCTCCTGATTAGCTGGGACTACAGGCATGTGCCACCACATCCAGCCAACTTTTTTTTTTAATTTTTTGGAGATTTTTCTTAAGTTTTTGTAGAGATGCCATCTCACTTTGTCACCCAGGCTGATCTCAAACTCCCAGCTTCGAGGGATCCCCTCCCTCCTCAGCCTTCCAAAGTGCTAGGATTACAGGCATGAGCCACAGGGCCCCACCACAGTTTCTGATCCATTAGGTCTGGGATAGGGCCTGAGAACTTGCGTTTCTAACAAGCTCCCTAGTGATACTGATGCTGCCGCTAGAATCACCGTCCTGGACAATTAGGGATCCTTGACAGGAAGAGAAATAAAAATACACAGACTAGATTGGCAAATATATTTCCTTAACATTCCAGTTTTCTAAGTTGAAGCTCAGACATGTCACCCCTCCCCAGGAGATCACTTGCAATATTAGCCAGTTTCTCACTATGTGGAAAATATTCATAGAAATGCTGAAGGTAATCCTAAAATGGAATCCTAGAATGGTTCATTGAACCAGACCCACAGCACGAGGTGGAGTCCACTCAGATGCTCTTGGGTGTGGTGACATTGAGATCTGTCCCCGATGGGGACAAGCCTATCAAGAGCAAGGAACACAGAACCATCTCCCTCAGACAGCACTTCCAAGTATGTTACCAAAATCTTGGTCTTTGAATCCCATGTTAGAGAATTTGTCATCCATTTAATCAGTCATTTAGAGAGTGATCCCTCTCAGGACTATATAGAACCTGCTTTCTGAGGACACAGATTCTATTAGACTTAGGACAGTCAGTGCTTTCCAGTAAAAATATAACACAAACAACATATATAATTTTAAATTAAAAAGTAAAAACAGGCCAGGGCAATGGCACATGTCTGTAATTCCAGCACTTTGGGAGGCTGAGGTGGGCAGATCGCTTGAGTCCAGGAGTTCGAGACCAGCCTGGGCAACATGACGAAACCCCATCTCCACAAAAAAAATACAAAAATTTAGCCAGACGTGGTGTTGCACACCTGTGGTCCTAGTTACTTGGGAGGCTGAGGTGGTAGGATGGCTTGAGCCCAAGAGGTGGAGGTTGCAGTGAGCTGAGGTCGCACCACTGCACTCCAGCCTGGGTGACAGAGCGAGACCCTGTCTCAAAAATAAAATAAAATAAATAAAAAGTAAAAATAAGCAAGTGAAATTAATTTTAATAATATAATTTATTTAATCCAATACAGACAATATATCACTTCAACATGTAGGCATGATAAAGCTAAATGAGCTATTTTACACTTTTTATACTAAGTCTTCAAAATCTAGTGTGTATGTTACACTTACAGCACATCTCAATGTGGACCAGCCACATTTCAAATGCTCTGTTGTCACATGTTGCCAGTGCCATTGCAGTGGACGATACATTGAGGGGTTGCTGGTCAGCAAGCAGGGATGAACTCCTTATAGTATTAGAGTAATTCTGGATGATATTTTCTTGATAAGATCAAATTTATCAAACACCAACTACTTTTAATCATTACTTTTCCCTGTGTCATTAAGCTCCATCAGACTCCCAAAAGCCTCCCTGCCCCAGAAAATGGCTCTCTGTGACCGTCTGATAATTGGCCCCTACTGTCCATTCTCCCTCTTTTCCATAGTAATAAAAATTTTAGCTGGACAGCTACCCAGAATAATACATTTTCCCTGGCAGCTAGGTGAAACCATGGAACTACATGTTGGTCAATGAGATGTAAACAGAAGTTCATGCAGCACCTTCTTAAAGAAATAGCTGGCATCACTCTTTGTCCTATTCAATCTCCTTCCTCCTTCCCATTGGCTGGAATGAAAATCTGATGGCTAGAATTAGAGCCACCATATTGGACCATGAGATGACTGGGAAATGGAGGCTACACAGTAGACTAGGTGCCAATTTCTGGGGATTTCATGAAGAAGAGCCTACTTCCTGACTTTAAAGTAAAAGAGAAATACATTTCTACCATGTTTAAGTCAATATTGTTTGTCCAATTGTTACAGCTGAACTTTAACCATTTCACATTCCCAACCATTCATCCTGGCTTGTGAACATATAGCAGAAGTTCCCAAGAAAGGAGCTAACAGATGTATTGTGCATTGTTAGCACAAAATAAAACTAATAAGAGCTGATTATTATGGAGCTCAAACTCTATCAGTAAGTAGCCTTATGTTAAGTACTGTACATATCTCCTTTAATCCTCGCAACAACCTTTGTGTATCAATAAGAAAATTTAAAACAGATTAAGTGACCTGTCCAAGATCACATAGCTAGAAAATGTGAAGCCAGAATTTGAATCCAGGTCTAGATGACTCCATAAACGAAGTTCTTTGCTAGGCGTATTCCCATCGGTAGACTCTGCACCATACAACAGGAAGATAGAAGGGGGCACATACCCTATTTTTTTTAAGTCAACAGAAGCTCTGAATTTAAACTTGAATTCACATCCTTCTCCTGGCAAAATTCAACCAATCAGTACAAATGTGAGAATCAGCTGCGTTCTGTAAGGTATTTTTAGGGGAATAAGGTCACATGACTTACAGCCAGTTTCCTAAAACTCAACTCCCTTTTGAGACCTTTGGCATCTGTTCAGGTGTTCTATTCTTTTTGCCATTTTAGCACTCTAAGGATTAAAAATTGACATATTTAGGGTAAAACATGGTGCTTATTATTGAATTTCTGATAAGCATATATTAAATATACATTATTTTAAGAATCATGGAATCATTTTGTGCCCTGGCTTATGAGCAGGTCACCAACAGAGATATCTTGGAGCTCTGTTACTCATTTCCAACAGTGCCACAAATAAAACTAATAACAGCAAATAACTATTGAGCACTTACTTTAACAGACCTTATTTTAAATACTTGTGTACTTTTAAGCTTACAACCAAAAACAGTGGGTTCCCTGAGTGTGGAGCTTGTGTTGTATTGGTCACTTCTGCATCACCATTTCTTATCACCTTACCTGGCAAATAGCAAGTCTGTGATAACACCTTGTTGAATGAATTGTCAGATACTCCTTAGGCCACTTCACATTCTCTCAGCCTCACCTGTCCCTTGTTCCAGCTGCTGCAGAGACCAATACTACATTAGGCTCTGAGCAACTTCACATAGGTAAAAAGGGCATGCCTTACCTGCACTCGATGTTTCCTGTTTCTTGCTCTGGGGGTTCTCTTTTGACACAGAGGTCTGGGGCACCATGACACCTCCCCGGCACCTGTGCATGTGCAAAATGAAAGTATGGAGGAGTTAACATCTCATGGGAAAAACCTTTGACCAGTGGGAGACAGGAATCAATGAACAGATTGCTCTTTCTTCTCTCCAATGGACTATTCTGACACACAATTTATTTGGCTTCTTGGAAGACAGTTATGATGGTCCCTTGGGATCAAACAATTAGCAGTGACCAACTTGGCAACACACCATCCTATTGACTCCCTCCCTCCCTGCCTGCCACTCTTCCTTTGTCCCTTCATCCTGCTCTAATAGAAATAGCACATACATGCTTTATCTCAGGTTTTTCAATCTGGAGAGCTTAGACAAGACAAAGAAAGTGAATTTACCTTTGTATACTTTGTCTAAAAACATTATCCAGATGAATCATTAACCACTGGGCCATCTTACTTTAATTGTCAAATTCAAATCAAAAGAAATGATGGATGCCATCTTCCAGAAACACGTAACCCATGACCATGGATGCCAATGGTAGTTATTTCTATAGGCCCTAGGAGTATGGCCCAAAGGCAGCTGGCCCCATTCTGATTCCTGCAAAAGTCTTATTTCTGCACAAGAAGCACTGCCTCTAAAGGATTCTTTGAGGGCAGGACGATGTGATATTGCTGTGTCAGGGTTCATAACAGAACACTTAAAACAATTGTTTACAGTACATGGTGTCAGAGAGATGCCTGCAGCTAATGTCTGAAAATTACACAAATCTGGACATTTATTAATTTACTAAAAAGCAGCAAATGTAAAGGGGCTGATAAAGCAAACAACTAGCAGTAATAATAAAATAATAGTTGTCATTTTTTTTCTAACATTTATTATTTACTCTGTGCCAGGCCAGGGTTTCACTGTGTCTTCACAAAAGCCCTGTGATAATAGTATTAGTTCACATTCACATTGTGTCTTCACAAAAGCCCTGTAATAATATTATTAGTTTAATTTACAGCTATCTGAAGGATTTCGAAGTTACTAACTTACCCAAGGCCTCACTGCGAGGAAATGGAAGATGGCATTCAACCTTCAGACTTCTTTTATATGGAAGAAGAATAAATTTCTCTGTTTAAGCCAGTGTTGTATTGTTGTTATATGTAGTTTCTGTTATATGTAGTGAAAGCTGTTATGCTTACCTAATTACAAGACATTTCTAATACTCCTTTTGGTTCAAGCCCAATCAAAAAACTGGGGAAATAGGCCAGGCGCAGTGGCTCACACCTGTAATCTCAGCACTTTGGGAAGCCAAGCCAGGCAGATCACTTGAGGTCAGGAGTTCAAGACCAGCCTGACCAACATGGTGAAACCCCCATCTCTACTAAAAAATAAAAAATAAAAAAAAAAATTAACTGGCGTGGTGGTGCGTGCCTATGGTCCCAGCTGCTCCTGAGGAGGCTGAGCACAAGAATTGCTTGAATCCAGGAAGCAGAGGTTGCAGTGAGCTGAGATCGTGCCACTGCACTCCAGCCTGGGAGACAGAGAAAGATCTTGTCTCAAAAAAAAAAAAAAAACTAGAAAAATCAACCCTACTGGACATTCAAAATAGTTGTAATCATAAGATACTGAGGGTGCATCAGAGAAAGGAGAATCAATTACCATCTGATATACGGAAAGGTATATCACAGCAAAAAATAAGCCACACAAGAGTTCCAAGGCCTTTTATAGGAATAATGACTATTTTTTCCTCTAACCCTAAAACTGACACATAGGAAGTGATAAACAGGAATGTACTTATTTGCAATAAGAATTTTAGAAAATAGTTATCATATTTCACTACTTATTCACTTAACAGTCATTTATTAAGCCCAGGGGAAATACAGAGATGAAGAGGTGAGACCTTCCTTGTAGGAGGCCAGGCCTACTAAAAGAGGCACCCAAGGAGACAGCCTACACAGTGTGCAGAGTGCTGTGGTCCAGAGAGCACGATCTAATGTTGAGGGAGGAAGGAAGACTTTCTGGAAGAGACGATACCAAGTTGATTAGATGTCCTTGGGAAAATAAATCTGGGTAGGGGGTGGCAGGGGGAGCAGAGAGAGAAGCAGGGCATGCTGGGAGAACAAAGTAGTGAGGTATGGTAGGAAATTTAGGGGGGAGAAGATATGAAGGGGCCAGGTCACTGCAGTATAGAGAAACCACATCATGAAGACCAGGCACTAAGGTGTCCAGACCACCTCAAAAGCTATGAAGAGCTGCAGAACACTTTTCAAGGGGGAGTAATGTGAGAATCATTGTCATTTAGAAAGATCCGTAAGGTGATTTTCTTCAAGTGAGCTCTCTGACCCTTCCTGCTCTAACACTATGAATCAAGGAACTGGTGCAATTTTAAAATAACAATAACTTGTCTGAGTCTAGACTGTTAGGAACCTGCAAGTAACTCCTGCTGTCATTTGGGAAGCTAATTTGGCTCACCACATATCCATGCCTGATACTGTTCTATTGGAACATGCCTGGTGGCCATGCCTAAGTTGGGAAGAGAGATACTACTTGCTACGTCTAAATGTTTGTGTGCCCTCAAAATTCAATGTTAAAACCTAATCCCAAGTGTGATGGTATTTGGAGGTGGAACCTTTGGGAAGTAAGATTAAGTCATGAAGGCAGTACCCTCATGAATGGGATTGGTGCCCCTATAAAAGGGACACCAGAGAGCCTCTATTCTGTATGCCATGTCAGGACACAGCTAGAAGGCACCATCTGTGAACGGGGAAATGAACCTCATCAGACACCAAATCTGCAGGCACTTTGACATTGGACTTCCCAGCCTCCAGAACTGTGAGAAATAAATTTCTGCTGCTTATAAGCCTCCAGTCTATGGCATTCTGTTATAGCAGCCCAAATGAACTGCAATAGTACTATTTGTTTCGGATACCAATTGAAGCAGAAGCCAGGAGCAAAAGACTAGAGCTGAGAAACAGTAAAGCCTTCCCTGAGTACTCAGTCTAAATCAAGACTTAGGATTTAAGAGCACTCAGTGATAACATGATGTCAACTAACTAGATGGCAGCAGAGGCTGAGGACCCAATGGGTGCCCATGCTCACTGCCACCAGATGGTTCTTCCAAGGAAATTCTTTTTATATTTGAATATTATCTGCAGACTCCAGGGGGCCTTCTAGGGGATAGGACCTGGGTTGGACTCCCAGTGGCTCCCGGTGTAATAAAGCAACCTTTGTACCGTTCCTTGCCCCTTTCCGCATACATTGGCCAAAGCTGGTGGGTCCCTCCTCAGCAACCACATGCCTGTTTTCACATAGAGTAAGGTGCAAGAAGCCAGGTGCCAGGCAGGGACAAAGTCTGGCCTGCTCATAATTGCATCTCAGCACTTGGTACAGCACCAAGCACATGACAGGTACTCAAGAAATATTTGTAAAATAGATGAACAAATGTATCAGTCAATTGTGCCTTTGCATATAGAATAATAGCAAACACATATCATGTTTACCATGTGATCTACACATTTTACAAACATTTTATCCTCAAAACAACATTATATGAGAAGTACTATTATTCTCCCCCTTTTACAGATGAGAAAAGTTAGGCAAAGATAAGTGAGTGACTTGCCTAAGGTCACACCGCTTAAAGCCTAGACTGGGTATCAACAACAAAATTTGTCAAATGAATAAATTCTAGCATTCGTGGTTTCTTTAGGATCCCATTATTTTGTCCAATTGAGGTAGCTGTGGGTTTTTTTCTGTTTGTTTTTATGTTTGGTTTTGGGGTTTTTTTTTTTTCCTTTCTTTCCTTACCATCTTATGGTGCTGAAGCTGTAGGTTTTAGTTGTTAACAGGGTGGCAATACTAAATTTGCACATCTTTTGGATATGATTGCATTGCACACACTGAAAAAAGGGAATGAGGCTCAGCTGAGAGAAAACCTTAAAATCCTCCAATGCAGTCTCATTACTCTTAGAATAAAACTCAAATGCCTAGACTTGGCCTGTGTGATGAGGCCTTCTATGTTGCCTCTGTCCTCATCTTGTGCCACTGTTCCCCCAGGTGCCTAAGGTCTCTGTCACACTAGCCAGCTTTCTGTTCTTCAAACAAGCCAGGCATGTTCCCCTTCATGGGCTATACCTGCTGTTTCATCTGCCAGGAATACCACGGGCTTTCTGTTAGCTGGATATCTTCTCACCATTCAGGTCTCAGCTTAAATGTTACTCCTCAGTAAAGCCTTCCCTGAGCCCTAATCTAAAGAGTGACTCCCCAGCTCCCGTCTCCAACTCCATCTGACCTGTCAATCTCTCCCTATCCCATTAACCTACTTTATTTTCTTCATAGTATTTATCACTAACTGAAATAATCATTTTTGTCGGCTTGCTTGTCTCCTTATTTCTTTTCTCTTCCCACTTGAGAATTTAAGATCTGTGAGCTCAATCTGGGATGCTGGCAGCATGAAGAAGGTGTGCAGTGCATATGTATTGAATAACAGATGATTCAACAAATTACTAAGCTTTGCCAAGCACTGGCCATCACCAAGTCAGATGAGGAGAGGAGCCTCAGATCTCCATGCACCCCACTGGAATCTCACCGCTGGAATCATGCAGAATAAAATGCCCAGGCTTCTGGAGCTTCTGTGTCAAAACTCACTGATGACACCTGATTGCCCCAAAGACAAGGCCCCCTTGCAAATCTGGGAGATTAAATCAGGAAAACTTTGGGAATAAGGGGGATAACTGTGAAATCAAACCAAAGAGAGGGTTTGGCACCACCATGGATGTTGGAAATCTGTGGCGCCACCTCCAAGTACCTGAAGAAAGAGTTGGTGCAGCCTCTATGACCATCAGGGAGGGCTTCCTGTTGTTGTTGTTGTTGTTGTTGTTGTTGTTGTTGTTGTTGTACATTATGCAGCATAAGATTTCACATTTTCTAAAAAATCCCTCCAATTTAAAAACACAGTTTGGAAGCCACTTCTTTAGAGAATTTCTCCTGATTATATGCAGAGTATAAATGCTAGAGGAGAATTTTTTTTTTACTTAGGTCTTTCTCAATAGTCACAGCAAAAATTTTAAATGTTGCCCTTCCCAGTTAGAAATTTGAAAACTTCAAGGCCAAATGCCCTGCCTGCTCCAGCTTGGAGGCTGAGGGAGCTGAACACATTCATCTGCCCCCTGTCCACCCACCTCTCCTCACCAGGTGGTGGGTAGGCTCATTGTCTGCTCCAGGCAAAACACATTAGAAATGTAGGGCGCTCAAACGTGCTACCTTGACGTGGGTAATTTTTTTTCCTGCAGGAAGAGAAACCAGGAATATAATTGCCCTAGAAATAACTCAATCAATGGGCATCCTACGCCCAAACCTCTCCAGGGGCCCACGCTTGCGAGGCATAAAGTAATGGCATGCTTGCCAGCAGCTAATGATGCACACCAGCCCCCCAGAAGGCTTCAGTAAAATGTCTCCTCACAGCCACTGTAATGATTTGGAATGTTTTGCCAAAACTAAATGCCTTCCTCTCATTTGCACTTCATGCCTTTAAGCTCCCAAGGTGCCACTGCCCCTGCCACTGGGTGAAGAGTGGCAGGGATTTTGCAGGAATGCTCCCCAGTAGCACAGGCCTAGAAACACAGAGCAGCCGCCCACACACTTCTGCGTTGTGACTGCCGCCTCACTGCTGCTAGGCAAGATAATTGGTGGTGCTGGAATGTGGCCAAGATTTGGCAGGATGCAGAGCAGGCATCTAAATTGGGGTGTTGGTGCCAGCATCAAAGCTCTGACCATGGGGTAGGAGCCAAGGTCACCACGAAGCTCAGTGTGACCTTGGAGGAGAGGACACCCCTCCCTGTCTGTGCCCTGAGTCCCACTCACTCAGCTTCCATGCCAGTTTTGTGCCACTCTTCCTACATACCAGGCTTTAGCTAGGGCAGCAGCGGGAAGCTGTTAGGTGACACATGAATCCTGTAAGGTATGCAGGTGGCGACAGCATACCACCCACAGGTTGGATGGTGACAGTCACAGCTATATATAGGGAAAGGGATTACCACAGCCCTCTGTGGATACTGCAAGTACTGATACATGGGCCCTTTGCATTGTGCCATGGAACCTGTTAGCAATGTAAAATTTGTTCTGTGCCAATTGGACACACGATCACTTTTAATATTAGCAGGAGGGAGAACAGAATCTGACATTTAAAGAGAAAGAAAGAGTCACACCCTGGTGATCAGCTGAATGATTGAATCCAACAACTAGTGTGTCTACAGCTTTTGTCGGAGGTTCACCCTCACCACCCTGACCTTAGTCACTGAATTTTCATCCCGAAAGCCCAGCCACAGCCCTACTCCTGAGGTTGTATGCCACTGGGGGCAGGGAGGGAGCGCTCCCTTGAGTGGAAGATTTGAGGTGGAATCCCTACCACTCTCAGAAGCAGAGGCAGGCATCCCATTTCACAAGGGGGTGCCAAGATACCATCTGACCCAGGACTCAGCTCACAAAGGGCCTTAAACTTAGAATTTTGAAATTATCAGCAAAAAGAACTTATAGCCATAGAGATACCCTGACAAGAGTGAAAAAAACTGGCATTCAAGACAAAACTCAACAGCGTCAACTAGATGACACTGCTGGGAGTACATTAAAACAATAACAACAATAATAACAACTAACACTTGCATAGTGCAAACTGTTGTAAGAATCTAGGTACTTCTCTAAGACTTACGTTTAACCCTCACAAAAACCCTATGAGGAGATACTACTATGCCTATTTTATAGATTGGAAACTGAGGTACAGAAAGACCACATCATGTGCCCAAGATCACATGGCTAATAAATGCTAGGCCACAATTTGAACTCAGGCTGTCCAGCCTCCAGTGTCCCCATGCTGAATCACTATCCTCTGAAGTAAGGGTTTTTAAAAATAAATCCTTGCTAATAGCACAATCACACTGCAATGTTACTCATTAAAAGCATCTACCTCTTAGCATGGAAACACTTGACATTTCATCATTTTTTAGTATCTCAGGAGTCTCTAAAAGGCTTTAGGTCAGGCTAGAAACAGCCTTTCTTCTTCCAAGGATTGCTCTTACTCTAGAGAAAAGTAACACACAGGCCGGGAATGGTGGCTCATGCCTGTAATTCCAGCACTTTGGGAGGTCAAGACAGAAGAATCGCTTGAGTTAAGGAGTTTGAGACCAGCCTGGGCAACATAGCAAGAAACCATCTCTACCAAAAAAAAAAAAAAAAAAAATGTAATTAGCATGGCGTAGTGGCACGCACTTGTAGTCCCAGCTACTCGGGAGACTGAGGCAGGAGGATAGCTAGAGCCCAAGAGTTTGGGGCTGCAGTGAATTATGATCATGTTACTGCACTCCAGCCTGGGCCACGGAGTGAGACTCTGTGTCAAAAAAAAAAAAACAAAAAGTAACACACTTCTGGAAAACAATCATAGAGCCCCGTGTGTGAGCCTCCTCTATGCTGCAGAGGCACTCTTTATTTGGCCATGTCAGGTCCTCAACTCAAATCTCTCCAATTAAGGAATGAGTGAGAGCTTCTCTGTTCCCAATAACATGATGCCAAGGCTCTCTGAGGGCTCAAGCCCTATCCTAGCCCCTCCAAAAGCATGGCAGCATCGGCGCGGGAGGGAAGTGCAGGGCACCTCGGCCAAGGTGCTGAGAGGTGTTGAATTATGATCCCAAGTATGCTGGAGGAAAACACTGTGTACAATTAGTATTTGATATATGGACAGTGGGATTTAATCACTCACAACACAACTGTTAACCCTCCCCAGGAAGGCACACTAGGCACTGTAGAAACGGAACTGAATGAGGCACACAAGGGCTCCGAACGGAGGTAACAAACACAGTGACAAATCACTCCAGTACAGTGTTGTTAGGAAAGTAGGTCATGGCATGGACAAGCGCTGCACGAGCCTGGAGGAGGGGGTTTCCCATTTTGCATAGAGAATTTGTAGAAAGCCTTTAAGGATTTGCAATCCTTGAAGAATTTGCAGTCAGCCTTTAAGGATGAGCAGGTGTTGACTCAGCTCAGCAGAGAGAGCTGGAAGAAAGACAAAGGGAGACTGCAGGAAGATGAGTGAAAGCAAGGCCCCAAACACCATCCAATCTGCAATAAGCCTTCTGCCTTTGAGCAAACTTGCCTGTTAATTAACTGACTTAATGAACATTTACTGAGTACCTTCTATTTGACTCATCATACTTGAAACTTTGGAGGGGGGTGCGGCTACCTGGAATTCTTAACAAATGTTCTAGAAAGATAGAGCTAGGTATTTCTCAACTAACTCTTATAATGCATATTTATCTTCCAAAACTGAAGTCAGCAGGGGCCATAGGAAAAATGCAGAGTTAGGCACACTCGCACTCTACCCACCCCTCCTTGAAGATGGGGACGGCAACAGGGTTTTAGAGCATCTCCATCTTCAAGTTTGACTCCTGCTCTGACTCCTTAGATTATGTCTGTTGGGTTGGCATCCTTTTTAGGACTGTCAGCAAAAGATCCCACTCCCAGTGGGCCTTGGGGCATGCCTGTTCCCATTAGAGCAGCTATTGATCAGAGACAGATGCCACCATGTGTAAGCACAGTGAGGTTGCCACGTCATCTCTAGGGACGTTGGATGCCAATCTGGCTCTTTGTTCTTTATCTCTTCATTGCCCCCAAATACTTTAGAAAAAAAATATGCTTGCATTGGAAGATCTAGTTTATATTTTGGTGATCAAAGAATTCTACATCTCAAATGGGCCTCCTTTATTTACATTTTTTAGTGTGTGTATTCTTTGAATACTCATCTCTCCTTTGCATCTGACTAACTCCTCGTCACCCTCCAGACCTCAGTGCAAATGTCACTTCCTCCCGGAAGCCTCCTTGGCACTACCACCATGCCCCAGACAGAATTAAGGGCTGCTTATGTGGTCCTATCCTTCTCTGGACTTCTGCCTTTATCACAACACATTTTAACTGCTGTTTTATTTATCTGACTCCTGATGGCAAATTATAAAATTCTGTGATGGTAAATCTCCTTGTTCATCATTGTATTCTCAATCCCCTAATACAGTGTAAGCAACATATTAGGTAGTCAGTAATTATTTGCTAAATTAATTTATTGTTTAATCAATACTAATGCTTTAAATGACTACACATCAACAATAAGTAATTTTGTTACTTCAAAATGAAGTACATTCTGCTCTTTAGATTGTTCATATTTCTTTAGCGAGCCTAAGGGTAGAAAAATATAGGTATCTCAGTCCTTCTGAAGTGCTTCGTAGAAATCCCAAATTTAGAACTTGCACAATTTAGGAGTTTAAATGAAAAAGTGCTGTAATTCCTAGTCCCATTTCCGACTGCTAGGGAAACTTTAAATCAGATTTCCAACAACATATGGTAGAGCTCTCTCCCTATTCCCTTCCTTAGTTCTCCCTTCAAAAATTTATATCATATGGTACACTTTCCTTTTCTCCCTCATTCAGGAAAAGGTATATGAATCTTGCTATTGTGGCTGTCTGTTGAAGTTTGTCAGAGAAGTCAGGGTCAGGGGAGGGGCATACAAAATTGATTTATGGTATCAGTGAATCAATACAGTGTGTTAGTAGATCTCTGCCCCACCACATTTAGGATAACCTTGATGAGGTTATGCCCCTTTTTTTCTTATTTTATTTCCTATCTCAATTTTAAAGATTGATACACCTTTAATGAATTGTTAGCTACAATTTTAAACAATAAATAAACAGCTCAGCCTACACACTTCTCAAGTTCTTGAAGTGTTCTCTTTAAATGCAAATAAAAGAGCTCTCAAGTCCTTGGGAGTAAAGGGTATGGAAAGGGAGCTCTTAAGGGAATCATAAGAAATGCATAATTCATAATAATAATAATAATAATAAGGATCTTTCATGGGACTCTTTCTGTCTTGGTAGTGGCTGAAGCCAACCAAGCAAAACTTGCAAAGGACATGGCTAGCCCGGTTTTATTACCCTTATCCCTCATATACCTCTGAGATCTAAAAGGATTGGGGTTGAAGTATGATTGGAAATTGAAGCATTTCTTTACAAAAAGTTGTTAGAGAGTTAGGTACTTTCCTCCCATCGTACTTAGAGGGTTTGACATGTGTTCATCGAGTCTGCAGAAGGCAGTGAACACAGTGGACTAATCTGATGCATATTGGAAAAGCAGTGTATTAGTCTGTTTTCACACTGCTAATAAAGATATACTTGAGACTGGGTAATTTATAAAGAAAAAGTTCAATGGACTCACAGTTCTACGTGGCTGGGGAGGCCTCACAATCATGGCAGAAGGAGAAAGGCAAGTCTTACATGGCGGCAGGCAACGAGAATGAGAACCAAGCAAAAGGCGAAACCCCTTATAAAATCATTTGGCTGGGTGGGGACATAGCCAAACCATCTCAAGCAGAAAGGCAGCAGCCAGTAGCCAGAGCAACTGAATGGAAGAGTGGCTGAGTGCAGACACACCAGTATTCCCAGTGTTTTTTGGACAAAAGATACATGAATATTCTCTGTGAACCAGAAGACTGCTCAGGAGAGAGAACTGGCCTGGAGGGGGCTTCAAACCTAAGCTGGGAAAGGACCCAGGATTATGGGGAGCTGAGGGAAAAAACATAAACAGTCACAGAGAACATGCATCTGAGGCATGACACAGGCAGTACAGTCTAATGTTCCCAGTGTAGGCCTCCAGAGAACCCACAAGTACAGCCCCAAAAAGATCGGCTTTGAAATTCCCCCAAGCCCAGAGTCAGCTTGAATCATCCGCCACAGCCAGCAGAATCCATCGCCATATGACATTGGTGCCAGTCAAACTTGACCTTTCCTGTCCCTGACATGTCCTCCGTATTCCCTCTCCTAGTGAGTAGCTGGAGCTATGGAGAAAGTAGCAGGAGTTGAGGGTGGAGGACCAAGGTGAGGAAGTCTAGAGGAAGCTAGCCCTGCCCTACTCCAGGCCCAGCAAGAAGAATCTTAAGTGAAATCTAAAGTGTTGATTAACACCTATGAATGGATTTTTTTTTACTGAAATGAGATTATCTTTGTGACAATAAGTAACTGGAAAACTTTTTATTATCTACAGGTGACTAGAAGCATCAGGGGACCTGCCCTAGACACACCCAGAGGGCAGAGGGGAACTAGTTCCAAGGAGCAGGTTCAAGCACATGGTGGGGAAAAGAATGAAGCTGTTTTCTCCTTGTGCCCTCCAAGGTTCTCCTCTTACAATATACTACTTACCTCGTTTCTCCTGGAATTCTCAATATCCTGCTAGCCCAGCAGGTTGAAAGATGTCATCAGCACGGTGACTGGCTGAGATCAAATCCCATTTTTGCACTTAATGGTTTGTAGGAAAGTAGACAGAATGCTATCCTCCACGTACCTTGATTCACTTATCTGTACGATGTGGATAATCGTAGGATCTACCTCATGGAGCTATTGTGAAGATTTAACAGCCACAAAGATCTTAGATCAGGGTCTAGCTCATGGTAAGTGCTCAATCAATGATAGCAATTATCATCATCCTCTTCATTGAAGACCCTGATGTTCATCAAAAATTTAATGCTCATTAACCTCTAAAGAAAAAGGAAAAGAGAAAGAGATGAGTAAGCATTTGGAATCTTGCTCCACCCAGAACA
Organism: Homo sapiens; assembly: GCF_000001405.40. Lineage (NCBI taxonomy): Eukaryota > Metazoa > Chordata > Mammalia > Primates > Hominidae > Homo > Homo sapiens. Next base: position 91,687,842 of record NC_000010.11, read on the forward strand.
GAGCTGATGCCACTAGATGTGAGTCCCTCACAGGGCAACAACATCCTCTTTTCTAGAATTCTATCTCCCAGACCCAGTTCCACACCTGCTCATAGTCATTGCCAAGAAAGGATTCTTGAGCAAATGAATAAAGAAGTGAATGGATGAATGCCTATACTGCCTACACCCTGACCACCTTGATCTTGTTGCTCTGGGGCCAGATGAGTAGTTAGAATCTCTCATATTTCCTTACCCTCAAGGGAGGTGCCTCCTGATTCTACTGTGGCTCTTCAGAAACTCTTCCCAGCATGAGGCCCTCACTCCAGACTCTTGACAGCTGAAAGAGAATTGTCCTAAGCAGTGAATCTCAAACTTTAGCATGTATCCGAATCACCTGGAGTGCTTTTTAAAACATAGACTTGGAGTACTTTTTTTTGAGATGGAGTTTTGCTGTTGTTGCCCAGGCTGGAGTACAGTGGTGCCATCTCGGCTCACCAAAACCTCCGCCTCCTGGGTTCAAGCAATTCTCCTACCTCAACCACCCTAGTAGCTGGGATTACAGGCATCCACCACCTCATCCAGCTAATTTTTGTATTTTTAGTAGAGACAGGGTTTCACCATGTTGGCCAGTTGGTCTTGAACTCCTGACCTTAGGTGATCCACCCACCTCGGCCTCCGAAAGTGTGGGGATTACAGGCGTGAGCCACTGCACCCAGCCCTGGAGTGCTTTTTAAAACATAGATTTCTGGGCCCACTCTGGAGTCTCTGGTTTAGTAGGTTTGGACCAAGAATTTGCATTTCTAACAATTTACTGGTCCTGGGAACACACCCTAAGAAACACTGTCCTGTTATTTTTTGACTGTTTAACAAAATCCATGAGGCTGTGGAGAGAAAGGGGGACATTGATACACTCTTGGTAGGAATGTAAATTAGTCCAGCCACTGTGGAGAGCAATTTAGAGATTTCTCAAAGAACTAAGAGTTGAACTACCATTTGACCCAGCAACACCGTTCCTGGATGTATACCGAAAGGAAAATATATTGTTCTACCAAAAGGACACATGCATTCATATGTTCATCACAGCACTATTTACAATAGCAAAAATTTGGAATCAACCCAGGTATCCATCAAGAGTGACTGGATAACAAAAACGTGATACATGTACACCATGTACTACAGCCATACAAAAACAATGAAATCACGTCCTTTGCAGCAACATGGATGCAGCTAGAGGCCACTAACCTAAGTGAACTGAGGCAGAAATGGAAAAGCAAATACTGCATGTTTCACTTATAGGTGACAGCTAAACATTGGGTACTAATAAAGTGGTAACAGTGGACACTGGAGACTACTAGTGAAGAGAGGGGAGAGAGGGAGGGGAGCAAGGGCTGAAAAACTACCTGAAAAAAAACCATAGTGGTACTATGTCCACTACCTGCGTGATGGGTTCAGTCATATCCCAAACCTCAGCATCATGCAATATACCTTTGTAGGCCAGGCACGGTGGCTCATGCCTGTAATCCCAGCACTTTGGGAGGCCAAGGCGGGTGGATCACCTGAGGTCAGGAGTTCGAGACCAGCCTGGCCAACATTGTGAAACCCCCAAGACACAAAAATTAGCTGGGCGTAGTGGCATGCACCTGTAATCCCAGGTACTTGGGAGGCTGAGGCAGGAGAATCGCTTGAACCTGGGAGGTGGAGGTTGTAGTGAGCTGAGATCGTGCCACTGCACTCTAGCCTGGGCAACAGAGCAACACTCTGTCTCAAAAAAAATAAAAAATTTTATATATATATATATATATACACACATATATATATGTGTACATATATATGTATACATATATATGTATACACCTTGTTACAAAGGTATATATATATACACCTTTGTAACAAACCTGCACATGTACCCCCTAACTCTCAAATAAAAGTTAAAAACAAAGCACTGTTCTAAAGCATGGCTTTGATTGCATCATCCACTGCTTAAAAATCTCAGAGAGTTCCTTTTAAAAGTCCATGAACTAAAGCTACTAAATAAAGTCCTCACTCCTTAGTCTCAGGCCCTTCCAACACAGCCCAGTCCAACTTTCTAGCCTCATTTCCTGCCACTCCCCTCCATTCTCTCTAACCACACTGGGCTGCTTTCCCTTTTAGGGACTCTCCAGTGGCCCTGCCTCTGCACTGTTCCCCAGGCCTGCAGTGCTCTTTTCTCCTTCCCTCCTGATCAAGTCCTAGTCATCCTTGAAGATCTGATCCAAATGTCATCCTCTGTGTCACTTTCTCCAAGTCCCTCCAGGCATGCTGTGTGGCCAGAACATACCGTACACAGCCTTGCTATCACCCTTGTGCGTTGGCATTGTCTGTTACATGTCTATTATGTTACTAGATTGTCTTTGCCCCTCCAGCCATGACCATGCTATTTATTTTCATTTGATGCTCCAAGCCCAGCACAAGGCTTGCCAAAAGGGGCAATTTAGCACACATATGATAAATAAGTGAATTCCAGACTGTGGTTGCCCCAGTTGATATCTGTTGCCTGCTCCACACATGTTTACTGTATTAATCAACTATTGCTATAATAATGGTGCACAGCAAAACACACACACATACACATCCAATCTCCAACAATGAACATTTATTTTTCTCACTCAGCTAGGGCAGCTCTGCTTCAGGCAGCAATTTGGCTGAGCCTTGGTTCCAAATTGCAAGTTGGGTTCAGGTTTGCTCTACACACATTTCCTCATTCTGGAGCCGGGAGCTACATGTGTGCACACTGCACACATTAGATCTGCTAACATTCCACTAGCCAAAGCAAGTCACACGGCCAAGATCAATATCAGTGGAGCAGGGAATATACCCTGTCCTCCACAGTGTCAACAAAGCCGTGGCAAGGCATATAGAGGTATAATATTATAACAGGGAGCCAATCAAGTATTGGGAAGGAATCATTGGAAATAATAATCTAACCTACAAAATGTACCTTTTCCCATTTTGGGGTCGTCACTCATCTTTGTTCATTCTGCTCAGATGACATCATAGAACCTGCTGACTCCCCAGGGCACAACCTGAAGCCAGTAAACTCATTCTTGTCTTACTCCATCCTTGAAGTTTCATCTACCATATGCCTAAAGCTGGAAACCCAGAAGGAATAGACCTAGCCATTGTATTTTTTATTTATTTTATTTTTATTTCTGCTCCCACTCTATTGGGATCAGCCATTGTATTTTTAAAAACATCATTTGCAAAGTCACTATATTCATTAGTGGAAACTCTCATTGTTAGAGAAATACCACTCCACTCTGTTATGGTGAAAACACAATTTCTGTTCTTTCACAAAATGCTACAGGCTGTGAAATTTCTCTTTACCCACCCAATCTCTCTATTCATAACCACACCTTCCTTGCACTAGAGGCCTATTCACTATGATTTTAGCTTTGCCTAATCTAAATGCTGACAAGCCACTCTCCCTAAACCAGTAAGTAGAGGGGGACCAGTAGGGATCTCAGATGATTTCCATGGAGGTGGGAGAGAAAGCAGCAAGCCCCTCCCCACCCCCTACATACATGTTCTATTGCTAAGGATTACATCACACTATAGGTCTTTTCCAGGACAGGGCAATGCCCTCTAAAAGTTTGCTGTGACTTGTCTCTGTGAGTTGTTTAGAGACAGGTAGCAGCACGTAGCACACCTCCAGCTTGTAAACCTCTCCTCTCCCCCTACTCAGCCTTCCCATCTGCTTTTAGAAACCAGCCAAGACATCATCCAGTATCCACACAGATTTCCAGAGAACAGACGGCAGATTCTATGTCAAAGCAGACAACACACGTGACATAGTCAAAAGATCCTAGCACATAGTCAAAAGATCCTAGCAGTTAGGAGATGGGGGTTCTGGCCCTGCCACTAACTGTGGTGACCTGAGGTAGGCCCCTTCACCTTTCCGCACCTCTGTTCCCTTTCTGAGCTCCTTTTTCTCTGTTTCAGCCCATTGTTTGACTCCTTCATAACTTAATAGGGTTTGTAATCATTTGATTTATGGATTTTTCTTTTTACTTGCTCTTAGTCTGTGCTCCCCACTAGAGTGTAAGCCCCTTTGGGCGATCTGATTATCCCATTGAATACCCAGCACTTGGTACATTGTCATCAGTCAGTAAATATCCATTTAAATTAATGAATGAATAAATTGATATCAAATGATCTAGTTTTAATATTCTATAACTTTTCATCTATTAAAGCAAAAACAAGTGAACATATATGAAAGAAAAATTAGCTTGCTTTGGTAGTTCCCAGGGACGAAATGGGGCAATGGATGACTAAGTGAACATTTCCTGTTCATCAGCCTCCTTCTTATAACACTTCGTTAGGATCGTAGGGAACAATTTATTATTTTTATATGTCTAACATAACCTGAGTAATTGTGAGCACAGAAATTGGAAAGTCTTTATCTTTCTGGCATTTTCTCGTCCTTCCTAGCATTTCTTTCCTGATTTGATAAATCGTTTTAATCAACACTTACGTACATGTTCTAGTCTACTCACCAAGTCTAGGCTAGTTTCTCCATTTCCATTACGCATTTGTTCCTTGGAATTTTTGCATTACTTCTACCCAATCTTGCCATTAACCCCAGAGAATTTAAGATCAAATTGAAACTTAAAAGTACAAAAATGTTCAATAGAGTCCTTCAGACCAGTCCAATTTTTGTGTTAGCAGAAACCATCTGGGCAAAGTCACTATAATGAATGCCATTAGCCACTGTTTCTCAATATAATATTAATATTTAATTAAGACTATGCTGATGGTTGGTCAATGACCCTAGTCTCCATCCTCGTGCCTCTCCACAGCCATTGAACTTCCATCCAATCAGGCCATCCCAAGCTAGTGGACCAATCGCAGATCATTGCAGCTTATTTCTCCCACATACACACACTCTTTTATTTGGTGGGTTTGGCCAGAATTTTCATCCTCTCTTTGCTTATTTGTGTCCAAGCAGCTAAGATGATGTATCTGGTATTTGCTGTTCATAGTTGCTCCTGACAGAGAAGTGAAGAGCTGCGTTTCCTTGAAATGTCTTTTCCAGAAAGATATAGATTTGATCCTCTGTTCTGGCCTTCTGAGAACTTCTGGCTAGGGCAAAAACATTTATGTGATTTCAGATGTTTATGGCAAAAGTTAAACCAAACAACCGATGCTTTTGTTTAGAGTTTTGCCCTATGTGGTCAAACTGCCATGCCTAAGCTTCTTTCCCATTTTCCTTCATTCTTCCTTCATCCTACTCAGATCAAACCATGCCTTGTTCTTCCTACAAGCTTGGTGCTTTCCTGAATCCTTGCCTCCTGAATAGTCAGCCCTGAAGGTTCAATACACCTGTTGCCTCCTCCGTAAAACTGTCTTAGATCACCCTAAATGGAAGTAATCTGAACCCCCATGGCACTCTTACTTCTCTTATAGGACTTTTCTTTCTCTACCTTGCCTTATAGTTTTTTATAAAATTGTTTGTCTCCTACATGAACAATAAATTACTTGTACATAGGAACTATCTCTTCTTCATCTTTATCTCTCACAAAGTGATCAGTATTATTGTTTGGTTGGATGATGTATTAGTTAGTTCTTATACTGCTAATAAAGATATACCAGAGACTGGGTAATTTATAAAGGAAAGAGGTGTAATTGACTCACAGTTCCACAGCGCTAGGGAGGCCTCACAATCATGATGGAAGGCGAAGGAGGAGCAAAGTCACATCTTAACACTACAGCAGGCAAGAGAGTGCGTGCAGGGGAACGCCCCTCTATAAAACCATCAGGGCCGGGCAAGATGGCTCACACCTGTAATCCCAGAACTTTGGGAGGTCCAGGTGGGCGGATCATTCGAGGTCAGGAGTTCGAAACCAGAGTGGCCAACATGGTGAAACCCCCTCTCTACTAAAACTACAAAAATTAGGTGGGTGTGGTGGTGGGCGCCTGCAACCCCAGCTACTCGGGAGGCTGGGGCAGGAGAATTGCTTGAGCCCAGGAGGCGGAGGTTGCAGGCAGTGAGCAGAGATCGCACCATTGCACTCCAGCCTGGGCAACAGAGCGAGACTCTGTTGGAAAACACACACACACACACACACACACACACACTTCAGATCTCGAGAGACTTATTCACCGTCACAAGAACAGCACAGGAAAGACCCACCCCCATAACTCAATTGCCTCCCACTGGGTCCCTCCCATGACACATGGGAATTATGAGAGCTACAATGCAAGATGAAATTTGGATGGGGACACAGCCAAACCATATCAGATAAATAAAATGTCTCTAGCTTGTGATATGAGACATCTGTTATACATTTGAAACTCAATACATATTATTAATAATAGACAACTTTATTATCCTTTTCTAACTCCAATGTCAGCAGGGAGCTGGAAAGCTAGTCAATGAACTAGAGAAGAACATAGGGAGAGTTGTTTGTCTCTGTGTACATTCAGGTGTCCAGGTATATTACAGGTTTATGGCAGGAATATTCATTCCACACTGAGCCAAGTAAGTGATAAACTGTCTACAAATAGAGGGCACCAGCACCTCCTACTGGAAGAAGGTAGGACATGCAGGTACTGATAGAGAAGTTTTATTGGAAAAGGTAAAGGATACAAGGTCATTTTCATCCTTGTTTGGTTGACTTGTACTTGTACTTGTTTGTTCAGGTATAACCCATGAGTTTGGGACACAGCGAGTGAGCATATATAGAACAGAATAGAGGTGGGATGTTTCCAGGTGCCTGGTTAAGCCTGGAAAAACATTACCCAAGACAGTCCATGAACGTATAACGAGACCTAAGAGCTGAAAGCACAGCCAAGGGAGTATTCTGCATTGGGATTGGAAAAGATGACAACATTCAAAGAACTAAAGGTCTGAGGAAAAGCTATATTGGTGATATGAGCAGCAAAGTTGGTAATCTTGGGAGTCACAAGCAGAGAAACAAGTAAGGTATGGATCAGTCAGGTAATTTTGGAAAAGTGCTTAGAGAAGAAAGTAAGATACAACCCAAGACCTCCAAGAACTCATTCACCAAGTCTTTTGTTATACTCAATGAAACTCTGTTTCCACACTCCATTCATCACTTCAGGAAGCCAAATTACTGCTTCATTTACTCATTCAAAAATATCTAAATAAAAAATATTATTGAGAGATATATCGAATATTTTATTTTAAAAAGATGCATGCTATTTCTGGTTAGTTTTTTTAAAAGTCAATTCTTCCCCTATATGCAAGCAAAATTCAATTGGATTTTTTTTATTTTGGCCAAATAAAGTTTAAACATATATAAAAGAATCAACAAGAAAAATCAGCTGCAAAATTTTTTAAATAGAACTGTTGCGAGAAGGTTCTACTCTGTTAGCCATGAAATCATACTATAAAGCTGACATAAGTTAATGTGGTCTTAGCACAGAAATTATCACAGATCAATTAAACAGAGTAAATAATCCAGCAATGTACACCAAGCTCTAAAACATTTAGTATATAATAAAGAAAGCATCACAAACAAGTGGGAAACATGAATTATCAAATACATGGCAGTTTAGAAATTAACTATTTGGGGAAAAGTCAGCTTTGAGACTCAGCTCATGCACAGATAAATTCTATATGGATCACAAAAAGATGTAGAATTCAAACTTTTAAAACATAGGTGATTATGCCATATTGCTGGGTGGGAAATGATTTTCTAAACATAACAATGGGAAAAAACATAAAGACTTAGATGTAAGATCCAAAATTATGAAACTACTAGAAGAAAACATAGGGGAAACATTTCATGAAATTAGACTGGGCAAGAATTTTTTTAATAAGACCTGAAAAGCACAGGCAAGGAAAGCAAAAATAGACAAATAAGATCACATCAAACTAAAGACTTTCTGCACAGCAAATGAAACAATAAAGTGAAGAGACAACCTACAGAATGGGAGAAAGTATTTGCAAACTATGCATCTGACAAGGGATTAATATCCAGAATATATAAGGAACTTGAGCAACTCCATAGCAAAAAAAAAAAAAAAAAAAAAAAAAAACCCAAATAATCTCATTTTAAAATGAGCAAAAGACCTGAAAATATATTTCTCAAAAGAAAACATACAAATGACCAACAGATCTGTGAAAATATGCTCAAAACCACAAATCCATCAGAGAAATGCAAATTAAAACTGCCGTGAGACATTACCTCACCCCAATTAGAATGGCTATTATCAAAGACAAAAAAAAAAACTAACAAGGATGCAGAGAAAAGAAAACTCTTACACACTGTTGGTAGAAATGAAAATTAGTGCAGCCATTATGGAAACAAATATGGAGATTACCCAAAAAATTAAAAATAGAACTACCATACATCCAGCAATTCTATTACTCAGTATATTTCCAAGGGAAATGAAATCAGTATATCGCAATAACTCCTGCACACCCATGTTTATTCCAATGTTATTCCCAAAAGTGAAGATATGAAATAAACCTAAATGCCCATCTACAGATGAATGGATACAGAAAATGTGGTGTATGTATATATATAATGGAATATTATTTAGCCATAAAAAAGGATGAAATCCTGTCATTTGTGGCAACATGGATGAACCTAGAGGCCATTGTGTTAAGTAAAATAAGCCAGGCACAGAAAAACAAAAACTGTATGATTTCACTCATATGTGAAATCTTAAAAAGTTAATTCCTTAAAAGTAAAAGGTAGGATAGTAGTTACCAGAGGCTGGGGAAGGGAAGAGAGAGGGATGATGGGGGAGGCTGGTCAATGGGTACAAGGTTATAGTTAGATAGAATACATTTTTGTGTTCTATTATACATCAGGAAGACAATAGCAAATAACAATGCAGTATATATTTCAAGATAGCTAGAAGAAAATATTTTGAGTATTGTTGCCACAAAAAAATGATAAATGTCTAAGGTGATAGATATGGTAACTACCTACCCTGATTTAATCATTATATTATGTATACATGCATTGAAACATCATATTGTATCCCATAAATATGTAAAATTATGTCATTATAAATTTAAAAATTAAATTTTAAAAATTATAATGAATATATTTGTTTCCATTCAATTTTTTAATTACTATACTTCAAAATAATGTCATTAATAAAACTAAATCACAAGCTGGAAAAGTATTTGAAACAACAATATTCTTTTTAAAACTTTTTAGAATTTTGCTAACTCTTCATTCTGGTCTGAAACAATATTCTTTTTTTTTTTTCTTTCAGAAGACAAGGCCGTGGCTATGTTGCCCAAGCTGGTCTCCAACTCCTGGGCTTAAACGATCCTCCTGCCTTGGCCTCCCAATGTGCTGGGATTACAGGCATGAGCCACTGTGCCCAGCCCTGAAACAATATTCTTGATACATAAAGAACTTCTGTAAGTCAGTAAGAAAAACACTAACAATGTAAATATTAAAGGACATAAAATAGCTAATGTACAAAAAGTAGAAATGTTACAGTTAATAAACAGGAGAAATGCTTAACCTCACTAATAATAATGAAATGCAAATCAAAATAATAATGAAATATGTTTTAATAGTTATGTTTTTCAAATAACATTCTGTACTAGCAAAGTATTTAGGAAGAGATGCTCTCACATTCCACTGGCAAGAATATAGAACCTTTCTGGTCAGAAATCTGAAGACAAGTAGCATTTTAAAATGTTTTCATCCAGACTGGGAACAGGTGCCTTTGACATCCCAGATGCTCGGGCCTGGCTGGGGCAAGGTGCACTTACCATCCCTGAGCCAGTCTAGCTGCACAGTGGGGAAGTGTGAGATGCTGCAGAAGCTACCGCATAGCCCACAGCCTGACATTCCAGAACCTTGGGACACTCTGGAGCATCCACAGGGAAAAGATGTATGCCAAGAACTCAGCCTCGGCCTGCTCAAATACACACCATTCTGAGTTTCTATGAAGGTGGTTATGTCCAAGATTTCCCAGGACAATTCATTCCAATAAGGAGGAAAGAGTATGAGGATTCGAGGAGCAGGGCCAGGGTAGTGTTCTGACCAGGATGGGTAGCATGGTGGGGAAGAGCATGGGCTGCCTCTGTTCAAATTCTAGCCCTGCCTCTCACTCAGCTGCGTGACCCCTGGCAAGTTACTAATCCACAGCTGTGCTTCAGTTTTCTTGCCTATAAAACAGAGGCCAATACTGGTGACTTTAGTCAGAGTATCAAGTACAAGATGCCCTTTTCTGGCACAGATGGGAAATACTTGATAAATGTTCATCTTTTATTATTTTATTATTATCATTGCTCGCTTTCCGGTTCTGGAGTTGGGGAGACCTTTCCTCATCGAACAATCAAATATGCGCCTGCCAGGCAGAGGCCACAAGCACTGCTGGGCTGCCATCAACCTTGTCTGGTAGCCTTCTTCTCCTACTCAGATACCTTAGAGACAAAACTTCTTGAAGCCCAGGGCCATGAAGTTTTCCTACTGCTGCAGGAACTCAGGCAAGGAGCCAGAGTCCCAGGCCTCTGCTGAGGCTGCGTAAGGCCCTAGTGAGGACAGCGTTGATTTGAGAACCAATGAGTAAATGCAGACAGCGGCCAACCTCCTTTCCCACCAGAAACCTGGGGGTCCATGACAGCTCATCCCAGCCAGGCCCTTGTGGAACCAACAGAGGATGGCTTAGCTCCAGGCCAAGTCATAGGCCATGGACCAGGCCCAGCTCTCCTGGGGCAATTGGACCCCAAGAGGCTCTGCCTAAGACTGGGTCTTGCTGCATTCTGCCAGGGGCAGGCTTGTGTGGGGGCATGTTGTCCAGGAGCCCATGATAGCTTTCATATGTGAGGCTCCTTGTAGGAACAAAACAATTACCAACCTCTTGGCCCTATTGATGAGGGCACTAAGAATCTCTGTTCACAGCCTCCCCAAAACAATGGTGGCCCACAGGCCCACAATGATTTCTAGCTCTTGTAGAGACCCAGACAAATTGGGCATCTGGCTGTATGGGAGGGGAAGGCTGTACACATGGCTGTGGCTATGCTGCTGGAAAGATAGCGCTTGATCCAGGACAGATAACGGTCCTCTAGAAGCCCCCCACTCTCATCAAGTGAGCATCTGTCCTCGGGGCAGCTCCTTCTTCAGGCAAAGAGAAGGGACTGATTTAGGTTCTGCTCATTCTCCTCTCCTTGCTGCCCTGGTGCCCCTGGGACCATGGACCCTTGGAATAATGCCCAAACCCCTGGTCCCCAAGGCCAGGGAGAAAGCAGCACCTGCCCCCAAACCTGGGCTTAGGGCTTGAGCCACTAGGGCTTCCCAAGGAAGACATTTGCAAATGCCTAGATCCGAGAAGTCAGATGACTAAGAAAGGAATCCAAGAAGACAGGCCATCAACTTAGAGATTTATGGACTATGTTGAAATGAACTGAATTGTGTCCCCCTAAAATTCATATGTTGGTGCCCTAACTCCTGTATGATGGTATTTGGAGATGGGACCTTTGGAAGTTACTTAGGTTTAGATGAAGTCGTGAGACAGGTTTAGATGAAGTATTGAGAATGGGGCCCTCATGATGGGATGAGTGCCTTTATAAGAACAGACACCAGGAGGTTACTCTCTGCCTCCCTCTCTCCCCTGCCCCATCATGTGAGGGCACAGTGAGAAGCCAGGAAGAGGGTCCTCATCAGAACCTGACACCGTGGCACCCTAATTAATCCTCAGGCTTCTAACATCTAGAATTGTGAGAAAAATGTCTACTCTTTGAGTTGCCCAGTCTATGGTATTTTGTTATGGCAGCCTGAGCAGGAAAAGACACTGGTGCTCATAAACAGAAAACAGAGGTTCCAACACAACAAACAGGGCAAAAGAAAGCAGGACCTGAAAACAATGAGAGTCAGACATGGGGCGACAAGGCAGACCCGCTGAGTGTGCAGCGTGGATAGTTCAAGGCAAAGCTCATGGAGCCAGACTCCAGCCCCAACATCTCCATTGGAAATGTTAGAATTCTTCTGCCAGCCCTGGCTGCCAGAGTCCTCAAGGGGCAGCTCCTCTGGACAAGAAGGATCCCAATAGCCACTCTTGGTAAAACAGCATTCAATTTGCAATACTGACTAGGTACCAATATATGCCAGGAGCCATGCCAGGCATTGGGGTACAGCTGTGAATAAGACCAGCCTAATCTCTGTCCTCACAGAGCTTCCCACATAGCAGGAATTATAGATATTACAGTAGAAATTACAGATGCACTAAGCATTGCAGAAAACTTCTGTTAGTGAATAGAATTTGAAAAATAGACATCAGACTTAGCAGCTATCCAACCCTAGGCTCACAAGAGGTAACAAAAGGCTATTTTGAAAAAGCTTGGGAATCCTTCATAACGGAGACTGCATGGTGGTAATTTACCCTAGATGTCCTCCAAGCTGCTCAATAATCCATTTCGATTTTATCATCCATGAACATCTAAATCCCTCCTGAACTTTACCTCTTTACTGTTCCATTCTATTTTACCATTGCTGACTTAACACTTATCTTGAATTCATTCACGGAGTCTCAAGCTTTTTCTTTCTATGAGGGGGAGTTCTTATCCCATCAATGTATTCTCTCCCAGAACGTGCTCCTTTCCCTTCAGCACTTAGTCCTGGACTTTTCCCAGCCCAATTATGTCATTCCTGAGATGGATGCTCATAAATGCCAGCAACCCTAGTTTTGTTGCCAGTGCCCATTGCCAGGATCTGCCCACGTATTCCCTCTGGCCAAGAGCAACCCCTTCTCTGCCTGCCCCTGCAGGCCGAGGAAGGCCACGGCCCCAGTGCCTGCCCCTTTGCAGAATGGACCCTTCTCATTCACAGCATCTTACTTGTGCCCAGGTTTTGTAGCTTGCAGAGTTCTTTCATAGACAATTTCTCATTTGATACAAAAATCTTGAGAAGCAGGCAAGGTAGACATGAGTTTTCTCATGATTTAAAAAATAGAAGTTCAAAATTAATTAATTTATTAAATAAGTTGCCCAATGTCATAAAACTAGTAGTGGCAGATGCAGGAATTCAACTTGGGTCTCCTGAGTTGTACCTGCCCAACCACCCCCTTTCTTTAAACCCAAGGCTGCATGCTCTATCTCTTAATATCTGCCGCAGATCTCTTCCTTGTCTTGGTGCAAACCTTGGATTCAGAACACTGGAAGCTCCAGGTAAATAGCACTTCCTCCAGAGTCTCAGTCCCTGGGACCCACACCTGGGAGGCTGACCTTCCCCCACACTCTTCTCTACCTGGCCCCTCGCTTCCCAAGGGGGCAAGGGTGATCAGGCCATTTCTAACTCGCTACTGTTCCTCTGAATGGTGGCATCTCAGTGTTAAGTCCCAATTTCTGCCCAGCACTAAGCCATGCTTCTAACAATGCTCAATAAATGTTTGGCAAATTGATAGAAAATCTGCTGTCTGCGTATTTTCTGACTCACTGCCTCACATTGCCCTCTGACTCATGTATTCTTTAAGACTTGATTTTAGGCCAAATTTCTGACAAGCAATACCAACTCTTCCAATTTAGAGACTCCAATATGACCTATTTCTTGCTATAATCAGCATTCTTTTCAAAGGGTACTTATGTGTGCACCAAATACTGGAACCCCCGCTTTATCCAATAGTGTGATCAAGGCTATGATGGAGCTAAAGGGATCCAAAGCTGCTTAATCCAAATGGATTGAGGGTGGAAGAGAAGAAAGATGGGGCAGGTAGGCTTCCAAGAAGAAAGTGCCTGAGTCGGTTCTTAAAAGTGAGTAGAACTAACCAAGATGGAGGAGAGGGGAGAACATTCTAGGTAGGAAATGTGGCACATGAAAAGACACAGAGTGTTAGAGATGATGGTGTGTTGAGGAACTACGAGTTCCTCACAGTTGAGCATGGCTGGAGGGCAGGTGGGGATAGGATGGAGAAGCGAGGTCTGGAGAAGGGCATGGACCAGGTAAGGAAAGGCCATGTGGGCCATGCTGAGGTGATCAGACTTCACATTGAAGGAGATGGGCAGCCCTTGCAGAATGTTAATGTGATAGAATCAGATTTGTGCAAACACTCTGGCTGCATAAGAACAGATCATACGGGAGCCAAATCTATTGAGAGCGTGCTGCTTTAACCTGCATAAGAAATAACTAACAGAAAATCAAATGATGTACAGAAGCTTAGAATGTCAATGCTGAAAGGGGCCTTGCAGATGGGTCATCTTATCCAAATGCTCCATTTTAGAAATGAAGTAAGGTGGTCAGAGAGGGAGGCCAAGAATTAAGTGCTACTCTGCTGCCATAAATGCCCCTACCTGGCCCATTTATTAGTCCTCTCTCCCATCCATGGATTTGCTTGCTAGGGCTGCCACAACAAAATACCACAGACTGAGTGCCTTAACCAACAGAAATTTATTTTCTCATAATTCTGGAGGCTAGAAGTCCAAGATCAAGGTTTTGGCAGGTTTAGCTTCTTCTGAACCCTCTCTCCTCGTCCTGAGAATTGGCTGCCTTCCAGTTGTGTGCTCACATGGTCATCCTTTGGCTGTGTGGGTCTGTTTTCTAATCCCCTCTTCTTATAAGTGCACCAGTCATATTGCATTAGGGCCCATCCTAAAAACCTGGTTCTAACTCTACTCTTCTAATTCTTCTAATGATTCTAACTCTTTAAAGGCCTTATCTCCAAGTACAGTCATATTCTGAGCTACTGAGGGTTAGAGCTTCAACATATTAATCAGGAGACGGGGAACAGAGTTCAGCCCCTGAATAACAGGAAAGTGTATTCACAGGTGCACAGGGCAGAGGAACATGACTCTAGCCATTTGGGAGTTAAAGGATGAATTCTCAAGCAGAAAGAGGAAGCAATGGTAATCCAGGCAGAGGGAAGAAATGAGCAGCGTCCCTCCTGGAACATTGATCATATGACAAATTTCCTTGGGTCACTGAACACACATCGAGGGCAGAACCTCACATCCAAGCTGATATCAACCCACTGTGCTCCTGCCCTGTCACACAACACAGTTTGCAAGACACCTCCTCAACGGGTCACCTTTAGCTTATTATTTACCACACAGCCAGGGGAAACCAGAAGTGGGGCCTCTTCCAGGTCACTAAGGAATGTGCTGTCTCATCATAGCGCTGACCCATGAGAGAGTCCCACCACTAAATTAGCACTCTGTGACTGTCCCCCTTGCTGGAATACTCTGCAGTCATTATGCTGTGATAATCCCAAATCACAGAAATGCTCACAATACAGTGTTAAATGAAGAGACACAATTCAAAGGTACATTATAACTTTCATGCTGTCAAAGAAAGGACTGGGAAACATTTCAAGAAGATGTCAATAACAATGGTTTATGAGAGTAATATGTAGTTTTCCAAATTTTTTTATTACACTTTAAGTTCTGGGATACATGTGTAGAATGTGCAGGTTTGTTACATAGGTATACACGTGCCATGGTTGTTTGCTGCACTCATCAACCCATCATCTACATTAGGTATTTCTCCTAATGCTATCCCTCCCCTAGGCCCCCATCCCCCAACAGGCCTCAGTGTATGATGTTCCCCATCCCTGTGTCCATGTGTTCTCATTGTTCAACTCCCACTTATGAGTGAGAACATGTGGTGTTTGGTTTTCTGTTCCTGTTTTAGTATGCTGAGAATGATGGTTTCTAGCTTCATCCATGTCCCTGCAAAGGACATGAACTCATCCTTTTTTATGGCTGCATATATTCCATGGTGTATATGTGCCACATTTTCTTTATCCAGTCTATCATTGATGGACATTTGAGTTGGTTCCAAGTCTTTGCTATTGTGAATAGTGCTGCAATAAACAATTGTGTGCATGTGTCTTTATAGTAGAATGATTTATAATCCTTTGGGTATACGCCCAGTAATGGGATGGCTGGGTCAAACAGTATTTCTGGATCTAGATCCTTGAGGAATCGCCACACTGTCTTCCACAGTGTTTGAACTAATTTACACTCCCACCAATAGTGTAAAAGCATTCCTATTTCTCCACATTCTCTTCAGCATCTGTTGTTTCCTGACTTTTAAACGATCGCCATTCTAACTGGCGTGAGGTGGTATCTCATTGTGGTTTTGATTTATATTTCTCTAATGACCAGTGAAGATAAGCCATTTTTCATATGTTTGTTGGCTGCATAAATGTCTTCTTTTGAAAAGTGTCTGTTCATATCCTTCACTTATTTTTTGATGGGGTTTTTTTTCTTGCAAATTTGTTTAAGTTCCTTGTAGATTCTAGATATTAGCCCTTCGTCAGATGTATAGATTGTAAAAATTTTCTCCCATTCTGTAGGTTGCCTGTTCACTCTGATGATAGTTTCTTTTGCTGTGCAGAAGCTCTTTAGTTTAATTAGATCCCATTTGTCAATTTTGACTTTTGTTGTCATTGCTTTTGGTGTTTTAGTCATGAACTCTTTGCCCATGCCTATGTCCTGAACTAGGTTTTCTTCTAGGGTTTTTATGGTTTTAGGTCTTACTTTTAAGTCTTCAATCCATCTTGAGTTAATTTTTGTATAAGGTGTAAGGAAGGGGTCCAGTTTCAGTTTTCTGCATATGGCTAGCCAGTTTTCCCAGCACCATTTATTAAATAGGGAATCCTTTCCCCATTGTTTGTTTTTGTCAGGTTTATCAAAGATTTGTTTATCAAAGATTTGTCAAAAAGGTTTGTTTTGTCAGGTTTGTCAAAGGTTGTAGATGTGTGGCGTTATTTCTGAGGCTTCTGTTCTGTTCCATTGGTCTATATGTCTGTTTTGGTACCAGTACCATGCTGATTTGGTTACTAGTTTTTCAAATTTTAATAAAATGATTTGGAAAAATATATGCTTAACAAAATTTGCAAACCTCTATCTGCAACAGAGTCACTTTTTTGCCCTACCCTTTGTTTCCTAGTACAGTGAAACCCTGGGTATTTTAACTCTAATGAGATTCGCTACCACGACAAAACATGTCCTCTATTCCATAATTATCAAGTTAAAAAAAAACCACCAGTTGCTGACTTTTAAAACTAGAATTCAAGGCAAGTTTTATAATATTCATTTTTGTTTACCTATCTATAAAATAAACTTATTCTAGACTATTAAAAAAAGAGACAAGCACATAGAAAAAAAGAAAATCACCTAACTTGCTACTTTACCTATGAATAAATCATAGACATTTCCCCATATCATTATTATTCTTACACATCATTGTTATTACTGTGTATTATTCTATTGTATAGATATATCTTAATATATTTAATGAAGTCTCTTTTGATGTAGATATAGGTGAATTTTTTTCTTTCAGTCAGAAATTAGACTGTAATGAAATGGAATGAGAAAGCATAAACCCATTTTTTTATAGGATAAATTTCTAGCAGTGAAAATGCAGTTAAACACATTGAAGATTTAGGATATATATTGCCTAATTATCTTCCAGAAATGTTGTACCTTCCAGAATTACTGTGAAAATAATTTACCAGCCCATAATTGCCATGATTTCTCTGGAACTTCCTAATAGATATGAATTATGTTGCTAATTCACTAGTTATCTGGTAGTCTTTTGTAATTATAGGGTTCATATTTTAGTCAACAGTTCCCCAATTTTATCTCCAGGAACAGCTAGGTAGATGCCATATGCTCAAATGATTTATTTACATCTAAATCGTCCTTATGTTCAAGAACACTTTTTGTGCATATCACCATTAGCCCTACTCCATCTGGGTTGACAGTTACCAAAGTCAAAGTGTCCAGCCTCTTTTCTGAGGTGCCATTGCTAGAGTGTGTCAGAGGCACTAGACAATAATCATGTGTGAAAACACAACACTGAAAGGAAGGAAAATAAAGGTTAAGGCTTTAAAAAATATTAATAATCATAAGGAATCAGCCTAAAATGTAGTACTATCTTTATTAACTAATTAGGAAGCAGTAGGTTTATTTCAGTAATAAGAAAATGTCTTCAGTGTTTGGAACATATATTAATCAGGGTCCACTCAGGAAAATGGAGCCCACGCCAGGTGGTTCCATGGAGGTAAGTTACTTTAGAGAACCAGTTAAAAATGTTTTGGAAAAGTTGAGAGGCCAAACAAAGGAAAATGAGATAATTCAGGGATTCACAACAGCAGGAGGTTGCTACAACCATATTATCAAAATCCAGAAGCCAGGGCAACAGGACAGAAACTAGAAACTCAAGACACCCTCTGAATCAGAGAAATAGGAAATGGAATACCCTGATTTCTCTTTTTCTATTTTTCTCCAACTTCCCCACTGGGTTCCCCATGGATAAAACATAGACAGAAGCCAGTTGGCAAAGAAGCTTAGGAAATGCAGTGTACAGGGCAGCCCTCTTGGAATTTAGAGCAGAAGAGAGGAAGTATTAGGTTGGTGCAAAAGTAATTGAGGTTTTTGCCATTGCTTTTAATGGCAAAAAACGCAAGAGTTCAAAGCTGCTCAGCCAAGAGCTAGAATTTGCCATGAGGAGAGCACTCCTTCTCAGCTCATGGAAGAGAGCCCAGTACCTTGGTCTCTCCAGATATTCAAATTTCTTATCCTTAAACTCTAGTCTTCCCATGAATGGGTCCCCCACACCAGACCCAAGCCCACTTGAACTTCCCACTCTTAATCTCAGTTTGCACTTTGACCAATGGTACTCACATTTCATCAACGGTACTGACATTTCATCATCTTTGTCCTTGGAGGCCAATCCAGATGCTGAGCAGCTTTGAACTCTGTGTGTCTCTTCAAAGGCTCTGGACTCTGTGCCCATGTCCAAACCTCTGACCTTTGCCTAACCCCAGGGATCTGTCTTCACTCCCCTATTGCAGCAGTTCTTTCCTCACAAAATCAGTGGAACCAGAAATAGAAGTCTGAGTGCATTAAAGTTATAATAGTAGCTAATGTCATGACTAAAACTCATGTATATCTATCAAATATAGGATGGAATAAGGAGAGGAGGCAGAATGATATGAGCAAAATCCTCATCTGATGCAGGAGGTTAACAGATAACATTTAAAACTGATAAATCAAGATGGAGATATATGTGTATATTAATTAGGATCTGGAAGTAAGTGACAGAACTAAAACCAGAAACAATTAAAAAGAAATAAGACAATCACCTTTGGGCATTGATGCTGCCAGAAAAAAGGATGGAACAAGGGTCTGTTGTATTTTATTATAAGTCCTCCATATTCTTTTTTTTTAATCATCATAGATTCTGTGCTCAGTTTTTACACTCGCAGATCCCTCTACCTGGAATACTCTGCTCAGATATCTGCATGATTCATTCTCTCAGTTCTTCCTTTGGGTCTTTGCCCAAATATCACCTACTTAGTGGGGCCTTTCTTGAGCAGTCTATTTAAAATAGCAAATTCTCCCTCTGCTTTATTTCTCTAGATATCACTTATCATATTTTAACATCTATAAAATTTCCTTATTCATTTTAGTTCTTTTCTGTCCAGCTCAATTACAGAGTAATCTTCACGAGGTCAGGGGTTTTGTCTGTTTTCTTCACTGGTAAATGCCCAGTAGCTGAGCAATGACTGGCACTATTAACTGACTGTGTGAACAAATGGCACGTGTAAATTACTAGGTGCAAAAGATTGTAATGACCAACAAATGTTTTCAAAAAACTCTCACTTCTTTTTGCTTGTTTGTTTTGTTGTTTTACTTTGAGGTCATTCTTGGAGGATTAACTGTGCCTGAAGTTTTCTAAGTGGATTACTCTTGTGTCCCTTTTTGTCATTCAGAGATTCCTTTCAGTTCATCCTGATGAAGCATCAGGCTGGTCAAGTGCAAGGAACTGATGTGAGTGGGGAAAAGGAAAAGAGGTTTCCTGGTGGCACACTTTCTTACCCGTGAGGATACACTTTTCCCAAAAGGGTATAATCCAAGAAAGGAATGAGGTCAAGCTCCAGAGTAATGACATAATCAAAAGAGCATAATGAGTGTTGGGTCTTATTTGTTTGTTTCCTTAAACATTTCAATTATTTAAGTCTTAAAAACTAAACAATTAAAGGTTAGACAGCCTTGTTGACGTATGGGTCTTTTAGATAAGGGAGTCTAAAAACTGCACCTTTCAAAGACCTTATTAAGTCCATTGTAGTCAATGTGCTCTTAGCCCATTTCTTTTGAAAATACAAGTAATTCCTCATATCAGAATCCAGATAGTAGCAGCATCAAAAACAGGCCCTCTCTTCTGTCCCCTTCAGAAGACTTCACCTTCTACTTTCCTGGTGAGTCCTCTCACTACCGTGATTAAGTTGAGTAGAGGAGCCTGGAGTGCAGAGTTGACACACCAGTCTGGGTTCAAGACTGTGACAGTTAATTTTACGTGTCAGCTTGACTGGCCATGGGGTGCTGCCTTTTATGTATTTTATCATTTTAAACATATTTTTATAGTATCCTTTAGCTCACTGATCTCAAATATGTGGGTTACTCATTCCATTTGGTCTGTTAACTCTCCCTCTGGGAGTATTTCTTCCTTATGGGTTTGTATTTTTTACTGTGAGCATATTTCCAGGAGGGATTTGGTCAGGGGGCAAGTGGGAGGTAGGTAGGAGGGACCTGTGTTACAGAAGAGTTGCTACAGAGAGGTTTGGTATTTGCTTCCACAAGTTGCACTGGGTTGTTACCTATGTTTATGTTATTTCTTAGCTTGAGAATTCTAGGACTACTTGGGTAAATATAAATGTGAATTCCGCTCACACAAGACACAAGCTGGGTCTCTGATTTCTCTAAGGCGGAGAGATGTTTTGGATCACTTCCCTGAGTAAGCAAACAAACTGCTTCTAGTTCTATTTTACCTACAGTGCAGCCATTTAAGTGTTCTAGCTCTCAGAACTAGTTTCCTGTCTTACAAGGGTCCAAGCCCACACCTCCTGTCCTCAAATGAAAACAGACATTCAATCCCTAGCTACTAGTCTCATGGGTCTACTTCCAGATTCATATCTTCCTGAGCCACTGTGGCATCGGCTCATGAAGTTACACAGCTGGCTTCACATTTCCTCATTGCTTTTTGCACCAAGAGAGTTCTCTCACTTTGTTGTAAGTTTAAAATTTAAATTTTTTGTTGTAATACTTTGTCTTATATTTATATGTGTTGGAAGTGATGAAAGAAGATAATATGGTGGTATTTCAGTCAGCCATGTCACCAGAACCCAGGATAAATTTTTTAAATATATTTTCCTATATGGAAAACATACATTATCTTGGCAAAATTCTTATTCTTATTTTTTCATTTCCCAAATTATTGTGGTTTATTTCCTCAGGTGAAATTCCTTTGTTAAGAGTAAGTACTAGATCCCAAATTGGGCACATGCTATACAATTTTATAAGCTATCTCTTTGTATATGGCTTTTATCCTGAAATATTAGACCATTACCATTTCCTGTATCATTAACAATGTATCAAAAAACTAATACTTATGACCTGCATTTTATTACACTGCAGTATCATCATTTATTTAGCAGTCCCTCTACATTAAACATGGTTATATTTTTCAGTGTTTCATATAAATAATACTATTTGGCTGGTGCAAAACCGCAATTACTTTTGTACCAAACTAATATGATTATCTTCACACTTAAATATTTATCTACACTTTTTAATTGTTTTCTTAAGACATATTCATAGCAATGTCTTTACTGGAGATTGCATTAACTCATTTAAGCCATTGAATGTACTACATGGCAAATGATTGTTTAAATTGTATCACTGCCAAGAACCTAACCAGCTAATGTGCTAGCAGGAAGAGAATGATTAGCAATTACCCTCCAGTAAACCACAATGTCATAAGATTATTGTTTGTTTTACTAAAAGTTGTCACATGATTACAGGTCATTAGGAGCCAATGATAATGAAAACCCTATACGGGTTTCATAAGTGTGTTTAAATTTCACAAGCTTTGTATATTCCACCAAAAAGCCAAATGCTTGCAAATGTTCTCCCAATCTTACTTCTCAAAGACTGCTCTTCATTTTCCTCCCCTCATTTCTGAATGTCTTCAAAGACCCATATCAAATGCTGTTTCTTTCAGGAACTCACCTATCCAGGAGAATAAAACATAAGTCTCACCTCTCCTCTGTTCCCCCAGCACTTACAGTACTCTTACGATGTTGAATAGAAACACTCTCTGCTGTCTTACAGTAGTCATGCTGACACTCAACTATATGCTTTGAGGACAGACTCTTGGTCTGATCCATCTTCACATTCCCCAAAACACCTAGAACTCTAACTCTCTCTTCAGCATAGAAAGGACTCTTTTAGTTCTTTTAGACTTTAATGCACAAATGGTAACACTCCTAACTACACAAATCAATTTCATTAACAACTAACCAACAATATATATTTATACTATTCAAGTGTAAAAAACGGCTGGGCGCAGTGGCTCATGCCTATTATCCTAGCACTTTGGGAGGCCAAGGTGGGAGGCTTGCTTGAGGCCAAGAGTTCAAGGCCAATCTGGCCAACATAGCAAAAACCTCTAACTGTCTCTAAAAAAATTTTTTTAATTAAAATTTAGTTTTTACTCATTTTCACTTAATTTTTATAATATAATACATATTATATATAATAATTTTCATAAATAATAATTTACCTAATTTTACCCAATTTTTTGAGGAAGTGTGTCTCTTGGAATGTAAATATTGCCTTGATAAAAAGCCACTAAGTACTCCAATTTGAGAGATGAAAACCTAAATAAATCAATATAATCCAAGCAGAAATAAAGTAAAATTCAGAAATTCAGTTAATCTGGTTTTTGCATCTAACATTGTAACTAATGTTATTGCACATGATGGCTGAGAATAAGCCTAATGATAATGACAAATAGCAAAGTCAAGTGATTTTTCCCGTTTTTGAACTTAGTTTTTTCTCTTGGAATTTTTACTTATAGTAATAATCCTTAACTGTTTCAGGAATGAGTCTGACCGCCAAATAACTATCTTATATTTTTTTCACTGTTAACAATAAGTTTATCATGCCTGATGGATGGATAGGCGATAAAGCAAATACAGCAATATGTTAACTATATCATTTAAATCGGGGTTGGCAAACTTTTTCTGTAAAGGGTCAGATTGTTAAGTACTTTAATCTTTGCGGTCTCTGTGGAAACTACTCAAGCCTGCTATTGTAGTGCAAAAGCAGCCAGAGACAATATCTGAATTAATGAGAAAGGTCATGTTCTAGTAAAACTTTATTTACAAAAACAGGCAAGTGGGCCAGGCACAGTGGCTCACGCCTGTAATCCCAGCACTTTGGGAGGCCGAGGTGGGCAGATCACGAGGTCAGGGGATCGAGACCACCCTGGCTAACATGTTGAAACCCGTCTCTACTAAAAACACAAAAAATTAGCCGGGCGTGGTGGCAGGTGCCTGTAGTCCCAGCTACTCAGGAGGCTGAGGCAGGAGAATGGCGTGAACCCGGGAGGCAGAGCTTGCAGTGAGCCGAGATTGTGCCACTGCACTCCAGCCTGGGCGAAAGAGCAAGACTCTGTCTCAAAAACAAACAAACAAATAAACAAACAGGCAAGCAACTAGATTTGGCCCACAGGCCAAGTTAGGGTTTGCCAACCCCTAATCTAAATGGTGGGTATACAGATGCCCACTGTAAATTATTTCAATGTTTCTATATGCTTTAAAGCTTTCAGAATAAAATGTTGAAAACCATGTCTATGAGTTATCCAAAGGTTTTTAACTATTATGCAAAGGTTTAAATATTAAAAGCTTATAAATTGTCCCCAAGTTTTTGTTTTTGTATATGCTCTTTGTTATAGCTAGTAAAAGTTAAATATCTAATTTTCTGAAGTCTTTGGTTTTGATCAGGAATGACTGATCCAAAAATGGCTAGTCCTTGGCAATAGTAAGATAAAAATATTCCTCTCTGCTTTTCTCCACCGGAGTTACACAATGGTTTTCTACTTAATTGTGACCTTTCCATTTCTGCCAGGAAAGGGGAGATGGATGTTTGTTGTACTATTATTTTATAAATAGCATATGTACCTTTTTCCAGGCTTTCTTTTTAACATTCTGTTATTTAAAACTGACACTACCTAAAGTTGAGAGCAGTGACTTTTCAAATTAAGTTATTTCCTTTTGACTGTTTCCATCTACATGGTACCTAATTTGACATATTTTCACTTTCTTCACAATATGGGCTTTTTAAACAACTTTTTTTCTGGAAACTGTGACATGATTACTTTAAAAATCAAACAGAATCTAAATTTGCATGTGTTCCTAATATCAGCTCTGCTAGACACAGCAAGATGACAACCAGGCCATAAGACACCCTTTGGGATCTGTGTAGAGTTTGTGAATTGAAGCAGAAAAACATTCTAGTTTCATACTCACTGGCTTAGTTAATGATCCAAACCAAACATTAGGAGACAATCATAGTGTCTTTGTTCCTGGCAGAATTTTTGTTCAGGCCTGTGAAATCTTTCTGGCCTTATGGCCAAACCATACCTTATAGAAAACAAAAAATAGGATCAGGGAGAAAAACAGTATATCATTAAGGATTATTATAAGATCATTTCAGCCACCACAATCACAAGTTCTTCTGTTGTGATTCTCAGTCCTCCTGGATGTTGAACGCTGCCTGCCTGCCAAAACCGAGGGTCCCCACAGAGGCTTCCTGACACTTGGCTTTTTTATTAGAAACACTCTGGGTAAGACCCAGTGAATCTCCCCAGAGGATCTGGCCCTCTTCCTATGCAGTCCTTCTGGAGAGTTACCATTTTAAATAAAGAAACTGAAACAAAGAGAAAATAGATCACCACACTGCCTCCCCCGCTGACGGGTGAATCCCTGCTTCTGAACTCTTTTGTCTCTGTCCCATCACCACTGCCTATCACTGCTTCCTGATAAGAAAGCTATCTTACAAATGCCTACTTTGAGAAATGGTGCAAAGACTACAAACTCTAAAGTCAAATAGATTAGGGTTCAGCTCTCACAGCTGCCACTTACTGGTTATGAATTTGAGTCACGTTTCTTAATCCTACTGAAGTAGGCTGATAATGACTCCAACAATTTGTCCACATCCTAATCCCTGGAACCTGTGAATGTTACCGTATGTAGTAAATTTTTGCAGGTGTGAGTTCTTAAGGATCTTGGTCTGAGTGGATTATCCTGATTACCCAGATGGGACCTAAATGCCATTACAAGTGACCTCATAAGAAAGAGACAGAAGGAGAATAGGCACCACACACACACAGGAGAAGGCAATATGAAGATGGAGGCAGAGATTGCAGTGATGCGGCCATAAGCCAAAGAATGCAACAGCCCCCAGAAGCCGGAAGAGGCAAGGAAAGGATGCTCCCCTGGAACCTCCAAAAGGAACAGCCCTGCTGACACCCTGAGGTCTGACTTCTGACCTCCAAAACTGTAAGAGAATAAATGTCTATTGTTTTAAACCATCAAGTTTGTGGTAATTTGTTACAGCACCCACAGGAAACTAATACACCTGCTAAGCCTCCGTTTCCTCATCTGTTAAACTGAGATAATAATATATGCCTTGCTAGGTTGTTGTCATAACAAAAATTAACTAATGCAAAATATTAGCTCAATGTCTGGCACATAGTAGGCATACAGTACATAGCAGCAGCTATTATTTTTATTAGTATTATCTTCACTATTTTTAATATGGATAAAAGAGTATGGGCAGCTTATCCTAAACCCAGTACTGCTCCTTTAAAAATCAGTCAAACCAAACACCAAGTGGTATAATCTTCAACTAGGGAGAACTGCATATTTATTTATAGTTTGTATCAAAATAGTGCCTTTCATCAAAAAACTAACTTCTATTCTGTTGCCATATTATTATGAAATGCTCCATCTATTCATGCCAATAATTAAATAAGCCATGTTGCATTTTTCCAAGTATTTAATTGTATGTTTAACCATAAACTACATGTTTAAAATGGAAAATAAACATTTCCAGCTGTTTTGTGGACAACACATCTAAATTTGAACTTCTGAATTCTGGAAAACCACAGATCTTTTAAGTATGCTACAATTATTTCTTAAAGCAATGTCAACTCTTGCTTATTCAGGAGTTGAACATTCAGCTGAGGTGCAATTAGGGGAGAGTGGGAGTTTTATGTGATGGAAGATTGCCTCCCCAAACACAGAAGTGTAGTATGTAGGAGGTCAATCATTCATTTAACAAATGATTATTTAGTCATTGTGCTGGGCATTGGAGGATGCAAAGGTGACTAAGATAGAGCCTTTACCTTGAAGGCACTCACGGAACAGTGAAGGACATAGAAATATAAAAGCAGATAGATGAAAATTCAGAATGATAATAGTGAAGCTAACATTTACCAAGTATCTATTATGTGCCACGCACTATATAACCCTTTACATGCATTTTCTCATTTAATCTTCACAACCACCCTGTGAAGTGGGGTTTTGGTAAGGTTAGGTTGCCCAAGGTAACACAGCTAGTTTAAGAACAGCCTAATTCCTGGGTCCTCACTTTTAACCACTGCTGCAGAGGCATAAACCATTTAACATGATAACACAGAAAAGGAAGAAAGTTACTGTGCCTGGGGGAAGTGGGAGGGTTCCATCCAGAAATACAGTTGACTTGGATCAAGGATGAATGGAATTTAGGAGGACTTTGTTTTTAAAGGTGAAAAATACGCCAAAAGGCACTCCAGAAGGAGACAAGTGCCTGTGCAAAGGTGAGGCATCAGGAAAGGGCCATGTATTCAGGGCAACTGGAGTGCCATGAGTCTGGCGTGGTCAGGAGTATTATACTGGACACAAAGAAGAACCTCAAGTTACTAAAGCCTTTTGGGGGTGATATGGTTAGGCTTTGTGTCCCCACCCAAATCTCATCTTGAATTGTAATCCCCATAATCCTCACAGGTCAAAGTAGGGACCCGGTGAGAGATGATTGGATCATGGGGGCAGTTTCCCCCATGCTGTTCTCCTGATAGTGAGTGAGTTCTTCCAAGATCTGATGGTTTTATAAGCATCTGGCATTTCCCCTGCTTGCACTTCTCTCTCATGCCACCACGTGAAGAAGGTCTTTGCTTCCCCTTCGCCTTCCACCATGATTGTAAGTTTCCTGAGGCCTCCCCAGGCACGTGGAACTATGAGTCAATTAAACCTCTTTCTTTTATAAATTCCCCAGTCTCGAGTATTTCTTTACAGCAGTGTAAGAATGGACTAACACAGGGAGACACAGGATTAGATGTGCATTTTAGAAAGATGCTTGGGGATCCATGCAGGGGATGGGCTACACAAAAAACCAAGCCTGGAGGCTGGGGTTTCTAGTCTGATATGGGAATCAGATTACTACTCACTTATCTACTCCCATTGGAATAATTTAAAAATACAAAAGAAAACATATTATATTACTGCTGGAAACAATGGAAGGCAACCATTCACATAGCAAAAGGCATTGTAGCAAAAGACATGCCTGATCTTACTGGCTAGTCAGCTTCATGTAAAAATGTCTGAAACAAATTTTAAGGTCATCTGGGACCCTCACTATGTTAATATTAGACAAAACAGTATTTATGCCAAAAAGAATTTTTAAATGAGAAAGGGGGTCATGTTAGATAGATAAAAAGGAGCCATACCAAAAATACAGTATGAATTATCATGCACCAAATAACATAGCATCAAAATAGATAAAGCCAAAGTTTCTAGCAATAAAGAGAAAAGTGAAAAATTAGAACTATAATAGGCTTTAACATACCCCTCTTTTCAGAATAGATCTAATTAACAAAAGCAAACATAGTTTATAAAAGTATAATTAAAACTTTGTGTTAATAAATATATATATCACACTTTGTATCTCATGAACTTTAAACTATATCACATCCTAGTGAACAAGAAAATCATAAGTTCTAAAAACTAAAAATTGTACAGTTTACATTTCCTAACCACAATACAATTAATAAACTAGCAATTAATTTTTTAAAATGAACAAAAAATAAACAATTTGGGGTTATAAAACACCATCTTAAGTAGATTGGAACAGAAAAAGAGTATAAAACTGCAGTTAAAAATTCTTTAGGAAATAAGTAAAACATTAGTTATCTAAACTTTTCCTCAGAAAAGTACTCAGAAGGAAATGTGAAGTCTCAAGTATTTATAATTAAACAAACAAAAAAATAAAAATAAGTTAAATACACATCATTTCAAGGAGCCATAAAAAGAGCCACAA
The DNA here is from genome assembly GCF_000001405.40 of Homo sapiens. Lineage (NCBI taxonomy): Eukaryota > Metazoa > Chordata > Mammalia > Primates > Hominidae > Homo > Homo sapiens. The sequence goes on from NC_000010.11 coordinate 91,715,938, forward strand.
GACAAGCTTAAGGGAAATATGAGGAAAGAAAAAATACAGCAGCTGACAGCAGAAATAAAACAATTTAAAGTATTAAATAGTTTAAGAGATGGTTCTTTTTTCTTTTTCTTTTTTTTTTTTTTTTGAGACTGTCTCGCTCTATCGTCCAGGCTGGAGTGCAGTGGCACAATCCTGGCTCACTGTAACCTCTGCATCCCAGGTTCAAGCTATTCTTGTGCCTCAGCCTCTGAAGTAGCTGGGATTACAGGCGCCTGCCATCACGCCTGGCTAATTTTTGTATTTTTAGTAGAGACAGGGTTTCACCATGTTGGCCAGACTGGTCTCGAACTCCTGACCTCAAGTGATCTGTCCGCCTCAGCCTCCCAAAGTGCTGAGATTGTAGACATGAGCCACCATGCCCGTCCAAGATGGTTTATTTTTAAAGAAGACCAATAAAACTTACCTCTGGTAAGTCTAATCAAGGTAAGGAGAATCTATACAAACATACAATATAAGAAATGAGAAAGGAGACACAAACGTAGATAAATTTTTAAAGTCTCTATTAACAAAACAATTCTGGAAATATGTATACTACAAAATCTTCTATGAAAAGGTGATAAACTTCATAGAATAATAACCAAAGAGAGAAATTTTTAAATGTGTCAAAATATATTCCCCCAATGATACCAGGTTACAGTCCCATGTGGTTTCACAGATTTTTTTTCTTTCAAATCTTAAAGAGGAATACATAATTTATATGCTAAAGAGTAGAGAGAAAGAAGAAATGTTTACCAATTCATTTTACCAGATGGTATAAACTTGATGTTAAAACCTAAGTAAAAGTGAAAATATATAATTATTTAAGATATAAATAGAGATTTTAGATCTTACATAAAATTTGAAAATTGTAACACAGAAGTATATTTTTGGAAAATTTTCTTTCATAATTCAATTAACACAAATCACCATGTAAACAAACTAAAAACCTAAAAGTCATCTCAGTAAACATATAAAAAGCATTTGATATAACCCAACATTCATTCCTGCTAAAATACTCAGCAAACTAAGAATAGAAGGGAACTTCTTCAACACAATAAAAAATATCTATGAAACCTGCAACTAATATCAAACTTAATGGTAAAAGCCTAAATGTTTGCCACCTAAGATCAGGAACAAGACAAGAATGTTCACTCTTACCACTTTTATTTACCCTTGTACTGGAAATTCTAGCCAGTTCAATAGGCAAGAAAAAGAAATAAAAAGCATTCTGATTGGAAAAGAAGAAGTAAAACTGTCTTTATCCACAAATGATATGTTTGTCTGTAAAAATCTGATGGAATCTACCAAAAAGCTACTAGAATGAATAAGTGAGTCTAAATGTTACAAGATACAAGATCAATACATAAAAATCAATTTTATTTCTGGATATACTAGCAATGAAAAATCAGAAGTGAAATTTTAGAAAAAATATTATTTATAATAGTACCAAAAAATGAAATATTTTAAGAACAAATCTGTGGATGTAGAGGACAAATAATGTCAAGGGCCTGTGTAGTGAAAACTATGAAACATTGAAAAAAAATTAAAGAACAAAATACATGGAGAGATATACCGTGTTCCTAGATTGGAAGAGTTAATATTATTAAGATGCCAATTATCCCCAAATTGGTCTATAGATTCAATGCAATCCCAATCAATTTTCCAGAAGTTTTTTTAGAAATCGACAAGCTAATTCTAAAATTCACATGGAAATGCAAAGAACCTAGAACAGCCAAAACAACTTTGAAAAATAACAAAGTTAGAGGACTAACACTGATTTCAAGACTTATTAAAGAACTATGGGCCAGGCCCAGTGGTTCACACCTGTAATCCCAACACTTTGGGAGATTGAGGTGGGTGGGTTGCTTGAGCCCAGGAGTTCAAGACCAGCCTGGGCAACATGGCAAAACCCCACCTCTACTAAAAAAAAAAAAATTACACACATTAGCTGGGCATGGTGGCCCATGCCTTTAGTGCCAGCTACCTGAGAGGCTGAGGTGGGAGAATCACCTGAGCCCAGGAGACGGAGGTTGCAGCGACCCGAGATCATGCCATTGCACTCCAGCCTGGGCGACAGAGCCAGACCCTGTCTAAAAAAAAAGAAAGAAAGAAAGTTTTGGCCTAGTGAGGATACTAAAATAAACCCCTATTCCAACTGATATTGTGCCACTCACTGGTCTTTCCACACTGGAGTTTGTGGGAGGATTACCAGACAAGAGGTCAGTCCAGCACCTTCCGAGTTCTGGCTCTGCCACTTAGCAGTTGCTTCAAGCAGGCACTTACTTTCTGTACTTTGGTTTTCTCTTCATAAAATGTGAAGGTTGTGCTACATATGTCCATACCAAGACTTGTATATGAATGTTCATAGCAACTTTACTGGTAATAGCTAAAAACTGGAAAAAACTCAAATGTCCATCAACAGGTGAATGGATAAACAAAAGCGATATATCCATACAATGTAATATTAGCAAAAAGGAATAAACTATCAATACATACAACAGCATGGAAAAATCTCAAAATAATTATGCTACATGAAAGAAGACTGTATTTGTTCATTCTCACACTGCTATAAAGAAATACCTGAGACTGGGTAATTTATAAAGAAAAGAGGTTTAATTGGCTCACAGTTCTACAGGCTGCACACAAAGCATAGCGGCTTCAGCTTCTAGGGAGGCCTCAGGAAGCTTCCAATCATGACGGAAGCAGCCATGCCTTACATGACTGACCAGGAGGAGGAGAGAGAAAGGAGGGGAGATGCCACACACTTTTAAATGACCAGCTCACACAAGAACTCACTCACTAACTCAAGAACAGCCCCAAAGGGAAAACCCACCCCCATGATCCAATCACCTCCCACCCGGCCCCACCTCCAACACTGGGGATTACAATTCCACATGAGATTTGGGTAGAGACAGATACAAACCACATCAGAGGCAGACCCCCAAAAAACCTTATGCTGTATGATTACATTTATAGAAAATTCTAAAAAATTGAAAACTACGATGACAGAAAGCAAAACAATGGTTGCCTGGGGGTGAGACATGGGGAAGAATGTGAGGAGAGAAAGATTATAACTATCGTCAATAATAATTTAATTCTATATTTTACAATAACTTAAAAAGTGTAATTGGATTATTTGTAATGCAATGGATAAATGCTTGAGGGGATAGATACCCCAGTCTCCATGATGTGCTTATCTCACATTGCATGCCTGTATCAAAACATCTCATCTGCCCCATAAATATGTACACGTATGTATTCATAGAAATTCAAAATTTAAGAAAAGAAATTCAAAATAAAAAAATTTAAAGGATGAAGAAATATTTGGACCTGATAATGTTATTGATTTCACAATTATATACATATGTCAAAACCCATCAGATTTTACAGTTTAAATAGATGCAGTTTAGTTTATGTCAATTGTACCTCAATAAAGCTGTTTTGTAAATCCTAAATAAAACATTAGAAATTTTGCTGGGTATGGCATCTCATGCTTGTAATCCCAGCACTTTGGGAGGCCACAGCAAGAGGACTGCTTGAGCCCAGGAGGTCAAGACCAGCCCGGGCAACAGAGTGAGATCTCGTCTCTATGCAAAAAGAATTTTTTAATATTTTTAAAAGATTATATAATACGGAAAATATATTAATATGATCAATTATGTTAATTAATTGAAATAAAAATATTTCACTTAACATTTTTAATTCTAAAAGAAGAATATTTCATAAAATGATTTTAAAAAGGTATCTCAAACTGATATTCAGAATGGTATTAATGGTAAGACACTAGATGGTTTTAAGACACTAGATGGTTTCCCATTAAAGCCAAGAATGTTCACTATTACCACAGGCTTGGGTTTTTCAAAAATTAATCTGACATTTCTAGCTAGTTGAATTAAATAAATAACAAATAAATATTTAAAAGGAGCCGATAGAAATGTCATTATTTATAGATGAACCGATTTTCTACTAGAATAGATTAAAGTAAGTCCAGTGAAAGACTAGTGAAAGAAACTCCAGGAGGTAGGTGGTTTGCTGCAAAATGTATGCTAAAATAATGGTTTTCATATATACCAGTAATCACAGAAACATAAAATACTTAAGAATACATTTAAAATAAATATGCAGATCTAATATGAAGAAAACTACAAGTCTTTACTGAGGGGCATAATTGAGACTTAGGAAAACTGGAAAGATAGTCCATGTTTCTGGAAAGGGAAGGCTCAGTGCTGAATTTCAATTCTCTAGAAATTAATCTAAACAGCACAATGACAACTAAAATGCCAGCAGGATTTCTCTTCAATTTGAGTTGATTCAAAATTTCATCTACATGAATAAACATACATAAAAAAGCAGCAGTATTGAGAAAAAAATCAATGTGGGGAAAGGTATCCAACAAACTAATAAAATGTACTAAGAAGCCACCATAATGTAAATATTAGGCTGGAATTTGGGTAATCATAGGTAGATTCAAGGAACAGAATTTAATATCCAGGAAAATCCTCAGGTATTATAATAGTAGCATTTCAAATCAACTGGTGTTCTAAGCACAAACCAAAATAAATCAAAATGTAAAATATAAAAATTTTAACAATATAAAAACCTTTAAACTTCTTTATAACAGAAAATATCACAAACAAAAAAGAAAAGGCAAACCTGGGGGGGGAGGAAAATATAACATATATGGCAGGAAAAGGGCTGGCTACTCATATATAAAAAGGTCTTTAACAAAATAATGTGCCTCATTAGGAAAACATGCAAAATAATTAACTGTGCATTAAATACAAATGATGACTAGACAAAGAATAAACATAGCATTACTATTAATCTAAGCAGTGTATATTAAAATAATGGGACTAAGATTTTGTTGAGACAAAGAGACTTTTATCTGTCAAACAGGCAAACCTATAAAAGCATAATAATACTAAGTATTTGCAAAAGTGGCTTTTTGTTGCATTTAGCCAATGGGTGGCACCAACAAGACAGGAAGTGGGAGATATTGAAATTTTTTATTTCCCACTTGAGATATAGTTTGCCATACCTGTGATCCTCTACCTAAAGTCACAGTTCCTGTTAAATGGCCCCTTCCTCACAGTAACAACTCTCACCAGGTTCCAGTGAAAACTCCCTTGCCCTGCTTATTTAAGCCCAGGGCACTAGGATGCTAAAAGCTTCCTGCAATATCTAGACCCTGGATGTTTTCACACCTGCTGGTTCCCCTAACCCCTGTTCCACACCTCTGTAAATGGCCCCTCCATTAAACTCCCTTTAATGATCCTTGCAGTGTGATTTCCTGACAGGACCCTGACTGATACACAGCCAACCATATGAATGTATTGTTTAAATCTCTTTAAATCTCTCTCTGTCTCTCTCTCTTCTCTCTCTCTCTCACTCTGTGTGTGTGTATAAATATAAATGTAGACTTAGACACAGATACAGACACACAGAAAAAATCAGAATGTATATAGACCAAAATGTGTGAGAATAGATAACTTTTAAATACACACTCACACACACACATACATATACATATATATCAATTCAAGAAATGATAAAGGATATAAAAAGGAATTAGTCAAAAATAATGCTATTTCTCAGCTTCTTGTACAAAAAGGCAATTTAGACCATCATTATACACAAACTACTTAAAAATTGCATATAAGTGATAAAATCACACAGAACTAAATACACACACACACACACACACACACACATGAATACTGGCAAAACTGGTAAAATCAGAGTTAGGTCACTGGATTTGATCAATATTAATTTCCTGGTTGTAATATTGTACTAACAGTGTTGTAAGGTATTAACCATTGGGAAAAACTGGGTGAAGGGTTCACATGATCTCTCTGTATTATTTCTTACAATTGCATGTAAATCTACAATTATCTCCAAATAAAAAGTTATTTATTTATGTATTTATTTTTTGACAGAGTCTTACTCTGTTGCCCAGGCTGGAGTGCAGTGACACAATCTTGGTTCACTGCAACCTCCACCTCCCAGGTTCAAGTGATTCTCCTACCTCAGCTTTCCAAGTAGCTGGGATTACAGGCATCCGCCACCTCACCTGTCTTATTTTTGTATTTTTAATAGAGACGGGGTTTCGCCATGTTGGCCAAGCTGGTCTCGAACTCCTAGCCTCAAGTGATCCACCCACCTCGGCCTCCCAAAGTGCTAGGATTACAGGCATGAGCTACTGTGTCTGGCCCAAATAAGATGTTTGTTTGTTTTTGAGACAGAGTCTCGCTCTGTGGTTCAGGCTGGAGTGCAGTGGCACAATCTCAGCTCACTGCAACCTCTGCCTCCAGGGTTCAAGTGATTCTCTTGCCTTAGCCTCCAAGTAGCTGGGATTACAGGCATGTGCCACCATGCCCGGCTAATTTTTGTATTTTGAGTAGTGATGGGGTTTCACCACATTGGCCAGGCTGGTCTCAAACTCCTGACCTCAAGTGATCAGCCCACCTCGGCCTCCCAAAGTGCTGGGATTACAGGAATGAGCCACTGTGCCCAGTTGAAACGTTTTTTTAAATTGCATATGAAAAAATTAAACCTTAGAGGAATAAAATATACATTAACATTTACCCAATCTCTAAAAAGCAATTTATAAGCTCCAGAGGAAAATGGAGAGGGGAAGGTTTGAAAAAGATGGATCAATTTGACATTTTAAAAGTTTAATTTCTACTGGCCACAAACAAGACTGAATAAACATGTATACAAAAAAACAAAGGAAATAATTACAATGAGACCAACAAAAAGTTCAGATTATTAATATATAAAGGACAATGGCCAATAAGAAAAGGACATTAGGCCAGGCACAGTGGCTCACGCCTGTAATCCCAGCACTTTGGGTGGGCGGATCACGAGGTCAGGAGATAGAGACCATCCTGGCCAACATGGTGAAACCCCATCTCCACTAAAAATACAAAAATTAGCTGGGTGTGGTGGCGCGCCCCTGTAATCCCAGCTACTCAGGAGGCTGAGGCAGGAGAATTGCTTGAACCAGGGAGGCAGAGGTTGTAGTGAGCGGAGATCACGCCACTGCACTCCAGCCTGGGTGACACAACGAGACTCCATCTCAAAAAAAAAAGAAAAGAAAAGAAAAAGAAAAAGAAAAGAAAGAAAAGAATATGAATGGAAAGTTCATAAAAGAGGTGACAATTTTTTCCTCTTTTCAAAACTTTGAAGCCTTGTCTCTCCCAGTTCCTCCTCAAACCTGCACCTATTTCTTCTACTCAGAACGCTTGTTCCTTCCCACTCCAACATTATTCCAAACCTCCACAAGCTCACCAACTCTCACTTTTTCTACTCAACTTCACAGGCAAATATTCCACATGGCAGAATCCCAGCCTGAACTCCACCATCAATGTGTGTGCCCCTAAACAATTGATGTTGCTGAAGGAAACCACACAGCTGTGCAGACTGGTGTCCCTTTAAATTATTGACCAGAAATTTCAATAGGGTACTCTACACTGCCCCACAAATCCCACTACATTCCCCTAATAAACTTGCTTTTCTACTCTTAAAGACGATAATTTCATTTGCAAGCATGTCTACAAACTCGATCCACTTCCTCAACTCTCATTCATTTTTTAATCTATTAATCTATACCCACATCTCCCGTCTGTCACTTTTACTCACCCATGCTAGAAAAACTTTTCCTACTAAGGTTGTCAAATCCCATAGACACTTTCAGTCCTTGTCTTACTAAGCCTCTCAAACAACTGCATCCTCATATCAAAACACTCTTCTGATTTCCATGAAACTTCAGTCTCCTTAGTTTCTTCCTTGCCTTCCTGCTTGCTTTATCTCATCCTCCTGTTTCCCTTCTCTTTCCAACCTCTGAAGAATGGAACTATCCCAGGTCCTCATTCAAGACTCTTCTCGCTCTATACTAGATGATCTCATTCATTCTCACTAATTCATCAATTGTATGTTACTAACTCCCAGATTTTTACCTCAAAATCAGGTTTCTCTCCCAGCCTCAAGATACATGTCACCAGCTGCCTTCTTGACATCTCCACTTGGATGGCTTATAAGCTTCTCACATCTAATATGTACAAAACAGAGCTCATTATTTCTACACCTGCCCCATCCAAGCCTGGTGCTGCTGTCTTCCACATCTCAATAAATGACACCTCCATCAAATTAGTTGTCAACCCAGAAAACTGGAAGTCATCATTGAGATTTCCCTCTTCCTTACTCCCCATAACTAACCCATCACAGTTTTTGCTGATTCTACCTCCAAAATATACCTTAAACCCAAATTCACTCCAAGCCATCTTTGCTTCCCTTATCAACTACCGTCAGCCTTGTGACTGATCTTCTCATTTCCACTCTTCCCCTCCCCAATCCATTCATCACACAGGTGCCAGAAAAATATTTTTGAAATGTAAATCTGACCAACACTCTTCAGTGTCTTCCTATTAAAATTAGCAGAAAAATCCGGAATCCTCACCATTACACTGTATCACCTAGCTCCTTGTACATTTTTGAGCTCATCTCACACCTCCCAGACCTCCTATTTTCCTCCAGCCAAACTACTTTTCTTTCAAGTCCTCAAACATACAAATTCTTTCCATTTCAGGAAGTTCATGTTTTTCTCTTTACTGAACCACTTTCCGTGAGTCTTAGCCTGTCTATTTATCCTTCTGTTCTTAATTTAAATGGCACTCCCTCAAAGAGAATTTCCCTGGCCACCACCACCCCAATCTAAGTTAGATCTCACTATAATATCATCTTGTACTTTGCCCTCATAGAATTTGCCTTGGTTCATACTATATACCAGGGGTCCCTAACCCCCTGTTAGCAATGGAGCAGCACAGCAGGAGGTGAGTGGCAGGTGAGCCAGCATTAACACCTGAGCTCCACCTCCTGTCAGATCAGCAGCAGCATTAGATTCTCGTAGGAGCACCAGTCCTATTGTAAACTGCGCATGCGAGCTATCCAGGTTGTGCACTCCTTATGAGAGTCTAACTAAGGCTTGATTATCTGAGGCGGGACAATTTCATCCTGAAATCATTTCCCCTACCCATGGAAAAATTGTCTTCCATGAAACCAGTCCCTGGTGCAAAAAGTTTGGGGACCACTACTATGTACCTATTTATGTGATTATTTCTAGTGTATTTTCCCACTAGGGTTACGTCATACAATGCATGAGGGCAGGTGCCAGGGAATATTTGTTTGGCTCATCACTTTTAGACCCAGCACTCTGCCAGCACCTGGCATATGATCTTGTGTGGAGTTGTGTGTTTTCAATGACTGCATTAATGAACAAGATTCAGCTCAAGCTTCACTTCTATAACTCTTTTCTCCACCACCCTTGCTGCCTCTCCACCCTGGTAGATCTCAGTACTTGCTTCTTTATTCCCCGCTGGATACTGTACCTCTATCTCATACCTGACAAACAGTGCCATTGAACTTCTTTGGGGTTCTTAGACAAGCCAATACTCTGTGTCCCTTCTGGACCTTCATACATGCTGTTCCTTCTACCTGAACACTCTTCCTTTCTTATATTCCCACTCCCTCCCTTTACCTAACTATTCCCTACTCGTCTTTTGTGTCTCAATTTAGACATCACTTCCTCCAGGAAATCTCCTCAATATCTCCCTCCATTCCAGGTTAGATCTGCATTGTAATTGTCCATTTGGTTAACTACATTCCCCTCTAGACTGTGACCTCAGGACCTGTGTATTTCTTGACTACCACTGTATCTTCAGAACCTAGCATAGAATTTGTCACATAGTAGGTGGTCAAAAAAATAGTTGTTGACTCAGTGAATTGATACATGCTTAACAGTTGTATGTTGTTGAAAGAGGAAACTTACTAGACTATGTAGCATTCCAGTCCTAAATGCTTTCCTCATTTAGCCAAATGTTCCAACTCACATGGCCAGGGTCAATTAAAATTAGAGAATTAATTAAGAACCCACTTGAATAGTTCTCTCTCTAGGAAGGTGAGGGTAGATCTGCTTCTACCTTCTCAAACCAACACTTTACAATGTGGAAAAGAATTAGAAATAGAACATTATTTTTTGTTTGTTTGAGATGTCTCTGTCATCCAGGTCGGAGTGCAGTGGTGCAATATTGGCTCACTGCAACCTCCACCTCCTGAGTTCAAGCAATTCTCCTGCCTCAGCCTCCTGAGTATCTGGGAATACAGGTGCACACCACCACGCACAGCTAATTTTTGTATTTTTAGTTGAGATGGTGTTTCACCATGTTAGTCAGGCTGGTCTCAAACTCCTGACCTCAGGTAATCCACCAGCCTCGGCCTCCCAAAGTGTTGGGATTACAGGCATAAGCCACCGCGCCCAGCCCACGAATAGAAAATTCTACAATAACCCTCTACTGGCCCTGGAATCATACTTTGCTGCTGAAAATATTACCAAATTAACTCCATCTCCCACTATGGAATGGAAATGAAAAAAACAGATTCTCTAACTTGGCTTCAAGGATAGTGCCAAAGCTGTCTATGTTAACAACATTTCAGGCAAAAAGAAGTGGTTATGTAAGATAAGAGTGCCCAGTTTTCCATAAAATCAATTACCTTTTTCAGAAGAGCAACCTTGAAACTATCCAGAAATCGATTGATTAGATAATGCACATTCAGCAACTGCAAAGTCCATAGAAGGCTTAAATCACCAAGTGAAAACCAGTAAAGAGGTACCCTAAGAACAGAGTGCATGAGGTGGGAATGACTAAACATGTGCTGAGACAAACTCAGTCATCAATGGTACGGCATATGCTATTTTTTAATAACTATGTTGCAGTCATTATAGGAGATTGGCTCACTTGGCATCCATCTCTACCTTTTCTTCCTAGGCTTCTAGAAGCTAGAAATGCTAAATAATCACTCACCCATCTCTCTTGCAACTAATGATAGCTAAATAAATAGTTTTGTCTGAATAAGACACTGGGAAAGTATTTCCTGATAAATAAGGCAGATGTAACTAGCACTACCCCTTCCCTAGATCATAGATAAAAAGTCTGCAACAGCAGCAGCCATCTTGCAACCATGAGGCACCAAACCAATATGCAGAGGATGAATTGATAGAAGGAGCCTGGCAATTTGATGGTATCATGGAGTTTTTACACCTACCCTGAACTTCCTACATTCAGATTTTTTATTGTATGAGGAAAATAAATGCTTCTCTGTATATGCCACTATTCTTGCAGCTAAAAATATGTAAACGTAGTATTATGTCCACAACAGTGCTACTCAAACTATGGTCTGCAAGCTAGTAATATCAACATCGACATACCTGCGAGCTGTTAGAAAGGCAAATTCTCACCTTTTCAATTCCCTACCTCCATCCCTACTGTTGGCCACGTTTTATTTCCTGCCTTCCAACCTTGCCTTTCTCTTCCAATTTTCATGATGTCATTTCTTAAATATTTCTCTTCTAACCTTCTTCCTTTCTGCCCATATTTTGATTGTCCAAACCACTGGGCCAGAAAAGGGAAATATTATAATAGGTGTGCATGATGACTTGCTGGTAAGAATAGAGTGCTTAAAATATTATGTGGACATTGCCACATACCTAATATGAACTCAAATTTTTAAAATAGAAAACCAAACTGTTTATTTTTCTCTCCCAATCTACTCCTCCCCTACTGTTTAATTTCAATTGATGGTATCTTAATTCTCCCAATTGCTTAAGTGAAAAACTTGGAGTTTTCCATGACTCCTCTCTCCTTCCCACACCCTACATCTAATCCATTAGCAAATTCTATTTGTTTCACTTTCATAACATACTCCAAATATCAAATATTTCTCACCCCCTCCACCACTACTGCCTTGATCTCAGCCAGCATTATCTATTGCTTGGGCCACTGTAATAGTTTCCTATTTGGTTTCTCTGCTTCCATCCCTGCCTCCCTACAATCTATTTTCCAGAGAACAACTAAAGTGATCTTTTTAAAAATATAAACCTCATGATATCACTCCTTTACTCAAAACTTTCCAATCTCTTTTAGTAGAATAAAATACAAACTTCCTAACATAATCTACAAGGCCTGGCATGATCTGGCCTCTGGTTATCTCATCACCATCAGCATTTGTATCACCCTCCAACTTGCTCACCCTACTTTAAGCATTGCCGGCCTTGTTGTTACTCAAGCATGCCAATCACATCTCTCTTATTGTTCCTTCTGCCTGGAGCAGTCGCCCTCCAGACACATTTCCCCTCATTTGTTCAGGTCTCTACTCAATGATCACCCTATCAGAGGAGACTTTCCTGAGTGCTTTATCTAAAAAAACATGTCGCTCATCATATGCTGACTCTCACCTTCCCTTACATTACTGAATACATTACTGCTTGACTTTATATTCAACATTTATATTAAATATATAGTATAAATATGTTTATTGTCCCCAGCACAAATACAACAAACATAAATTATTATTTACCAGTACATTCCTAGCATTTTTTTAAAAGTGCCTGACATGCAAGAGGAGCTTAATAATTGTATTTGCTGAATTAATAAACTTCTTGTAGACCTCTGCCCAAACTTGAGTTATACTATGTTACCATTCTTTGCCATTTCCTCTACATTTTCTAAGTTAATGGTTATGGCAAATTTTGTTCAACACTTAAGCCCCACTTAAATGACAATAAAATTCTGATTTGTTCAAGTAAGCATAGAGCCATTGATCTAACTCAGTCCCAAGCAATGAATCATGACTGGTTTAAACCAATCATGGTAATCTCATTCCATTTTGCCATCAATTGTTGTACAATAGACATGTGATCTGATTTCATCAAATGCGGTGTAAGGGGAAGTTTACTAAAGGATTTCCTTTCTGAAATAAAAAGAGAGTCTTGGAAGTAACTACTGTTTTGTACCTGTCTCTTCTTTTCTTCTTGGAATGTAGATGTGATGATATAATGTCCAGGGCTGTGGCTGCTATCTTGCAACAATGAAGTGACATGTATTGAGGCAGGCAAATAGGATCTGGTGACACGGAACTTAAGGCTAATTTGTCCTAACTTCTTAAAAGAGAAAGCACCAAGGTGTGGCGGCAGGAAATCTAAGGCCAATTCACGCTGACTTCACAAAGCTGGATCAAAAAGAAAACCCCTGGGTCTGGCAGCAGAAAACCTAAGGCCAATTAACACAAACTTCCTAAAGCTAAACCAAAAGGGAAAAACCCCATTTTCCCTAGCTGAATAGCAAAGGATCAAGGCTACTCTCCCTGCAACCTTCCCCCTTCCACCATACCTCAGATGGAAAGGGAGAGTGCCTTGGACTGGCCATGGGCCAAGCAGGGACCATCCCTTTACTGCATAGGGTGCCAATTCACCTCACCCTTCAATTAGCCATAGACCAAATCCTTCATACAGATCAGGGGTAGCTGAGAAGAACCTCAAATGGGGTACTTAAAACCCAGAAAACTTTGTAACTGGGTGTATTAGTCTGTTTGCATGCTGCTGATAAAGACATACCCAATACTGGATAATTCATAAAGCAAAAGAGGTTTAATGAACTCACAGTTCCACATGGCTGAGGAGGCCTCACAATCATGGTGAAAGGTGAAAGGCTAAAGGCACATCTTACATGGTGGCAGACAAGAGAGAGGTGAGAGCCAAGTGAGGGGGTTTCCCCTTATAAAACCACCAGATCCCATGAGACTTAATCACTACCACAAGAACAGTATGGGGGAAACTGTCCCCATGAGTCAATTATCTCCCACCAGGTCCCTCCTACAACATGCAGGAATTATGGGAGCTACAATTCAAGATGAGATCTGGGTGGGGACACAGCCAAACCATATCACTGGGCCTTTGAGCTGCTTGCCCAGGCCCACTCCCACCCTGCGGAATGCTTTCTCACTTTAATAAATTCCTGCTTTCACTGCTTCTTTCCTGCGTTTCATTCCTCTGCTACTTTGTGTGTTTTGTTAAATTATTTATTCAAAATGCCAAGGACCTGGACAATTCATCATTGAGACCCTCCACTGGGAACAGCATGAAGACTAAAAATCAACCCAGAGAGGATAGCAGAGTAGAAAGATAGAAAGACCCTGGTCCTTGATTACATCATTGAGCAATTAAATAAATCTGGAACTGCCCATTTCCAGACTTCCTATTAAGTAATAATAAGTGTTCTTATGGTTTAAGCTATTGTTAGTTTAGATTTCCCTTTATTTGAAGCCAAATGATATCCTAACTAATTCAATTATTTTATTTATAAATGTATTTGTGAGGACAAATGTGTTTTTCCTTATGTAGAACATTCTGGGTATAAAAAGGGAGGGAAGAAGAAAAAGAAAAAGGAGAAGAGAAAGGAAGCAACAAACCCAACTAATTTGTGGATGAAATAACCCTGGAGGCAGAGTGAATTACAGGAAGGATAAGGAAACAAAAAAAAAATTAATCAGTATTTTCCTTGCTCATCATCTAGTCTCATCCCCCTCCAATCTTCCTTTATCTGATCTTTTCACTAATGTAGAAGTATCATAAACTAAACCACTGCTCTTATAAATATACCACACTCTGGGTAACCATATGCACAGAGTCAAAATTTTTTTTAATTAAAAAATGAATAAATAAATAAATCTACCACATACTGTAAAATCTTTAATGGATTCTCATTACCATCACAGAATATTCATCTAGTTAACATTCAAAGGCTAAAATCAAATTACACCAATCCACTGAATTTATCTCCCACTATTTTTTAATCTAAACCCTCCAGTTCAAACAAAAACAAACAAATAAGGAAAAAGTTCTCCTTATTGCCCTCTTATTTCTTATTTCCTCTAAGTCATGAATCTCTCTATTTCCAGTGTTGGATGCCTCAATAGAGGAAATAAATGCTTAAGAAAATAAGCCAAGGGGGAGTGGGTGGTGGAATTCAACTATAATAGACTCATCCAAAATTTTACAACCAGAAAATCTGCAATAAACTGTTTTAATTTCATCATGCATGCAATTTTTATGTTTTACAATGTTACAATTATTTTATTTTGAATTACATAAGATATATGTACCTCATAAATTTTTTTCCAAAGGTTAAGTCAGGCCCTAACCATTCAGAATGCATGTCTTCTTTCCTCCTAATCTTCAGAGATCCCAAGCCAAAATCCAATCTTCTCCAAGAAACATTTTCAGACCACAGTAGGGTCTTTTTTTATTTGAATTATTTATCTGTATTTTAATATTTTATATGGGTTATAGCTTATCTCTCTAATAGGACTAAAAGTTTGCTATTCACAAGCAAGACTACAATGAATATTTGTTGAATGGAAAGAGTACAGAACCCTGACCTGCCAGTTTACATGACCAATGTGCAGATGAATGTTTGAATATAAATGTTTAATGTTTCAAGAATTATCAGCAATCTATTGGGCCAAAGATACATTTCAGCTTAAGCTATACAGTAAGACCCTATAGTCAGCATCAATAAATAAACAAATCCTCTTTTTTGAAGTTCTGCAGGAGTTCACCAATTTTGACCAGTTACACCTTGCAAAGTCTTTACCTAACAGGCAAGGGAAGATGCAAGAATTCATTTGGTCAGACATCAACCATCCCCACCTACTCTCTTACCTCCCCCTATACCCAGCACCACTACCACCTCATCACCAACTCAAAAATATGTGTTTTATTTTTTTTAACTTTTATTTTAGGTTCAGGGGTACACATGCAGGTTTGTTACATAGGTAAATTGCACGTCATGGGGGTTGGTGTACAGATTATTTCATCAACCAGATAATAAGTATAGCACTTGATAGGTAGTTTTTCAATCCTCACCCTCCTGCCACCTTCCAACTTCAAGTAGACCCCAGTATCTGTTGTTCCCTTGGGACAGTATGTACTCAATGTTTAGCTCCCACTTAGAAGTGAAAACAATCAGCAGCTGGTTTTCTGTTCCTGTGTAAGTTCACTTAGCTCCATCCATGTTGCTGCAAGGGACATGATCCCATTCTTTCTTATGGCTGCATAATATTTCATGGTATATATGTACTACATTTTCTAATGCTATCCCTCCCCCGTCCCCCTACCCTACAACAGGCCCCAGTGTGTGATGTTGCCCTTCCCGTGTCCAAGTGTTCTCATTGTTCAATTCCCACCTATGAGTGAGAACATGCGGTGTTTGGTTTTCTGTCCTTGCAATAGTTTGCTGAGAATGATGGTTTCCAGCTTCATCCATGTCCCTACAAAGGACATGAACTCATCATTTTTTATGGCTGCATAGTATTCCATGGTGTATATGTGCCACTTTTCTTAATCCAGTCTATCATTGATGGACATTTGGGTTGGTTCCAAGTCTTTGCTATTGTGAATAGTGCTGCAATAAACATACGTGTGCATATATCTTTATAGCAGCATGATTTATAATCCTTTGGGTATATACCCAGTAATGGGATTGCTGGGTCAAATGATACTTCTAGTTCTAGAACCTTGAGGAATCGCCACACTGTCTTCCACAATGCTCGAACTAGTTTACAGTCCCAACAGTGTAAAAGTGTTCCTATTTCTCCACAGCCTCTCCAGCACCTGTTGCTTCCTGACTTTTTAATGATTGCCATTCTAACTGATGTGAGATGGTATCTCATTGTGGTTTTGATTTGCATTACTCTGATGGCCAGTGATGATGAGCATTTTTTCATGTGTGTGTTGGCTGCATAAATGTCTTCTTTTGAGAAGTGTCTGTTCATATCCTTTGCCCATTTGTTGATGGGTTTTTTTTTTCTTGTAAATTTGTTTGAGTTCTTTGTAGATTCTGGATATTAGCCCTTTGTCAGATGAGTAGATTGCAAAAATGTTCTCCCATTCTGTAGGTTGCCTGTTCACTCTGATGGTAGTTTCTTTTGCTGTGCAGAAGCTCTTTAGTTTAATTAGATCCCATTTGTCAATTTTGGCTTTTGTTACCATTCCTTTTGCTGTTTTAGACATGAAGTCCTTGCCCATGCCTATGTCCTGAATGGTATTGCCTAGGTTTTCTTCTGGGGTTTTTATGGTTTTAGGTCTAACATGTAAGTCTTTAATCCATCTTGAATTAATTTTTGTATAAGGTGTAAGGAAGGGATCCAGTTTCAGCTTTCTACATATGGCTAGCCAGTTTTCCCAGCACCATTTATTAAATAGGGAATCCTTTCTCCATTTCTTGTTTTTGTCAGGTTTATCAAAGATCTGGTTGTAGATGTGTGGTATTATTTCTGAGGGCTCTGTTCTGTTCCATTGGTCTATATCTCTGTTTTGGTACCAGTACCGTGCTGTTTTGGTTACTGTAGCCTTGTAGTATAGTTTGAAGTCAGGTAGTGTGATGCCTCCAGCTTTGTTCTTTTGGCTTAGGATTGACTTGGCAATGTGGGCACTTTTTTGGTTCCATATGAACTTTAAAGTAGTTTTTTCCAATTCGTTGGTAGCTTGACGGGGATGGCATTGAATCTATAAATTATTTTGGGCAGTATGGCCATTTTCATGATATTGATTCTTCCTATCAATGAGCATGGAATGTTCTTCCATTTGTTCGTGTCCTCTTTTATTTCGTTCAGCAATGGTTTGTAGTTCTTGAAGAGGTCCTTCACATCCCTTGTAAGTTGGATTCCTAGGTATTTTATTCTCTTTGAAGCAATTGTGAATGGGAGTTTACTCACAATTTGGTTCTCTGTTTGTCTGTTATTGGTGTATAAGAATGTTTGTGATTTTTGCACATTGATTTTGTATCCTGAGACTTTGCTGAAGTTGCTTATCAGCTTAAGGAGATTTTGGGCTAAGACCATGGGGTTTTCTAAATATACAGTCATGTCATCTGCAAACAGGGACAATTTGACTTCCGCTTTTCCTAATCGAATACCCTTTATTTCTTTCTCCTGCCTGATTGCCCTGGCCAAAACTTCCAACACTATGTTGAATAGGAGTGGTGAGAGAGGGCATCCCTGTCTTGTGCCAGTTTTCAAAGGGAATGCTTCCAGTTTTTGCCCATTCAGTATGATATTGGCTGTGGGTTTGTCATAAATAGCTCTATTGTTTTGAGATACATCCCATCAATACCTAATTTATTGAGAGTTTTTAGCATGAAGAGTTGTTGAATTTTGTCAAAGGCCTTTTCTGCATCTATTGAGATAATCATATGGTTTTTGTCTTTGGTTCTGTTTATATGCTGGATTATGTTTATTGATTTGTGTATGTTGAACCAGCCTTGCATCCCAGGGATGAAGCCCACTTGATCATGGTGGATAAGCTTTTTGATGTGCTGCCGGATTTGGTTTGCCAGTATTTTATTGAGGATTTTTGCATTGATGTTCATCAGGGATATTGGTCTAAAATTCTCTTTTTTTGTTGTGTCTCTGCCCGGCTTTGGTATCAGGATGATGCTGGCCTCATCAAATGAGTTAGGGAGGATTCCCTCTTTTTCTATTCATTGGAATAGTTTCAGAAGGAATGGTACCAGCTCCTACTTGTACCTCTGGTAGAATTCAGCTGTGAATCCATCTGGTCCTGGACTTTTTTTGGTTGGTAAGCTATTAATTATTGCCTCAATTTCAGAGCCCATTATTGGTGTATTCAGAGATTCAACTTCTTCCTGGTTTAGTCTTGGGAGGGTGTATGTGTCCAGGAATTTATCCATTTCTTCTAGATTTTCTAGTTTATTTGCATAGAGGTGTTTATAGTATTCTTTGATGGTAGTTTGTATTTCTGTGGGATCGGTGGTGATATCCCCTTTATCATTTTTTATTACGTCTATTTGATTCTTCTCTCTTTACTTCTTTATTAATCTTGCTAGCGGTCTATCAATTTTCTTGATCTTTTCAAAAAACCAGCTCCTGGATTCACTGATTTTTTGAAGGGTTTCTTGTGTCTCTATCTCCTTCAGTTCTGCTCTGATCTTAGTTATTTCTTGCCTTCTGCTAGCTTTTGAATGTGTTTGCTCTTGCTTCTCTAGTTCTTTTAATTGTGATGTTAGGGTGGCAATTTTAGATCTTTCCTGCTTTCTCTTGTGGGCATTTAGTTCTATAAATTTCCCTCTACACACTGCTTTAAATGTGTCCCAGAGATTCTGGTATGTTGTGTCTTTGTTCTCATTGGTTTCAAAGAACATCTTTATTTCTGCCTTCATTTCGTTATGTACCCAGTAGTCATTCAGGAGCAGGTTGTTCAGTTTCCATGTAGTTGAGTGGTTTTGAGTGAGTTTCTTGATCCTGAGTTCTAGTTTGATTGCAGTGTGGTCTGAGAGACAGTTTGTTATAATTTCTGTTATTTTACATTTGCTGAGGAGTGCTTTACTTCCAACTATGTGGTCAATTTTGGAATAAGTGCTATGTGGTGCTGAGAAGAATGTATATTCTGTTGATTTGGGGTGGAGAGTTCTGTAGATGTCTATTAGGTCCGCTTGGTGCAGAGCTGAGTTCAATTCCTGGATATCCTTGTTAACTTTCTGTCTCGTTGATCTGTCTAATGTTGACAGTGGGGTGTTAAAGTCTGATGTGGAGCATTCTTTCATATACTTGTTAGTCACATGTATGTCTTCTTTTCAAAAGTGTCTGTTTGTGTCCTTTGCTCACTTTTTTATGGGATTGTTTGTTTTTAATTGTTAACATGTTTAAGTTCCCTATGGATTCTGGATATAAGAGCTTTGTCAGATACATAGTTTGAAAACATATTCTCCCATTCTGAAGGTTGTCTGTTTACCCTTTTGGTAGCTTCCTTTGCTGTGCAGAAGCTCTTTAGTTTAATTAAGTCTCATTTGTCAATTTTTGCTTTTGTTATGATTGCTTTTGTCATCTGTGTCATGAAATCTTTGCCAGGTCCTATGTTCAGATTGCCTAGGTTGCCTTCCAGGGTTTTAGAGTTTTGGATTTTACATTTAAGTCTTTAATCCAACTTGAGTTGATTTTTGTATATGGTGTAAGGAAGTGGTCGAATTTCAATATTCTGCATATGCTAGCCAGTTATCCCAGCACCATTTCTTGAATAGAGGAAGTCCTTTCCTCATTGCTTATTTTTGTTGACTTTGTCAGAGATCAGATGGTGGCAGATGTGCAGCATTACTTCTGGGCTCTCTATTCTGTTCCATTGGTCTATATGTCAGTTTTTATACCAGTACCATGCTCTTTTGGTTACTATAGCCTTGTAGTATATTTTCAAGTGGATAAAATTATGTCTCCAGCTTTGTTCTTCTTGCTTAGGATCACCTTAGCTATTTGGGCTCTTTTTTGGTTCCATACAAATTTTAAAATAGTTTTTTCTAATTCTATAATGCTTCATTAGTAGTTTGATAGGAATAGCATTGAATCTGTAAATTGCTTTGGACAGTATGATGAATTTAACAATATTGATTCTTTCAATTCATGAGATGGAATGTTTTTCCATTTGTTTGTGTCATCTCTGATTTCTTTGAGCAGTGTTTTGTAAGTCTCATTGCACACATCTTTCACCTCCCTGGTTAGCTGAATTCCTAGGTATTTTACTCTTTTTGCAGCTGTTGTGAATGGGATTGCATTCTTGACTTGGCTTTCAGCTTGGATGTTGTTGGTGTACAGGAATGCTACTGATTTTTGTACACTGATTTTTTATCCTGTAACTTTGCTGAAGTTGTTTATCAGATCAAGAAGCTTCTGGACAGAGACTATGGTGTTTTCTAAGTATAGAATCTTATCATCTGCAAACAGGGATAGTTTGCTTTTCTCTCTTCTTATTCGGATGCCCTTTATTTCTTTCTCTTGCCTGAACACTCTGGTTAGGACTTCCAATACCATGTTGAATAGGAGTGGTGAGAGAGGGCATCCTTGTCTTGTGCCAGTTTTCAAGGAGAATGCTTCCAGCTTTTGCCAATTCAATATGATGTTGGTTGTGAGTCTGTCATAGATGGCTCTTATTATTTTGAAGTATGTTCCTTCAATGCCTAGTTTGTTGAGGATTTTTAACATAAAAGATGTTGAATTGTATTGAAAGCCTTTTCCGCAGCTATTGAGATGATAACGTGGTTTTTGTTTTTAGTTCTCTTTACATGATGAATCACATTTATTGATTTGCATACGTTGAAACAACCTTGCATCCCAGGGATGAAGCATACTTGATTGTGGTGAGTTAGCTTTTTGATGTGCTACTGGGTTTAGTTTGCTAGTATTTTGTTGAGGATTTTTGCATCTCAGTTCATCAAGGATATTGGCCTGAAGTTTTCTGTTTTTGCTGTATCTCTCCCAGGTTTTGGTATCAGGATGATGCTGACTTCATAGAATTAGTTAGGGAGGAGTTCCTCCTCCTCAATTTCTTGGAGTAGTTTCAGTAGGAATGGTACTAGCTCTTCTTTATACACGTGGTAGAATCTGGCTGTGAGTCCATCTGGTCCTGGTTTTTTTCTGGTTGGTAGGCTTATTACTGATTCAATTTTGGAACTTATTATTGGTCTGTTCAGGAATTCCATTTCTTCCTGGTTCAATCTTAGGAGGCTGTAGGTTTCCAGGAATTTATCTATTTCTTCTAAGATTTCTAGTTTGTGTGCATAGAGGTGTTTGTAATAGTCTCTGAGGGTTTTTTGTATTTCCGCGGGGTTGATGCTAATGTCACCTTTGTCATTTCTGATTGTGTTTATTTGGTGCTTCTCTCTTTTTTCTTTATTAGTCTAGCTAGCAGTCTATCAATCTTATTTATTCTTTCAAAAACCAACTCCTGGATTAATTGATCTTTTGTATTGTTTTTGGTTTCTCAATTTCCTTCAGTTCAAGTCAGATTTTGGTTATTTCTTGTCTTCTGCTAGCTTTGGGGTTGGTTTGGTCTTTTTTCTCTAGTTTCTCTAGATGTAATGTTAGGTTGTTAATTTGAGATTTTTCTAACATTTAGGGGGGAGTGTAGAGATGGGTTTTCATCAAGTTGCCCAGGCTGGTTTCTAACTCCTTTGCTTAAGCAATCCACCCACCTCTGCCTCCCAAAGTGCTAGGATCACAGGTGTGAGCAACCATGCCCAGTCATGTCTCAAATTTTTTGATGTGGGCATTCAGCACTAAAATCTTCTGTCTTAACACTGCTTTAGCTGTGTTCCAGAGATGCTGGTTTGTTGTGTCTTTATTCTCATTAGTTTCAAAGAAATTCTTGATTTCTGCCTTAATTTCATTGTTTACCACAAAGGAGCAGGTTGTTTAATTTCCATGTAATTGTATGGGTTTGAGCACTTTTCTTAGTGTTTATTTCTATTTTTATTGCACTGTTGTCCAAGAGTGTGGTTAGTATGATTTCAGGATTTTTAATTTGCTGAGGATTGTTTCATGTCCTATTGTGTGGTCAATTTTAGAGTATGTGCCATGTGCATATGAGAAAGATATATATTCTGTTGTTTTGTGTTAGAGTTCTATAGATGTCTATTAGGTACACTTGGTCAAGTGTAGAGTTTAGGTCCTGAATATCTTTGTTAATTTCTCCTCACTGATCTGTCTAATACTGTCAGTGGAGTGTTGAAGTCTCCCACTATTGTTGTGTAGTTATCTAAGTTTCTTCATGGGTCTCTAAGAACTTGCGTTATGAACCTAGGTGCTCCTCTTTTGGGTGCATTTATACTTAGGATAGTTAGGTCTTCTTGGTGAATTGAACTCCTTAACATTATGTAATGCCCTTCTTTGTCTTTTTTGTCTTTGTTGGTTTAAAGTCTGTTTTGTCTGAAATTAGAATAGCCACCTCTGCTTTTTTCTGTTTTCTGTTTGCTTGGTAGATTTTCCTCCATTCTTCTACTTTAAACCTATGGGTGTCATTGCATGTGAGGTGGGGCTCTCAAAAACAGCATCCTGTTGAGTCTTGCTTTCTTATCCAACTTGCCATTCTGTGCCTTTTAATTGGGCCACTTAGCCTATTTGCATTCAAGGTTAATATTGACATATGCGGAGTTGATTCTGTCATCATGTTGTTAGCTGGTCATTATTCAGACTTGTTTAGGTGGTTGCTTTACAATGTCAGTGGTCTATGTACTTAAGTGTGTTTTTTAGTGGCTGGTAACTGTCTTTCCTTTCCATATTTAGCACTCCCTTCGGGACCTCTTACAAGGCAGGTCTCATGTTAGTGAATTCCTTTAGGATTCACTTGTCTGAAAAGAATCTTATTTCTCCTTCACTTATGAAGCTTAGCTTGGCTAGATATGAATTTCTTGGTTGGAATTTATTTTCTTTAAGAATACTGAATACAGGCCACGATCTCAACTGGCTTGTAGGGTTTCTGCTGAAAGAACAACAGTTAACCTGGTTGGGTACTCTTTGTAGGTGACCTGCCCCTTCTCTCTAGCTGCCTTTAACATTTTTTCATTCATTTTGACCTTGGAGAATCTGACTACTGTGTGTCTTGTTGATGGTTATCTTGTGTCTTCTTACAGGAGTTCTCTGCATTTTCTGAAATTGAATGTTGGCCTCTCTAGTGAAGTGGGAACACTTTTCATAGATGATATCCTCAAATATGTTTTCCAAGTTGCTGGCTTTCTGCCTCTCTTTCAGGTACGACAATGAGTTCTAGATTTGGTCTCTTTACACAATCCCATATTTCTAAGAGGTTTTGTTCATTTTTCTTTAACCTTTTTTCTTTATTTTTGTCTCAATGAATTGTTTCAGAGAACTAGTCTCTGAGCTCTGAGGTTCTTTCATCAGCTTGGTCAATTCTGCTGTTAATACTTGTAATTGTATTCTGAAATTCTTGCAGTGAGTTTTTTAGCTCTATCAGATCAGTTTGGTTCTCTCTTAAAACGGTCATTTCATCTTTTATCTCCTGTGTCATTTATTGTATTCTTCAGAATCCTTGGATGGGGTTTTGACTTTCTCCTGAATCTCAGTAATTTTCATTCCTATCCATAGTCTGATTTCTACTTCTGTCATTTCTGCCATTTCAGCCTGGTTAAGAAGCATTGCTGGGGAACTAGTACAGTCATTAGGAAGTAAGAAGACACTGGTTTTTGAGTTATAAGAGTTCTTGCACTGGTTTTTTCTCATCTACATGGGCTGACGTTCCTTCAGTCTTTTAAGTTGCTGCCTTTTGGGTGAGTTTTTGTTTTGTTTTGTTTTGTTTTTACCTTTGAAACAGTTAACCCCTTGGGGGTTAATTGTGGTATAAGGTGGGTTCAGTCAACTGGCTTCATTTCTGGAAGATTTTAGGGGGCCAAGTCTCAGGTCAGCATTCTAGGGCTGTGTGCTATAACTCTGGAGGGCTGCTATTGGGCCCTGGCTTTGTTCTCTGGCCCCTCAACGTTAGAAATCTGCTGCACTAGAGGGACCAATGTGTTCCTGGACTGCTGGCAACAATAACCCCAATGGGTGGTACCAGCCAAAGCACTTCATAAGGTTGGTGACAGCAGGATCTGTGCTCATTCACATGTGCCAGCAGCACCAGCAGAATGGCAGGGTGCACACTTGTCAGCTGGGGTGGAGCTCTGGTAGGCATGGGGCTGCCAGCCTCTTTACATGCATTCACAGCAACAGCAATGGCAGTGTGAGTCAGGAACAGGACCACTGGCATCCATGTGTGTGTTCACATTGGTGGTGGTGTTGGTGCCAAGGCAGGGTGCTGGCCTGCACAGGACTGCCAGCCTCTATGCACTCATTCATGCCAGCAGCAATGGCAGCATTGGTTGGAGGATGGGGCCACACTGGCTTCTCAGTGCATGTTCACACTGGCAATAGCAGTGCAGCAGTGGACATGTGAGGTCCACTCACAACAGCAGCAGTGGTGCAGTGGGATGCAAGCACACCTGTGCTGGCAGGGGAGGGGAGGCAAGGTCCACTACACACACACACCGGCAAAGCAGTTGGGGGTGCGGCCATAGGCAAGTTCATGACAGCAAAGTGGCACAGGGGAGGCTGCGGTTGGCGGAGGGCACGGGTGGGTTGATGTGCATCAGTGGGGGCTGCTCTGCTGGAGCTCTCTGATGGTCAGATGTGATCTGCCAGTGCAGGTGCTATGATGTGGGCTCCCAGGAGTCACCCTAGTTGTGCATCCGAGGCTGCACTGTGAGCAAATATAGCCAGACTGGAGTCCCAGGAGTGGGCAGCAGACAGGAGGGTTCTCAGATTGAACTGACCTTGTCTCATGAGCAAGACCGCCCCACTCTATTCAGGTCTGACAGTTCCCCTAAGACTTAAGTCCCCTAGGGGAGCATAGGTTCAGGACAAGAGCGAGCCACTCCTCACTCCCCCTTCAGCCTAGTGTCTGTGTCTGTCTCAATGCCCTCCCCCCAAATATCTGCTTGGAGTGTACTGGTCTTCCTGATGTTTCAGTCCCTCAGTGACACATGTTCCGCCTGGCTGTGTCTAGTCAACCATCTTGCTGAGGATCAAGAATATGTGTTTTAAATCAGAATGTAGTTTGGCAACCAACAGCACTCACGCCATATCAAAATTCATTGCCAACAAATCCCTACCTTCCTGCTGACTATGACAGTCTGCTACCCACCTCAGTGACAAAAACTGGCAGCCAGCATGCTCCTTCCCCTACTTTGGTGTTAGTGGGCTATCCTTCTCCCTCCCTATTTGGAAATCACTAAGGCCTAAGACCCTTTCTGTGAGCTGCCTCTAACATGCCAAAGGGAAGAGAGTAGGAACTTTGGCACCCTAATTTTAAAAGAATGCTAGCCCATGATGTAAAAGGAAGACTATATTCTTCTCCAAATGTGGACACTGCCTGTTTCCTTTACTGCCGTTATTAGCTGATGTCTTTGGCAGAGAACACATTGAGTAAGTTTTTCCAGGATGGGTTTGTAACATTGGAAATATAACATCTAAATATAACAAACTTCTGATTGTTTCTCAGTTTGCACCCACACATTTACCAAGACACCTCATTTTTTGAAAAAGTTTTTAACAAGGCAAGAGCCAAATTTACACTCCCTTCTTTTCCTTCCCAATGGCAAGTCATTCCAATATTTATTTTTCTTTTTCTTTTTTGTCTATTCTTTCTCTTCTTCTTAATTAAAAGAAGATGTTTTTTGTCACCCGTAAACACTGCAATTCCTCATTTTCCCTTTTCTGTAGGCTGGCCTCATTTTTCCTGCCCTCTACCTGAACAATAGAATTTTTTTAAAAAAAACATTAAACTGAATTGTTAGTAATTTATAATTGAGATTTTAAGTTTAGCATATAAAAACTGAATATGAATAGGATTTGACTCAACAGGTTATTTCTTTATAAATCTAAATATAGATGTGTTTAATGTTCGTTATAAATGGCTTTTAAAAAGGCAAGTGACAACACTGGAAAAAATAAAGTGCTTTTAAGAAGAAATGTAAACATTTTTCTTAGGAAACTCATTTTGGAAGTTTGCATGCTGTCATTATGCCAATATCACATTATAATAAACAATAAAAATGAACTACTATAAACTCTCTTCTCCTGGAATCAATGGTATGAATTTAATAGGCAATCCAGAGCTCCAGCTTCAACTTTAATCAATTCCAAAGTCAAATTTCTGATTATCATATGCTCTACTTAATGAGTAACTAACTGGAGAGTAAGACCTCAGTTTGATTGCAGCATGTTATGTACAAATCAGACCACTAGTTTTTCTATTTTTACCACAGTTAAAGAGTAACAAATATGTCTTAAAAGACCCTGGAAAAGTACCACAAAGCTGGAAGAACTGAAAAAAAAGTAATGCTTCTAAGCACAAGTTATTTTTAGATTCTAGGTTTCATTTTTCCATACGATCTCAGAATATAATACAAAATACCAAGCTACAAAAACAATAAATAATTTCCACCATCAGTATTACTTAAGCCTTGGTTGTCTTGTGTGAGAACTAGGTCACACAGATTCAAGCATAACCAAGACTTTTTTAATCTGTTCCCTAAGAATGCCTCAAGATTTTAAGTCCCAATTCTGCCACTAAAGAGCTATGTGACATTAGGAACACAATTAGCTTTTCTGGGTCTCAGTTTTCTTATTTGTAAAGCAGAGATAATTCTTCTTACAGGGCTGTTGTGAGGATCAAATGATAGAATATATATGAAATATCTAATTCAGTGCCTAGATTCCAGTGAATTTCCTTCAAACCCCTTTCCCACACTCCCCATCGCTAAATTTCCATGCTTAATATTACGTGCCAACAGGGATGTGAGTATTCCTTCCATTCCTCAACAGCAATGAGTTGAACATTGATTTGTGTTGATAGATGTTCTTGAAAAATACACTGTTTTGTATGCATATAATTTTAATTGATATAAATAGTATTGTGTAATGTATCTCATTTAACTTCTTATTCTACTTCTTATTTGGTTTGGGGCTTGGTGTTCTTTGTTTCTTATTGTGGTTTGGGAAAAAAATAGAAAATCTGTTATAAATTAGTCCCTCACAGCTCTTTTTCAAAGGCAAATTCAAAAGTGAGATTTTATAGGTCAGATATGTCCAAAATCAAATGCCAATGAGTTAAATTCATATCTTTTTGCTTGTAAGTATTCTTGCAAAACACATGGTTTTGCATAAAGGTAAAGATAGTTGTAATTTACTTAAATAGCATTGTGCTATATATCGTTCTATTTATCTTTTCTCCCCTCTGCACTATGCTTTGAAGTTCATCTATATTGTCAGATGTGTATCTATTTAGCTGCTTCTCATTTTTTCCCTTATTCTCATAGTATACAATCTCCAAATTATACCTAGCCACTTTTCTAGTGATGGGCACTCAGGAGGGCATTCATCCATCTACCACCATAAAGAATGCTGAAATGAACATTCTTATGTGAGTTCCCACACAGGCAGCCAAAGCTATGAGGAAAGGTGTATACACAAAGGGCCTTGTTATGAGATTGCTGACTCAGCCATGAACAGAGATTCTAGATAGAGAATCAAACCAGTTAGAGCAATGAGCTTAGAGATACAATCTTCATTTTTGTTTTGTTTTGCTTTAATAACAGAATCACGAAGATTTTAAATATTACTTTTAAAAAGCTTGGCTGCATCATAGTTAAATAGTGTTTAGAAAAAGTTCCACCTACCTGTTTTAATAAAGCTGTTTTTTGGATTTGTTTGTTGGTTTTTTTTTTTTAAGATAAAACTACTACATCAAAAGCCATCTCTAGTGCAAAAAATTAACAAACCAAAATTTTTTAGTTTAGAATAAAAGTTTCAAGAGTTAACTTTTGGAAAGCCAAAGTTATCCCCTAAAAAATACTAACATGATTTTTATTTTTGCTGTATAAAGTTTGCTGATAGTGAAAAGAAAATCCATTCTTTAGTTAAAGATCTTTTAACTCATTCCTAAAATTCTAGAACAATTCATGATCTTATAAAGATAACGGAACATAAGAAAAATTATGTGCTATTAAAAATAACTATCCTGGAGAGGAAAAAGGCTTTCGGTTCAAAAATGGTGATGTAGAAGCAAGGTGGCTTCACTTCCCACGGCAGAAAACAAAAAACAAATGTACAGCACCGAGATTATCATCAGCAATATCCCAGAACTCAGATGGAAAGACGAGACAGTTCCCAAGGCCACAGAGAAGTGAAACAACTCTGAGCAGATGGTGAGGAAATCAGACTTCCACAGCCACAAAGCCCATCCCTCCATTTTGTCTGACATCCAGCGCATAGAAAATTTTTCCTGTTTCAGAATAGGGATAGCATTAGGAGGAACATCTAATGTAAATGACGAGTTAATGGGTGCAGCACACCAACATGGCACATGTATACATATGTAACAAGCCTGCATGTTGTGCACATGTACCCTAGAACTTAAAGTATAATAATAAAAAATAATAATTAATAAATAAGTAAATAAAAATTTTCTCCAGGGTGCACGGGCTCACGTCTGTAATCCCAACATGTTGGGAGGCCTAGGCAGGCGGATCGCTTGAGGCCAGGAGTTCCAGACCAGTCTGGCCAACATGGTGAAACCTCATCTCTACTAAAAATATAAAAATTAAGCTGTGTGTGGTGGTGCACGCCTGTAATCCCAGCTACGCAGGAGGCTGAAGGAGGAGAATTGCTAGAACCCGGGAGGCGGAGGCTGCAGGGAGCCGAGATCGCGCCACTGCACTGAAGCCTGCGCAACAGGGCCAGACACTGTCAAAAAAAAAAAAAAAAAAAAGGAAAAGAAAAGAAAGAAAGGAAAATTTCCTGCCAACTCATGGTTTCTACACTGCAAAAAGTGAGCTCAAGTGGACAACCAGCTTCCCCATCAACTCGGTTTCCCTGGCAGGAGGCCCGTCCCTGCCTTAACGCACAGGAAGCATTGCAATTGCCTGAAGGAAGAAATATCCCTGAGGACAGACAGTAAAAGGTGGAGATGGGAATGCTATGCCCGGCCCTGAAAACTATGCTCTGTAATTTAGCTGAAGGAGGCGCCAAATTAGAGTGGCCATTCAACAGCACCATGCCGTAGGAGGTACGTTCCACAGGTCCCCAGGGCACAAACCCCTGGCCGGCATTCCTACACTGCCGGGATATCCCTCTCTGATACCTCCCCGATTCTGGACCGTCATTGTTCCCATCATTTACTAGAGCTGAGGTGAACCTGGGCTTAAGGTGCCACCTAGAGCTGCAAAGGCGGCAGTGACCTAGTGGTAAAGAATCTCTACTCAGCCAGATGCAGCGGCTCATGCCTGTAATCCTAGCGCTTTGAGAGGCTGAGGCAGGATTATCGCTTGAACCTGAGTGTGAGACGAGCCTGAGCAGAAACCCAACTCTAGGAAAAATGTCTAAAAATTACTCAGGCATGGTGGTGTATGCCTGTAAGTCTCAGTTACTCGGGGGAATGAGACAGGAGCATTGCTTGAGCCTAGAAGTTCAAGTCTGCAGTGAACTATGATCACCACTGCACCCTAGCCTGGGTGATAGAGCAAGGCCCTGCCTCGAAGAGAAAAAGAAAGAGAAGGAGAAGGAAGAAGGAGAAGGAAGAAGAAAGAAGAAGAAAAGAAAAAGAAAAAGAATCTCTAAGCAGGTGTACCCAATAAAAACCAAAACAAGTCAAACAGAGAAGATTGGAATAAATAATTAATCCTTTGATGCAAAAACATGGACGTACACCCACAAGAAATAGGGAACCATGATCTCTGCAAATGAACAAAGAAAGGAACTAGTGACTGCCCCTAGCAAGACAGCAATCTGTGAACTCTCTGACCAGGAATTCAAAATGACAGTTTTAAGGAGACTTGGCCAAGTCTAAAATAACACAGAAATCAATTCAGAAATTTATCAGAGAAATTTAACAAAGAGATTGAAATAATTTTAAAAATCAAACAGAAATCTTGGAACTGAGACATACATTTGCTGAATTGAAAAATCCATTAGAGATTCTCAACCCCAGAATGGATCAAGCAGAGAAAAGAATCAGTAAGCTCAGAGACCAGCTATTTGAAAATACATAGTCAAAGGAGAAAAAAAGAATAAAAGGGAAAGAAGGCCACTTACAAGATAGAGAAAATTACCTCAAAAGACCAAATCTAAGAAGTATTGGTGTTCAAGAGGGAGTTGAGCAAGAGCAAGGGGTAAAAAGCTTATTCAAGAAATAGAAAACTTCCCAAAACTTAAAAAGAAAAAAAATATCCGGATACAGGAAGGTCAGAGAAAACCAAACACATTCATCCCAAATAATACTACCCCAAGGTATATAATAACCAAACTCTGAAAGGTCAAGGATAAAAGAGGGGATCCTAAAAGCAGCAAAAGAGAAGAAGCAAATAACATATAAATGAGCTCCAATTCATCAGGCGACAGACTTCTCAACAAAAACAATGCAGGCCAGGAGAGAGTGCAATGACATTTTCAAAGTCCTGAAAGAACAAAACTGCCATTCAGTAATACTGTATCCCCAAAGGTATACTTCAAATATGAAGGAGAGAGGATGAATATTTAAGGTAATGGTTGTCCCAAGTACATTGATTTGATCTTTACAAATTTATGAATATATTATCATATGTGCCCCAAGACTCTGTATATCTATTAAGCATCAATAAAAAAAAATTCTTTCAGGGCCAGGTGCAGTGGCTCACACCTGTAATCCAGCACTTTGGGAGGCCGAGGCGGGCAGATCACCTGAGGTCAGGAGTTCGAGATCAGCCTGACCAACATGGTGAAACCCCATCTCTACTAAAAATACAAAAAATTAGCCGGGCATGGTGTCAGGCGCCTGTAATCCCAGCCACTGGGGAGGCTGAGGCAGGAGAATCACTTGAACCCAGGAGGCAGAGGTTGCAGTGAGCTGAGATCGCACCACTGCACTCCAGCCTGGGCACAACAGAGCAAGACTCCATCTCAAAAAAAAAAAAATAATTGTTTCAAAAGACAAAAGTAATAATTTTTAAAAGAAAATAAATAATAAAAGTAATTATTTCTTAGAAAACCTCACAGTTACATGTATTGACTCCATTATAGTTATATTTATCCTTGATGGTGAACATATTAGTTAACACATTTATATATACATTATATATAATATGTGGATATATGGATATATCCCAAAATTACTATGCATTCAAACAACAATCAGGCTATTTCTAGGAATAAGGCAATAACAAATCAAAAATATTGCATTTCTATAACCAATATATTTTGAAAATGAAAAACTAATGCATAAACACACAAATGCAGTATTTCTTAAAGTAACAAATTTTTACGTATTTAAATATATGCCATTATATACACAGAATGGATAAAATTTAAAAGACTCACCATATCGAGTGTTGAAGATAATGCAGATCATACACTGCTGATTAGAAACATATAATGGTAGGCCGGGCTCGGTGGCTCACGCCTGTAATCCCAGCACTTTGGGAGGCCGAGGCGGGCAGATTACAAGGCCAGGAAATCGAGACCATCCTGGCTAACATGGTGAAACCCCGTCTCTACTAAAAATACAAAAAAAAAATTAGCTGGGCGTGGTAGCCGGCGCCTGTAGTCCCAGCTACTGGGGAGGCTGAGGCAGGAGAATGGCTGAACCCGGGAGGCGGAGCTTGCAGTGAGCCGAGATCGCGCCACTGCACTCCAGACCCGGCGGAAGAGGGAGACTCCGTCTCAAAAAAAAAAAAAAAGAAAAGAGACATATAATGGTACAACCACTTTGAAAAACTGGCAGTTTCTGATAGTATTAACCCTACAACGCAGCAATTCTACTTTTAGGCATCTATCCAAGAAAAATGAAAATATAGGTCTATATGAAGACTTGCGCACAAATCTTCATAGGAGTTTTATTTATAATAGCAAAAACTGGACACAACCCACATTTTGATCCACAGGAGGATGGATAAACAAATTTTGCCCAGCATAATGTCTGTGAGATTCCTCCATGTTGTGAGTATCAGTAGTTCATTCCTTTTTCTTGCTGAGTGGTATTCCATGGTAGTATGCCATGTAAATACAATGGCTCAAGTGATCCTTCCTCCTTGGCCCCTCAAGTAGCTGGGACTACAGGTGTCCAGCTAATTTTATTTTTTTTGTGGAGATGATGATTGCTATTCCATGTAAATACAGTGGACTACCACTTAGCAAGAAAAAGAATGAACTACCGATGCTCACAACATGGATGAATCTCACAGACATTTTGCTGTGAATGTCAAAAGAAGCCAGACACAATTGCTTGGTACAGTGGTTCACACGTGAAATCCTAGCACTTTGGGAGGCCAAGGTGGGCAGATTACTTGAGTTCAGGAGTTCGAGACCAGCCTGGGCAACATAACAAGACCTCATCTCTACAAAAAATATACATATAAAATTAGCTGGACCTCATCACTACAAAAAATATAAAATTAGCTGGACACCTGTAGTCCCAGATACTTGGGAGGCTAAGGAGGGAGAATCACTTGAGCCCAGAAAGTCGAGGCTGCAGTGAGCCATTTTTGTGCCACTGCACTCAGCCTGTATGACAAAGTGAGGCCCTGTCTCAAAAACAACAGTGAAAAAAAGAAGCCAGGCACAGAAAAGTACATGTTATATATTTATTTGAAATTCAGGAATAGGCAAAAGAAATCTATGGTGGTTACCTTGGGTTGGGGACAGCAGGGAGATTAACTGAGAAGAGGTATGAGAGAATTTTCTAGGATAATAGAAATGTTTTTATCTTAATTTGGGTGGTGTTCACACAGGGATATATAGAGGTAGACTCATCAAACTGTACACTTAAGATTGGTGCATTTTACTTTTATATAAACTAAGCCTCAATAAAGAACTGAAAAAAATTTAAACATACATTTGTGCCTGAACACATGCACACATACAAACACACACATATCCATCCTGAGGATTTCCTTTTGAAGAAGCGGTAAGATTTTTTAAAACTATTTTCTTTATATAAAAGTAAAAGTAGATACTTGGGCTTCCAATATAACTGATGTCTAATCTTTCTCAAAGAAAAGCAATTGAATTGCTTCAAGGGAATTATCACCAAGAATTCAACATCTCAGTGTCAAAGATTCCCATTCACAATGTATTCCTGTTGTCTTCAAAAGCCAATGCTCTTTATATTCTTCTATCCAAAATCAATGGGGTTAAAATTCCCAGAATCTATGAAAAAAATTTTCAAACTAGCATTCAAGTAGTCTAGAGGCAGTTCGGCAATTTCAGAGGGAAAAAATGCTAAAAGTATTTTGTTTACATACATTTGACAAATTTGAAGTTTGGTTTATTCTTTTCACAGAAATCCCACTACAGTTTTAAAGGCCAATCTGTTTTTTTTTTAAGTTTTCATATATGCTACAAGGACTATACTAATCTTAGATAAAAATTAAGTAAATGAAGTTTATCAAAACTAACTTTTTGGAGGGCGGAGCCAAGATGGCCGAATAGGAACAGCTCCGATCTACAGCTCCCAGCATGAGCGACGCAGAAGACAGGTGATTTCTGCATTTCCATCTGAGGTACTGGGTTCATCTCACTAGGGAGTGCCAGACAGTGGGCGCAGGCCAGTGGGTGCGCGCACCGTGCGCGAGCCGAAGCAGGGTGAGGCATTGCCTCACTCGGGAAGTGCAAGGGGCCAGGGAGTTCCCTTTCCTAGTCAAAGAAAGGGGTGACAGACGGCACCTGGAAAATCGGGTCACTCCCACCCGAATACTGCGCTTTTCCAACAGGCTTAAAAAATGGTGCGCTAGGAGATTATATCCTGCACCTGGCTCGCAGGGTCCTACGCCCATGGAGTCTCACTGATTGCTAGCACGGCAGTCTGAGATCAAACTGCAAGGCGGCAGCGAGGCTGGGGGAGGGGCGCCCGCCATTGCCCAGGCTTGCTTAGGTAAACAAAGCAGCCGGGAAGCTCGAACTGGGTGGAGCCCACCACAGCTCAAGGAGGCCTGCCTGCCTCTGTAGGCTCCACCTCTGGGGGCAGGGCACAGACAAACAAAAAGACAGCAGTAACCTCTGCAGACTTAAATGTCCCTGTCTGACAGCTTTGAAGAGAGCAGTGGTTCTCCCAGCACCCAGCTGGAGATCTGAGAACGGGCAGACTGCCTCCTCAAATGGGTCCCTGACCCCTGACCCCCGAGCAGCCTAACTGGGAGGCACCCCCCAGCAGGGGCAGACTGACACCTCACACGGCCGGGTACTCCAACAGACCTGCAGTTGAGGGTCCTGTCTGTTAGAAGGAAAACTAACAAACAGAAAGGACATCCACACCAAAAACCCATCTGTACATCACCATCATCAAAGACCAAAAGTAGATAAAACCACAAAGATGGGGAAAAAACAGAGCAGAAAAACTGGAAACTCTAAAAAGCAGAGCACCTCTCCTCCTCCAAAGGAAGGCAGTTCCTCACCAGCAACGGAACAAAGCTGGACAGGGAATGACTTTGACGAGCTGAGAGAAGAAGGCTTCAGAAGATCAAATTACTCTGAGCTACAGGAGGACATTCAAACCAAAGGCAAAGAAGTTGAAAACTTTGAAAAAAATTTAGAAGAATGTATAACTACAATAACCAATACAGAGAAGTACTTAAAGGAGCTGATGGAGCTGAAAACCAAGGCTCGAGAACTACGTGAAGAATGCAGAAGCTTCAGGAGCCAATGCAATCAACTGGAAGAAAGGGTACCAGCGATGAAAGATGAAATGAATGAAATGAAGCGAGAAGGGAAGTTTAGAGAAAAAAGAATAAAAAGAAACGAGCAAAGCCTCCAAGAAATATGGGACTATGTGAAAAGACCAAATCTACGTCTGATTGGTGTACCTGAAAGCGACGGGGAGAATGGAACCAAGTTGGAAAACACTCTGCAGGATATTATCCAGGAGAACTTCCCCAGTCTAGCAAGGCAGGCCAACATTCAGATTCAGGAAATACAGAGAACGCCACAAAGATACTCCTCGAGAAGAGCAACTCCAAGACACATAATTGTCAGATTGACCAAAGTTGAAATGAAGGAAAAAATGTTAAGGGCAGCCAGAGAAAGGTCGGGTTACCCACAAAGGGAAGCCCATCAGACTAACAGCAGATCTCTCGGCAGAAACTCTACAAGCCAGAAGAGAGTGGGGGCCAATATTCAACATTCTTAAAGAAAAGAATTTTCAACCCAGAATTTCATATCCAGCCAAACTAAGCTTCCTAAGTGAAGGAGAAATAAAATATTTTACAGACAAGCAAATGCTGAGAGATATTGTCACCACCAGGCCTGCCCTAAAAGAGCTCCTGCAGGAAGCACTAAACATGGAAAGGCACAACCAGTACCAGCTGCTGCAAAATCATGCCAAAATGTAAAGACCATCAAAACTAGGAAGAAACTGCATCAACTAACGAGCAAAATAACCAGCTAACATCATAATGACAGGATCAAATTCACACATAAAAATATTAACTTTAAATGTAAATAGACTAAATGCTCCAATTAAAAGACACAGACTGGGATAAAGAGTCAAGACCCATCAGTGTGCTGTATTCAGGAAACCCATCTCACATGCAGAGACACACATAGGCTCAAAATGAAAAGATGGAGGAAGATCTACCAAGCAAATGGAAAACAAAAAAAGGCAGGGGTTGCAATCCTAGTCTCTGGTAAAACAGACTTTAAACCAACAAAGATCAAAAGAGACAAGGCCATTACATAATGGTAAAGGGATCAATTCAACAAGAAGAGCTAACTATCCTAAATATATATGCACCCAATACAGGAGCATCCAGATTCACAAAGCAAGTCCTGAGTGACCTACAAAGAGACTTAGATTCCCACACAATAACAATGGGAGACTTTAACACCCCACTGTCAACATTAGACAGATCAACGAGACAGAAAGTCAACAAGGATACCCAGGAATTGAACTCAGCTCTGCGCCAAGCGGACCTAATAGACATCTACAGAACTCTCCACCCCAAATCAACAGAATATACATTTTTTTCAGCACCACGCCACACCTATTCCAAAATTGACCACATACTTGGAAGTAAAGCTCTCCTCAGCAAATGTAAAAGAACAGAAATTATAACAAACTGTCTCTCAGACCACAGTGCAATCAAACTAGAACTCAGGATTAAGAATCTCACTCAAAACCACTCAACTACATGGAAACTGAACAACCTGCTCCTGAATGACTACTGGGTACATAACGAAATGAAGGCAGAAATAAAGATGTTCTTTGAAACCAACGAGAACAAAGACACAACATACCAGAATCTCTGGGACGCATTCAAAGCAGTGTGTAGAGGGAAATTTATAGCACTAAATGCCCACAAGAGAAAGCAGGAAAGATCCAAAATTGACACCCTAACATCACAATTAAAAGAACTAGAAAAGCAAGAGCAAACACATTCAAAAGCTAGCAGAAGGCAAGAAATAACTAAAATCAGAGCAGAACTGAAGGAAATAGAGACACAAAAAACCCTTCAAAAAATTAATGAATCCAGGAGCTGGTTTTTTGAAAGGATCAACAAAATTGATAGACCGCTGGCAAGACTAATAAAGAAAAAAAGAGAGAAGAATCAAATAGATGCAATAAAAAATGATAAAGGGGATATCACCACTGATCCCACAGAAATACAAACTACCATCAGAGAATACTACAAACACCTCTACGCAAATAAACTAGAAAATCTAGAAGAAATGGATAAATTCCTCGACACATACACTCTCCCCAGACTAAACCAGGAAGAAGTTGAATCTCTGAATAGACCAATAACAGGATCTGAAATTGTGGCAATAATCAATAGCTTACCAACCAAAAAGAGTCCAGGACCAGATGGATTCACAGCTGAATTCTACCAGAGGTACAAGGAGGAACTGGTACCATTCCTTCTGAAACTATTCCAATGAATAGAAAAAGAGGGAATCCTCCCTAACTCATTTGATGAGGCCAGCTTCATCCTGATGCCAAAGCCGGGCAGAGACACAACCAAAAAAGAGAATTTTAGACCAATATCCTTGATGAACATCGATGCAAAAATCCTCAATAAAATACTGGCAAACCGAATCCAGCAGCACATCAAAAAGCTTCTCCACCATGATCAAGTGGGCTTCATCCCTGGGATGCAAGGCTGGTTCAATATACGCAAATCAATAAATGTAATCCAGCATATAAACAGAACCAAAGACAAAAACCACATGATTATCTCAATAGATGCAGAAAAGGCCTTTGACAAAATTCAACAAGCCTTCATGCTAAAAACTCTCAATAAATTAGGTATTGATGGGATGTATTTCAAAATAATAAGAGCTATCTATGACAAACCTACAGCCAATATCATACTGAATGGGCAAAAACTGGAAGCATTCCCTTTGAAAACTGGCACAAGACAGGGATGCCCTCTCTCACCACTCCTATTCAACATAGTGTTGGAAGTTCTGGCTAGGGCAATTAGGCAGGAGAAGGAAATAAAGGGTATTCAATTAGGAAAAGAGGAAGTCAAATTGTCCCTGTTTGCAGATGACATGATTGTATATCTAGAAAACCCCATCATCTCAGCCCAAAATCTCCTTAAGCTGATAAGCAATTTCAGCAAAGTCTCAGGATACAAAATCAATGTACAAAAGTCACAAGCATTCTTATACACCAACAACAGACAGAGAGCCAAATCATGAGTAAACTCCCATTCACAATTGCTTCAAAGAGAATAAAATACCTAGGAATCCAACTTACAAGGGACGTGAAGGACCTCTTCAAGGAGAACTACAAACCACTGCTCAACGAAATAAAAGAGGATACAAACAAATGGAAGAACATTCCATGCTCATGGGTAGGAAGAATCAATATCGTGAAAATGGCCATACTGCCCAAGGTAATTTACAGATTCAATGCCATCCCCATCAAGCTACCAATGACTTTCTTCACAGAATTGGAAAAAACTACTTTAAAGTTCATACGGAACCAAAAAAGAGCCCGCATCACCAAGTCAATCCTAAGCCAAAAGATCGAAGCTGGAGGCATCACACTACCTGACTTCAAACTATACTACAAGGCTACAGTAACCAACACAGCATGGTACTGGTACCAAAGCAGAGATATAGATGATATAGATCAATGGAACAGAACAGAGGCCTCAGAAATAACACCGCATATGTACAACTATCTGATCTTTGACAAACCTGAGAAAAACAAGCAATGGGGAAAGGATTCCCTATTTAATAAATGGTGCTGGGAAAACTGGCTAGCCAAATGTAGAAAGCTGAAACTGATCCCTTCCTTACACCTTATACAAAAATCAATTCAAGATGGATTAAAGACTTAAACATTAGACCTAAAACCATAAAAACCCTAGAAGAAAACCTAGGCATTACCATTCAGGACATAGGCATGGGCAAGGACTTCATGTCTAAAACACCAAAAGCAATGGCAACAAAAGACAAAATTGACAAATGGGATCTAATTAAACTAAAGAGCTTCTGCACAGCAAAAGAAACTACCATCAGAGTGAACAGGCAACCTACAAAATGGGAGAAAATTTTTGCAACCTACTCATCTGACAAAGGGCTAATATCCAGAATCTACAATGAACTCAAACAAATTTACAAGAAAAAAACAAACAACCCCATCAAAAAGTGGGTGAAGGACGTGAACAGACACTTCTCAAAAGAAGACATTTATGCAGCCAAAAAACACATGAAAAAATGCTCACCATCACTGGCCATCAGAGAAATGCAAATCAAAACCACAGTGAGATACCATCTCACACCAGTTAGAATGGCAATCATTAAAAAGT
Organism: Homo sapiens; assembly: GCF_000001405.40. Taxonomy (NCBI): domain Eukaryota; kingdom Metazoa; phylum Chordata; class Mammalia; order Primates; family Hominidae; genus Homo; species Homo sapiens. Next base: position 91,754,967 of record NC_000010.11, read on the forward strand.
CGGGAAACAACAGGTGCTGGAGAGGATGTGGAGAAATAGGAACACTTTTACACTGTTGGTGGGACTGTAAACTAGTTCAACCATTGTGGAAGTCAGTGTGGCGATTCCTCAGGGATCTAGAACTAGAAATACCATTTGACCCAGCCATCCCATTACTGGGTATATACCCAATGGACTATAAATCATGCTGCTATAAAGACACATGCACATGTATATTTATTGCGGCATTATTCACAATAGCAAAGACTTGGAACCAACCCAAATATCCAACAATGATAGACTGGATTAAGAAAATGTGGCACATATACACCATGGAATACTATGCAGCCATAAAAAATGATGAGTTCACGTCCTTTGTAGGGACATGGATGAAATTGGAAATCATCATTCTCAGTAAACTATCACAAGAACAAAAAACCAAACACCGCATATTCTCACTCATAGGTGGGAATTGAACAATGAGAACAACACATGGACACAGGAAGGGGAACATCACACTCTGGGGACTGTTGTGGGGTGGGGGGAGGGGGTAGGGATAGCACTGGGAGATATACCTAATGCTAGATGACGAGTTAGTGGGTGCAGCGCACCAGCATGGCACATGTATACATATGTAACTAACCTGCACATTGTGCACATGTACCCTAAAACTTAAAGTATAATAATAATAAATTTTAAAAAAACTAACTTTTTAAACATGATATGGCATTAATTTTTATGTTTGTAAAATGTGCAGTTTTTTCTATTATATTGAGTAATATCCCTGATTTGAAAACATACATTGAAGCTCAACAATGGTTCACTAAGGTATAAAAATAGTGATTAAAATTATAACAAAAATATTACCATTATGAATTGTATCACAAATCTATAGTGTGAATACAGAACTAGAATTGGTTCAGGTACATCTGAGTGTAATTTTTCCATACAGAAGCTTTAAAAGACAAGTTCCACTAAGTATGATGATTGGCATCTGAAGATAGAATTTTTGAGAACTGATGAGCCATTTGCTCTTAGTCTCCAGAACATTATCTCTTATGAAAATTCATCAACTGGTTTATGACTTTGAAATATTAGGGTCATTTTCAGTTAAAGCACCATGATCTCTCCAGTAACCAAATATGCACAAGATAATGCTTTCCAGTCTTAAATTGAGGAATCTTGATTACAAAAGGCACAAAAGAGACCGAATTACAGAAACATCATTCAAAGTTTCATTCCTTACAGTAAAAACAGGTATAAGTTATAGTATTGGTAAGAAGTTTGTAGTAATAGCCATAATCAATGAAATTGATGTTTTTCTTCTAGAAAGCATAATGAGCTATTAGCAAAATTTGTCAGATAACACTATTGAACTCTGAGTATCTGAAATATAGCTATATGGAAGGTAATTACTATCACATATCTGTGCTAGAATGTACTTCATTCTACATAGTTGCTCAAAACCACTGAAATGATGAGTCACCTCTGTCTTAGTTCATTTTCTGTGCTTATAACAAAATACTTGAAACGGGGTAATTTGTAGAGAAAAGGAATTTGTTTCTTAAGTTCTGGAGGCTGAGAAGTCCAAGGTCAAGGGGCCACATCTGGTGAGAGCTTTCTTGCTGGTGGGAATCCTGTACAGAGCCCAGTGGTGGTACAGGAGATCACATGGTAAGGAGACTGAACATGTTAATGCGCTATACTCAGGTCTCTCTTCCTCTTTTTATAAAGCCACCAGTTCCATTCCCATGATAACCTATTAATCCATTAACCCTCTAATCCATTAATCCATAAATGGATTAATCCATTCATAAGAGCAGAGCCCTCAAGGTTCAATCACCCCTTAAATATCCTACCTCTCAATACTGCCACATTGGGGATTAAATTTCAACATGAGTTTTGGAAGTGACAAATATTCAAGCCATGGCAACCTCTTAACATTATATATATTATATAGATTAATGGCCCCCAACCTTTTTGGCACCAGGGGTCAGTTTCACGGAAGACAATTTTTCCACAGATGGGGATGGGGGGATGGTTTCGGGATGAAACTCTTCCACCTCAGATCATCAGGCATTAGATTCTCATAAGGAGCATGCAACCTAGATCCCTTGCATGCACCGTTCGCAATAGGGTTCGCACTCCTGTGAGAATCTGATGCTGCCAATGATCTGAAAGGAAGCAAATCTCAACTGGTAATGCTCACTTACCAGCTGCTCACCTCCTGTTGTGCAACCCAGTTCCTAACAGACCACTGACTTGTACCATTCCACAGCATAGAGATTGGGGACCCTGATATAGGAAGGACCTCATGACTTTATGTGTTTACCACTGAAAATGCATGCTACAGAGGAAGAGAACATGTTTAACATCTATTTTGTGTCCATCTGTGATGTGAAATGGAAACTGTATCAATAATTTGGTAGTGATAGAATACTAGCTATGGATAGAGCAAAAGCATATTTTAAAACTACAACCAAACACTGCAACAGAATATCAAGAAATATTTCTTAGACGCACACACAAGCAGAGTGTTATTAGACATTCAAATATTTGAAACATTTGAAATATCGGCATCTGAACAAGAAGAGAACCAAATGTGCTGCTCAGAGAAAAATCTCTCCACAATTTCTGGATTAATATGCAACTCAAAAGTCCAAAACTATCTGACAAAGCCTTCAAATATTTGCTCTTTTAATGACTTACAATTATGAATTAGCATTTTCTAATTTAGAAGAACATAAAAGGTAAGAAAAAGCCTGCATTTAAAACCTGACCTACAGTTCAGGGCATCCATCATCAAACCTGTTAAAAGTTAGAGAAACACATTAATGATAAGCCATAATGAGAGAATTTTACTAGGTGTCTCTGGGTATCACTAAATCACAACTGACTCCAACAAACCAAAAAAAGAGAGTTGCTCTCTCCCTGGGCACAAGTCATTGGAGTGGATTTTGTTACTCTACAGTTTTTATAAATAAGAAAAGTGTAATTCGGGTAAGTAAAATAAGCAAAGTCATAAGATTATACACACCAGAAGCATACCTAACTCACGTCTTCACAGTTCTAATTCAGACTCTTTGCTTCATACCATTCCTTCTCATAATCAGAGCCTGTAGTGTGCTTTTGATCTATTGCAAGGCTCTAGTTATTTAAACCATCAACTTAAAGGAATACTTATTCTAGAACTCTTACTGAGCTGATGGCTACCAACTAACTAAACTTCCTACACCACAACTAGGCATGGTTGTTCAGCTTACATTAAAAAAAAAAACAAAACCAACTTCCTGCTATCCTACCAAATTGTCTTCTTTCTGCCACCTAGAGAGAGCATTCAATACAGTCCAAAGCAAGGCATCTTTGAGTCCAGCGCTCTCTTTATTCTAATGGCACTCTATTCCTCCCTAGACCAAAGTACCAATTTTTTTCCCTACCCCACAACCTACACTCCCTCCCCAGTTCCAGACCTGGACACAAGATAAGGAGCATCCAAATACTGGATCTTTTTTTTAATACCTCTCCTTTTTTTTTTTTTTTTTTTAGAATTAGTTGAAATTTTATTAACATGTTGTCCATAATTAGTTCACGAAAATGAATGAATTTTACCTTGTGAACATTATTAAAATACTTTCCAAATGCAAATTATGATTTGCCCCAAAAATGCCCCAAACTTTATAAATGTCCTGTTAAGATGGATTACCTCTTCTTAAGCCTTAAACCAACATTGAAGTTTAAGTTGAACTGAGGGTTCATATTCATTCTATTTGCCAGCCTTCAAAAGTCAATAGAACTATTTCCACTAGATGGCTGTCTTTACCAAGAACTGTAAGAGCTATGCCAACTTGCAGCAGTTTTCAAGTTTTAAAGCTTACCTTTTACAGAGGCAAGCATATATGCAGCCATTTAATAGGCTCACTCCTACAAAATGTTCATGTATTACTTTATTTGTTCACCCCCGCATTGCAAAAAGTCAATATGATAAAAATGTAATGTGTTCTAGAAAATAATGAGAGAAATTTTATTTGTTTCAGGCTGAAAATTTTCTAAAACATGTAAGGAATTTTGCCCTGGAGACTGAAAGACATATATAAAAATTATCTCAGTGTAATTGTTTATATTGTCAGATCAAAAGTTACTTGTTGGTTATAAAAATTGTGTTCTTTAATATTTAAGAAAAGAGATTGGCTATCACTACTTATATTTGGAATTTGTTTCACACCTTTCTCTAGGTCATAAAGGTATTTTAAAGTTAAAATATGATACATTGAATAGAATTTGTTATAAGCTACAATTTCTACTGTATCAAGGAAATTGTTTCTTCCACTCACATGTTTTGTTATTTCCTTAGTATTTGATTCCTTGTTATTTGATTAGTACAAAAATTCAGCACCAAGTGCAGAGAGGATTGGTTGGGTGGTTGGTTGTTTTTCAGTAAACTTTTTATTGAGGTATAACAAAACTAAAGAAAAGTGCACAAATTGTAAGCATATAGCTTGACTGATGTTCGCAAAGTGAAATTAACATAAACGTTTTTGTGCAATTGTATATTTTACCTTTTTAAATTTTATTTGCTATTTGTTTAGTTACATCCAAATAACCAGCACCTAGATCAAGAACTAGAACACTACCAGCCGCCCAGACGTTCCTAATCACCTCACCGAAGTGGTGACCATTATTCTGACATCTAATACCACAGAGATGGCTTTCGCCTGTTTTGAAGTTTATATGACTCATCCCACTTGTTTGGCTTTTCATTGTGTTGATGAGAATCATCTACTTTGTTTTCACTGCTATGCATCACAACTTACTTATTCATGATCATTTGTGTGGTGTCCAGTTTGGAGCTATTATGAATAGTGCTGTTATGAAGTTTCTATATATACACTGAATCAATATGTGTATGCATTTCTTTGAGTGAGCATATACTTAGAAGTGGAATTGCTGAGTCATGACATTTGCATATGTTCAGCTTTAGTAAATACTGCCAATTTTCTGAAGTAGTTGTACCAATCCACACTCCCACAAGCAGGATACGAACTCCACTATTCCATTTCCTCCTCAGCACTTGGTATTGTCAGTCCTTTAAACAGTAGCCATTCTGGTGGGTATATAGTGATATCTCATTATAGTTTTAAATTGCTTTTCCCTGAAAACTAATGAAATTGTTTATATGCTTATTGGTTAAGAATGTTCCAATCTTTTCTTCATTTTGTATAATATTTTCAGGCTAGGTACAATGGCTCATGCCTGTAATCCCAACACTTTGGGAGACCAAGCTGAGAGGATTGCTTGAGCTCAGGAGTTTGAGGCTGAAGTGAGCTATAATTGCACCACTTCCCTCCAGCCTGGGCCATAGGGCAAGACCCTGTTTCCAAAAAAAAACACATATTTTCTATCTTTTCTTTATTAATTTGTGTGAGTCAGTGGTAAGATATAAATATATTATAATTATCTTCTACTCTGGGGCTTGACCAGTTATGGTCTTAACATTATCTTTGATGAGTAAAGTTCAGTTTATTAATTTTATCTTTTATGGTTAGCACATTCTTTAGGTCCTCTTTTTAAAATCTTTGCCCAGATAGTCATCAGACTATCCAAAGTCAGTGTGAAGGAACAAATTCTAAAAGCAGCAAGAGAGAGGCAACTAATCACCTATAAAGAAAATCCTGGCTGGGTGAGGTGGCTCACACCTGTAATCCCAACACTTTGGGAGGCAGACGCAGGCGGAGGCAGGTGGATCACCTGAGGTCAGGAGTTCGAGAGCAGCCTGGCCAACATGGTGAAACTCCATCTCTACTAAAAATACAAAAATTAGCCAGGCATGGTGGTGCGGCCTGTAATCCTAGCTACTAGGGAGGCTGAGGCAGGAGAATTACTTGAACTCAGGAGGTGAAGGTTGCAGTGAGCCGAGATCACACCACTGCAGTCTGGGCTACAGAGCAAGACTCCATCTCAAAAAAAAAAAGAAAATCTCATCAGACTAGCAACTTCTCAGCAGAAATCTTATAAGCTAGAAGAGATTAGGGTCCTATTTTCAGTTCTCTTAAAGAAAAGAACTGCTGGCAATTAGCCAGGCATGGTGGTGTGCACCCATAATCCCAGCTACTTGAGAGGCTGAGGCAGGAGACTTGCTTGAGCCCAGGAGGCGGAGATTGCAGTGAGCCAAGATCACACCACTGCACTCCAGCCTGGGCGACAGAGTAAGACTCCATCTCCAAAAAAAGGAACTGCTGGCCAAGAATTTTTTATCCTACTAAACTAAGCTTTATAAATAAAGAATAACTAAAGTATTTCCCAGACAAGTCAATGCTAAGGAAATCCATCAACACTAGACCAGTTGTACAAAAAATGTTCAAAGGAGTTCTAAACATGGAAATGAAAAGGCAATACTCATCATCATAAAAGCACACAAACGTATAAAGCTCACAGGTCTTATAAAGCAATTTCACAATTGAGACTACAAAGCAACTAGGTAACAATTAACATCATAATGGGAAAAAAATTCATATATCAATATTAACCTTGAATGTAAATGGACTAAATGCTCCACTTAAAAGACATACACTGGAAGAGTGGATAAAAAATAAAATCCAACCAAATACTGCTTACAAGAAACCCACCTAATGGGTAAAGATATTTACAAACTCAAAGTAAAGGAGTGGAAAAAGACATTCCACACAAACAGAAAACAAAGAAAGCAGTAGTGGCTATACTCACATCAGATAAAACAGACTTTAAACCAACAACAGGAAAAAAAGACAAAGAAGGTCATTATAAAATGATAAAAGAATTCAACAAGAAAATGTAACAATTCTAAATATATATGCACCCAACACCAAAGTACCTAGATTCATAAAACAAATACTACTAGACATAAGAAAAGAGATAGACAGCAATACAATAATAATGGGGAATTTCAACACCCCACTGACAGCACTGACAAGGAAGTTTGTAGCTTGCCTACATCAAAAAGACAGGAAGATCTCAAATTAACAACCAAATGTTGCAACTCAAGGAACTAGAAAAACAAGAACAAACCACACCGAAATCTAGCCTAAGAAAAGAAATAACAAAGATCAGAGAAATTGAGATCAAAAAAAGAAACAAAGGATCAACAAAAAGTTGGTTATTTGAAAAGGTAAACAGGCTGATATACTCCTTGCTAGGTTAATCAAGAAAAAAATAGAGAAGATTCAAATAAGCACAATCAGAAATTATAAAGGAGACATTACAATGGACAATACAGAAATACAGAAGATCATCAGAGACTATTATTAGCACCCCTATGTGCACAAACTAGAAAACCTAGAGAAAACAGACAAATTCCTGTAAACATACAACTTCTCAAGATTGAACCAGGAAGACATAGAAATCTTGAGCAGACAAATGGCAAGTAGTTAAACTGAATCAGTAATTTTTTAAAAATCTCCTGACAACAATAACAAAAATCCAGGACAAGAGGGATTCACAGCCAAATTTTGCCAGATGTACAAAGAAGTAGTACCAATCCTACTGAAACTGTTCCAAATGCTGAGGAGGGAATCCTCCCTTACTCATTCTACAAAGCCAGTATCACCCTGATAACAAAGCCAGGCAAGGACACAACAAAAAAAGAAAACTATAGGCCAATATCCCTGATAAACATAGACGCAAAATCCTCAACAAAATACTAGCAAACCAACAGCACATCAAAAAGAACATCATGATGGGTTTTATTCCAAGGATGCAAGGATGGTTCAACATACACAAATCAATAAATGGGATACACCACACTAACAGAATTAAAAACAAAAATCACATGATCATCTCAACAGATGCAGAAAAAGCATTTGATAAAATTCATTATTTCTTCATGATAAAAGCCCTCAACAAACTAGGCATCAAAGGAACATATATCAAAATAATAAAAGCCGTATATGACAAACCCACAGCCAACATCACACTGAATATAGAAAAGCTAAAAGCATTCTCCCTAAGAACTGGAACAAGACAAGGATGCCCACTTTTACCACTCCTATTCAACATGGTAGTGGAATCCTACCTACGGAAAGAAATAAAAGGCATCCAAATTAGAAAGAGGAAGTCAAAGTATCTCTGTTCACTGATGATATGATCTTATCTCTAGAAAAATCCTAACACTCCTCCAAAGAGTTTTAAATTTGATTAATGACTTCAGTCAAATTTCAGGATACAAAATCAAGATACAAAAATCAGCAGCATGTCTATCCACCAATAAAATCAAGCTGAGAACCAAATTAAGAACTCAATCCCTTTTACAGTAGCTAGAAAAATAAAATAAAATACCTAGAAATACATTTAACCAAGGGGGTAAAAGATCTTTATGAGAAGAACTACAAAACACTGATGAAAGAAATTGTAGGTGACACAAACAAATGGAAAAACATCCCATGCTTGTGAATTGGAAAAATCAATATTGTTAAAATGATCATACTATCCAAAACAATCTACATATTAAATGCAATTCCTATCAAATTACCAATGTCATTTGTCATGGAATTAGGGGAAAAAAAATCCTAAAATTCCAATGGAATGCAAAAAGAGCCTGAATAGCCAAAGAAATCCTAAGCAAAGAGAACAAAGCTAGAATAAAGCATCACCTTACCTGACTTGAAATTATACTACGACGCTATATTAACCAAAACACCATGACACTGGTATAAAATAGACACATAGATCAATGGAACAGAACAGAGACCAGGAATAAACGACATCTACAACAGACAAAGTCAACAAAAACATGCACTGCGAAAAAGACACACTTTTCAATAAATGATTCTGGGAACATTGAATAACCATATGCAGAAGAAGGAAACTGGACTCATATCTCTCACCATATGTAAAAATTAACTCAAGATAGATTAAAGACTTAAATATAAGACCTGAAACTATAAAAATCCTAGAAGAACACCTCAGAAAAACTCTTCTAAATGTTGGCCTAGGCAAAGAATTTCTGACTGTCATCAAAAACAAATACAACAAAAACAGATATAGACACATGGGACTTAATTGAACTAAAAGCTTCCATATAGCAAAAGAAATAATTAACAGAGTAAACAGGCAACCTACACAATGGGAAAAAAAATGTTTGTAAACTATGCATCTGACGAAGGGCTAATATCTAGAATCTACAAGGAAATCAAACTCAACAAGAAAAAAATAGATAACCCCATTAAAAATGGGCAAAAGACATGAACAGATATTTTTCAAAAGAAGATTTACAAGCAGCCCACAAACAGGTAAAAAAGCTCAACATCACTAGTCATCATTGAAATGCAAATTAAAACTACAATGAGATACCATCTTACATCAGTCAGAATAGTTATTATTAAAGAGTCAAAAAACAGATATCAGTGAGAATGTGACAAAAAGGGAATGCATATACATTGTTGGTGAGAATGTAAATTGGTACAATCTCTATGGAAAACAGTATGGAGATTTCTCAAATAAAACTGAAAATAGAACTACCATTCAAACCAGCAATACCACTAGATGTCTACCCAAATGAAAAGAAATCATTATATCAAAAAGACACCTGCACTCATATGTTTACTGCAGCACCATTCACAATAACAAAGTCATGAAATAAGTCTAAGTGTTCACCAATAGATGATTGGATAAAGAAAATGTGACATATATATACCATGGAATACTATGCAACCATAAAAATAATGAAATCATGTATTTTGCATCAACATGGATGGAGCTGGAGGCCATTATTCTAAATAAAATAACTCAGAAACAGAAAGTCAAATATAGCATGTTCTCACGTCTAAGTGGGAGTTAAACAGAAGGTATACATGGACATCAGAGGGCAATAATAGACATTGGAGACTCCAAAGGGTGAGAGGGGCCAGGTGCGGTGGCTCACGCCTATAATCCCAGCACTTTGGGAGGCCAAGGCGGTCAGATTGCTTGAGGCCAGTAGTTTGAGACCAGCCTGGCCAACATGGTGAAACCCCACCTCTACTAAAAATACAAAAATTAGCTGGGCATGGTGGCAGATGCCTATAATCCCAGCTTCTTGGGAGGCTGAGGCAGAGAATCACTTGACCCCAGGAGGCAAAGGTTGTAATGAGCCAAGATCATGCCATTGCACTCCAGCCTGGGCGACAGAGTAAGACTCTTGTCTCAAAATAAATAAATAAATAAATTTTTTTAAAGGTGAGAGAGTGGCAGAGGGGGTAAAGGTTGAAAAATTACCTACTGGGTACAATGTTCACTATTCAGGTCATGGGTACACTAAAAGCCTAAAGTTCACCACTACACAATATATCCATGTTACAAAACTGCACTTATACCCCCTAAATCTATGGAAATAATTTTAGAAAATCATTGCCTATTCCAATTTCATGAATATATTCATCTGTGCCTTCTTCTTGGAATTTTTTTTTCAGCCCCCTTGGTCATTGCAAAACAGAAACAAAATTATTCATAAATTGTGGCAGTTCAAGGAACATCTCTGCTGTGTACTTTCTCTTCCCTCTCCTCTCCAGAGGTGGGAGAAGCAAGTCCTCAGAAGATGCTGCAAGTAGCTGGTTGATGGAAGTTTTTCACTTTATTTTCCATAAAACCAAGAATCAATGAGAATTTGTGGGAATGTCCCCTTCCCCAGTTGGGACAATGTATGAGTTGAAGGGGAAGAGTCTCTGTTTACTGGATGGTGCATGTGCAGAGGCCATCGAGAAAAGCTGAGCTTGCTGAGTGGGTACGTTCATTGCTAACCTTGTGTACGCACAAACAGGTTGTGATGTCTTGCAGGCAACATGGCTTCTGATCCTTCCTTTGGATGCAGTAGTCTTTTAAAAAATATATTGTATAATAATAATATGAATTTCTCTCTCTTGGTTGTTTTTTTTTCTGTTTTGTTTGTTTGTGTGTTTTTCTGTTTCGTTTAGGGATGGGAGTAGGAGGGGAGGGGAAGAAAAAATGTCATTTGTCTATTAGATCCTGAACAAACAGAACTCCTGTATGGCTGAGTCCAACCTCCTGCAGCATAGGGAAATTGGGCAGCACTTGCCTGGAAAAATTGGCTTCAATTGGAAGCTTTTCAGGGCTTTTTTTCAAGGAGAATAAGAAGTCATGGATTATTGTTAGAGACTATGAAAAGTGGAATCATCTCTCTACTTGAGAATCACTGTGTAATTTGAAGATAATCTTGACATTTTCAGGGTCATCGGGGAAATTTCAGGGGCAGGCATTCCAACTTCCTTTCCTTTTCCTCATGTAAATTCTGCTACCATCTCTTCTCTGCCAGCTTTTGCTCTTGCACCTCCTCCTCCTTCTGCTGCTTAAGCTCCCACTCCTCCCATTTCTTCATTTCTTTCTCCTGGTCAGCCCTGGGAGAAGCCAGGTAGGCCTCATCCTGCTTTTGTCTCAACACCTGGGTCTGGTTTCTTTCTTCCCTTTCCAGGCATTCTGACACCAGGTAAGTCTGGTTTGTATCCATGATAGATGTCAGTTGGTTAATGAGGTCATCCAGTTGAAGGAGGCCTTCTAGCCATCCCACCACAGTCATCCGCTGATCCTTCAGCATCACCATGGCCAGGAATGGATAGGTGTTCTCTCATAACGCCCGCAAGATCCTGTATCCCTCAGATTTGTTTGTAGAGCATGCCCAGAAGAGCATCCTAGAGAAAGAATTTTAGTGAAATAACTTTGGGTTCACAGAGTGTGTTGCAACAAAACTTATCAGAGACCTGTTGATCATCTCCAAGAAGATAAACCAAAGAGCGAAGCTCCAGCTTGGCATCATTAAGTGCCTGGCTGTGTGTTCTGGGCTAGAAGACAAGGTGTGCCCTCCCATATTTCTATTCAAACGCTAGCATAAATGAAACAATGTACCCAACAGGGTCAGTGATCTGGCTGCGAAGGTCAAGCCATATAAAACAAAGGGCAAACCTAAATATATCAAGTATTGTGTAATAGGTAGACTGGAATGGAAGCATTATCAAGTAATAACCCCATCCAAGCAGACCCCTCGGTTGTGGTCTTGAGACAACATAGCTGTAGATCCTGTGGTCAGCTGTATTAACCTGCAGGGGTGGGGACGGAGGCGGGTTGAAAACACTCCATACACCATCTCGCTCATTCAAGCTGTCCTGTTCAGCAACCTGTATGTTCCAGTTATGCTGTTCCAAGGTCTGGTGATGCTGATCCATAGATTCTATGCCAGTTAGATCCTAAAACTGCAGCAGCTTCTCTGTCTGTTCCTGTGTTAGATCCTGCTTCTCAGACATCGCCTCTATGCTCCTGCAGAGTTTTATTACTTAACCTTTTATATCTATATCTAATATGTCTGCAATTGCTTTTGAGTGAGAGCAGGGTAAAAATTCATTTTCATATGGATATCAAATTGTCCCATCACCACTTATTGAAGACTTTCATTTCATTACTATACTACAGTTTCATATTTGTCATTAATCAGATAACTGCATATATTGTGGGTTTGTTTTTGGATTTTCTATTCTGTTGCATTGGTCTATTTGTCTATCCTCAGGCCCATGAGCTTTGTTATTTTAGCAATATAACAAGTCACGATATCTGGTAGTCTAAGTCCTCAGCCTTCTTCAGAATTGTCTTGACTGTTCTTGGTTCTTTGCATTTCTAGATGAATTTTAGGATAAATTTGTAAATTTCCACAGGAGGAACAAAAACAGCTACTGGGACTGTTAACTAAAATTGAATTAACCAATAAATTCATTTGGAAAAAATTGTTTTGTGATGGATTGATTTAGCTAGGCAATACTATATCTCCCAGAATTCTTTTCCCTGATGGTTTTTGGTTAGGGTGGACCATAGGAGGCCTTTCTTGCAAGAGATTTGGAGAGCAGAAGTAAAGTAGCAGCTATAATTTTTATGTTCACATGTCAGAGCAGGCGTTGTTATAGCTCATGTACATTGTAGCTAATCTCTTGGCTCACCTTTGTTGGTGTGGAAACAACAGTCAGGTTGTAATTGCTCCAAATTACTCTGAATCCTCTTTCAACCCCTCCAACTCCTTAGCAAGTGGCACTAGTTTCTCCTGCTGGACACCCACATCACCAAGGTTAGAGGCAATGAGACTTAAGCTGATCCAGGTTCTGCCTCTGTTCTACCCCCTAATATCCTTCTTTCCTTCTCAATTGTCTGTCATACAGATTTCAAGGTCCAGCATTGGACACAGAGACAACAGCCTTATAGAGGCTGTTTTACCAGCTCCTATATTGTGCAAGGTTAAATTCCTATAACAAATCATACATACATATGCATGTGTTTATATTTATGTATATATATATATAGTGTGTGTGTGTGCACATTGCATTTATGTGTGTACAGTCATGAGTTGCTTAATGATGACGATACATTCTAAGAAATGTGTCATTAAGCAATTTCATCATTGTATAAATATCATAGAGTGTACTTACGCAAACCTAGATGGTACAGCCTACTCCACAGCTAGGTTATATGGTATAGCCTATTGCTCCTAGGCGACAAAGCTGTACAGTATGTTACTGTACTGAATACTCCAGGGAATTGGTAACACAATGATATTTGTGTATCTAAACATATTTAAAGAGCATATGCTTGCTCTACGCTATTACCACTGCTACAGCATCACTAGGCAGCATAAAGTTTTCAGCTCCATTATAACATTGTATATGCAGTCTGTCATTGACCAAAACTTTGTTATGAGATGCGTAAGTGTATTTATTTGTTTATCTTATCTTAGTGGTTCTGCCTCTCTGATTGAAACCTGACTGATACAAACATCTTTACAATACTGGGTTTTCCAATTCTTGCTATATCCCTCTACTAATTTGGTTATCTTTAATTTCTCTCAATAATAATTTGTAATTTTTTGACGTGATCTTGCCCATGTTTTATTATATTTATTCCTAGTTATTTGATGTTTTTGATGCAATTGTAAATTTTATCTTTTTAATTTTCACTTGCAAATGTTTGTTTCTGGTATATAAAATACAAATTACTTTTTTTATTTTGATCACGTATCTCGCAGCCTTGCTTAAAGTCAGTTATTAATTTTAATAGCTCATGAACTCTTTTGATTTTCTACATACACACTCATGTCATCTGAGCTGATGTGAGCTTCCTTCTTCCTTTTCTTGCCTTTTTGGACTGGATAGGACCTCCAATAAAATGTTGAGTAGAAATGATGATAGAAGAGAACTTTGTCTCATTGCCCATCTCAAAGGGATGTCTTTAAATACTTTACTCTTCACTATTATATTTTCTTTAGGTTTTTCTGTAAATACTCCTTCTCAGATAAAAGAAATTCTTTCCATTCTTAGTTTGCTAAGAGTTTTTATCACAACTATTCTTTGCCTCATCAAATGCTTTTTCTGTATCCAATAAGTAGGTCATATGATTTTCTCATTTTTTCTGTTAATGTGATGATTTACACTGATTAATTTTCAAATGTCAAACCAACCTCAACAGAAGCCAATTTGGTCATGATTATTGTATTTTTATACATTGATAAATTCAATTTGCTAACATTTTGTTTAGAATTCTTCCATTTCTGGTTTTGAAAGAGATTGGCGTATAATTTTCATTTCTTAAATGTCATTTTCAAACTTTGGACCTAAGGTAATGCTAGCCTCTTAAAATTAGTTGGGAGTATTTTACCTTTTTATATTCTCTAAGGAAGTTGTGTAAGATTAGTGTTGCCTCTTCCTTAAATATTTGAAAGAATTCACCCATAAGGTTATCTGGGCCTGAATACTTCTTTATGGGAAGGTTTTAAATTACAGAAGCAACTTATTTAGTAGCTTTGAGTCTATACAACATTGGCAGGTTGTGTTTAATATCATCTTTTTATATTTCTCATGCCTACGAAATCTGTAGAAATGTCCATTTTTCATTTCTGATGTTGGAATTGTGTGCTTGCTTGCTCTCATTTGCTCATGCTATCTCCCTCTTTCTCTCTTTCCCTTTGATTTATTTGCTAGAGGCCTGTCAAATTTATTATTATTTTCCAAGATCCCACTTTTGGTTGTGTTGGTTCTCTCTATTGTGCACTTGTTTGCTATTGAATTAATTTCTTTTCTTACATTTATTATTTACTTCCTTCTACTTTTGTAGATTTATTTTGCTGGGTTTTTTCTAGGTTTTTTTTAGATAAATTTTTTTTTCTTTTTTTCTTTTTCTTTTTCCTTTTTTTTTCTTTCTCTTTTTTTTTTTTTTTTTTTTTTTTTGAGACAGGGTCTCGCTCTGTTGCGCAGGCTGGAGTGCAGTGGTGTGATGTCAGCTCACTGCAAGCTCTGCCTCCCAGGTTCACGCCATTCTCCTGCCTCAGCCTCCCGACTAGCTGGGACTACAGGCACCCGCCACCAAGCCCTGCTAATTTTTTTGTATTTTTTAGTGGAGACGGGGTTTCACCGTGTTAGCCAGGATGGTCTCAATCTCCTGACCTCGTGATCTAACCACCTCGGCCTCCCAAAGAGCTGGGATTACAGGCGTGAGCCACCGCGCCCGGCCAACCTTCCTTATTTTCTAATAGTATGCATTTCAAAACTGTAAAATTCTCTATAAGCACAGCTTTAGTAGAAGCTATGCATTTTAATGTTATATTTTCGTTATTATTCAATTCAAAATACTATCTAGTTTCCAAGTTCTTATTTGAGCTCTAATGTATTTAGAATTATATTGCTTAATTTAATAACAGTTGAGGGATTTCCAGTTAACTGTCATTGATGTCTAGCTGGATTTCACTGTTTCAGAGAACACAATCTGTATGGTTTTAAACCTTTGAAAACTTTATGTATACTTTATGGCTCAGCATATGGTCAATTTTAATAAATGTTCCACGTACACTTGAATTGAATGCATATTCTGTTGTTGTTGGCTGTAATGTTCTACATAGTGTGTTAGGTTAAATTTTGTTAATCATATTGTTCAGATCTTCTATATACTTGCTAATGTTTTGTCTGCTTGTTCTACCAGCTTTTGAGAGAGCTATGTGAAAGCATCCCACAATGACTGTGGATTTTCCTGTTTCTCCTGGTTCTGTAAGATTTTTGCTTCATATACTTTAAAACCATTTACTGGGTGTATATAGGTATAAAATTGTTATATCTTTCTAAAGGATTCACCCTGTCTTACTCAGTTTGGGCAGCTATAACAAAATACCCTAGACTGAATGACTTAAACATTCAACATTTATTTCTCACAGCTTTGGATGTTAGGAGATCCAAGATCAAGGTACCAGCACATTCATTGTCTGTGAAGGCCTTCTTTCTTATTTGCATATGGCTGCATTTTTTTTTTATCCTCACATGGCAGAGACAGAGATCATCTCTCTCATGTCTCTTATTATAAGTGCACTAATCCCATCATGAGACTCCACTTTCCAACCTCATGAACTACCTCCCAAAGGCCCCACTTCCATATACCATCACAATGGGGATTAGGGCTTCGATAGAGGAATTTGAGGGAGGAACAGAAACATCCAATCTATAGCACACCTGTTCAAAATCATTAAATGTTTCTCTATTTCTAGTAATATTTCCTGCCTTAAAATGTTCTTGTTTATATTGATATAGCTACATTCATTTTCTTTTGACTGGAATTTGCATGATATACTTTTTAATCCATTTACTTTATACTGTCTACGTTCTTATATCAAGCTATGTTTCTTACAAGCAGCTATAGCAGAGTTTTGTTTTCTATCCAATTTCTGACAATCTTTTAATTGGATTGTTCAGTCCATTTACATTTAATACAATATAATAAGAAATATAAAATATCATTACTAATATGTCTACCATTTTACTACTTGTTATATATCTCACCCAACTGAGTTTTTTTCTCTCATTTCTTACTTTCCTTTGGATTTAATTAAATAATGCAATATTATTCTATTTTTCATCTATTAATTCCTTTTACTTTTTTAGTTGTTCTTTTGGTGATTAGCCTAAATATTGCAATTTATTACAGTCTATATTATTTTTCTAGGGCTGTCATAACAAATTACCTCAAACTAAGTGGCTTATAACAACAAAAATGTTAAAGTTCTGGAGACCAGAAGTCCAAAATCAAGATGTGAGCAGGTTTAGTTCCTTCTGAGGGCTCTGAGAAACAGCCTGTTCCATGCTTCTCTCCTAGCTTCTGATGACAGCCAGCAATCTTTGGCATTCCTTGGTGTGATGGTTAATAATGAGTGTCAACTCGATTGGATTAAAGGATGCAAAATACTGCTCCTGGTGTGTCTGTGTGGGTGTTGCCAAAGGAGATTAACATTTGAGTCAGTGGACTGGGAAAGGCAGACCCACCCTTAATCTGGGCAGGCACAATCTAATCAGCTGCCAGTGTGGCCAGAATAAAAAGCAGGCAGAAGAATGTAGAGAGATTAGACTGGCTTAGCCTCCCAGCCTACATCTTTCTCCTGTGCTGGATGCTTCCTGCCCTCAAACATCAGGCTCCAGGTTCTTGAGCTTTGGAACTCAGACTGGCTTCCTTTCTCCTCAGCTTGCAGACAGCCTATTGTGGGACCTTGTGATCGTGTGAGTTAATACTCCTTAATATACTCCTTTTTATATATACATCTATCCTATTAGTTCTGTCCCGCTAGAGAACCCTGACTAATACACTTGACTTGTAGGTGCATCACTCCAATCTAATCTCTGCCTCCATCTTCCCATGGTATTCTCTCTGTATCTCTTGTCCTCACATGGCTGTTTTCTACTCTATGGTGTCATTCTACTCCAGTATGCCCTCATCTCTAGTTTAATTACATTGGAAATGACCCTGTTTCCAAATAAGGTCACATTCTGAAGTACTGGGGTTAGGACTTCAACATACCTTTTGGGGAGGACACAATTTAACCATAACACAGCCTAAAAATTTTTTTTTACCACTTCCCTGACAATGCTAGTACTTTAGAACACTTTAACTTCATTTACCATATCTTGTCTTTTGTTTTGTTGTTATTGTATATTCAATTTTATATATTTTACATTTTTTTAATTTTTCCTTTTGTTTTCCTTTTTTTGAGACAGTGTCTTGCTCTGTTGCCCAGGCTGCTGGAGTGCAGTGGCATGATCATGAATCACTGCAGCCTCAAACTCCTGGGCTCAAGTGATCCTTCCAACTCAGCCTCCTGAGTAGCTAGAACTACAGGCATACACCACCATGCCCAATTAATTTTTGTAGAGATGGGTCTCACTATGTTGCCCAGGCGGGTTTGGAACTGGCCTTGAGAGATCATCTCACCTCATCCTCCCAAAGTGCTGGGATTACAAGCATAAGCCACCAGACCTGGTGAAATTCTGTATGTTTTAAATTTTAAACAGCATTACTATTGTTGCTTTATACAGTCAAAATACATTCATATATACCCATATATTTAACTCTTTCATTACTCTTCATTTTTTTTTTTTTGCACTTTCTTTTTCCATCTTAGAACATTTTCTTTCCCAGTTTTTCCTAGTCTGCTGGGACTCCAGTTACATATATGTCAGACCTGTTCATTATGTCCCATTTGTCCCTGGTGAAATTCTTTTTTTTTTCTTAATCTATTTTCTCCATATTTTTCTCTATTTTCTTGAATACATTTATTATAGTCATATTAAAATATTTGTTGACAGCTATAATTCTGGATCACCTGTCTGATTTCTCTCCCCCTCTCTCTTGCTCTCTGCCTCTCTTTCTCTGTCATTTTGTCCTATTTCTTGGTATGCCTGATACTTTTTGATTGACAGTCAGATACTCTCTGAAAAATTACAGAAGTTTTGGATGATGAAGGAATCTCCAGAGAGGGCTCACCCTTTCCTCTGATAGGTAGGTAGAATTAGAACCGGCCACTTCAATTCAATCAGGAACTGAGCTAACTCAAAGTTAGGCTGCAGTTTTACTAAGGCTTTTTCCACCTCTTTATTTATTTATTTATTTATTTTAGAGACACTCTGTTGCCCAAGCTGGAGTGCGGTGGCACAATCCTAGCTCACTGAAGGCTCAGACTCCTGGGCTCAAGCAATCCTCCCACTTCAGGTTCCCAAGCGGCTAGGACTACAGGTGCATGCCACCATGTCCAGCTAAATTTTTTTATGCATATTTTGTAGAGACAGGGTCTCACTTCATTGCCCAGACTGGTCTCAAACTCCTGGCCTCAAGCACCTCAGCCTCCCAAATTGCTGGAATTACAGGTGTGAGCCACTGCACACAGCCTCTTTCTACCTTTGTATTACTACCACTCTAGAGCTTAGCTGCTTAAGTTCCAACTAAAAGCCTGGGACTTCTCCAGGTTCCAGCCCCCATGTCACGTTCTGAACTCTAATCCTTGACTCCTCAGCCATGTGCAACTGCCAGGAACTCCATTCTGCTTTGCCTGGCTTCTTAGGTTCCTGAATTTTACAGCTTCAGAATTCAGCAAAATGGAAAAAAAACAAAAACAAACAAAACAAAACCACCTTGCTGGGCATGGTGGCTCAATCCTGTAATCCCAGCATAAAGTGTGACGATTTCTTGAACTCAGGAGTTTGAGACCAGCCTGGGCAACATAAGGAGACCCCGTCTCTACAAAAAATAATAATGATAATAAAACAATTATTCAGGCATGGTGACATGTGCCTGTAGTCCCAGCTACTTAGGAGGCTGAATTGGGAGGATCACTTGAGTCCGGAGATTGAGGCTGCAGTGAGCTGTGATTGTGTCAGTGCACTCCACCCTGGGCAACAGGGAAACCCTGTCTCAAAAAACAAACAAAAAAAATGGTCAATTGCTGGGCCCAGCTTTCTGTCCCTCCAGTCTACAATATGTATTTCTTCACACCCACAGGATTGACAAATGCTCTGATGGCTACTCTGCCTTCCAGCAAAAGCCCTTTCCCCAGGCCCTTTACTGGGTTTTCAGCGACATTCCTTGAGCCCAGAATTGTGAAACTCCCCATGGTAAAACATTGTTGCAGAATGTCCTTTCAGCTCTCCATGGTTCTCATCTCTCCAGAATCTTGACCTCTCAAGTTCTGCATTGCCTTAGCAGCTTCCCAATACCCATAAAGAGCTTTTGGGTTTTTTTAAATCCAATTTTTATACTTTTTCTTAAAGGGTGCATTTTTCTGCCGTAAGTTACTCTGCCTGGCTAAAAGTAGAAGTCCTAACCACAGAGTTTAGATCTTCCCTTTCGATGAAGCTATTGATTATGTTCAGGAAGTTAGACTGCTAAATAAGAGAGTTTCTCGTTTTTCTCATCAGGTATATCATGGACTTTAAATCCAAACTGTATAGTAATTAGTGTGCCCTATGGGAAAACATGAATTTAAATTAACAAAAGAATATGTCATTGGACTACTTTATCAAGAAATGAATGAGAAAAATAAATATGCAAAATAAAAAACAAAACGTACAATTAATAAAATACATTGAAAACAAATTTTATTCAAGATTGAAGCAAAAATGTTAAATTTATTTTATGTTGGTATAGACAACTTAATCAAACTATAAAATAAAAGTGGAATTCTTTCCAAAAGTGGTATAGTTCAGTGAATTACTAGCAGAGGCTTTTTTTACCTCAGATGTACAGAATTGAGTTGATAATATTAATTTCTTAGCAAGCTATCATCATTTATCCATGTTAAACCCCACTTTTTAAATTTTTTAATGTAATTATTAGCTTTTTCCTTAATCTCAAATCCCTAGTTCTCAATTCAATTTCCTTTCATAAGCTCTATCTTTTATGTATTTTAATTGATACATAATCATTATACATATTTATGGGGTATATAGTGATTGTTTGTTTATTTGTTTGTTTGTTTTCAGCACAAGGTCTGGCTCTATCCCCCAGGCTGGAGTGCAGTGGCATGATCTTGGCCCATTGCAACCTCTGCCTCCCAGGCTTAAGCCATCCTCCTACCTCAGCCTCTGGAGTAGTTGGGACTAAGTAGTTGGGACTACATGCACGTGTCACCACACCTGGCTAATTTTTGCAGTTTTAATAGAGATGGAGTTTCACCATGTTGCCCAGGCTGGTCTCAAATTCCTGGGCTGAAGCAATCCGTCCACCTCAGCCTACAGTGATGTTTTGATACATACAAAGTATAGTGATCAGATCAGGGTAATTAGCATATCCTTCATTCCAAACATTTATCATTTCTTTGTGCTGGGAACATTCAAGATCCTTCTTCTAGATATTTGAAACTATGTAATACATTATTGTTAACTATAGTCATCCTACAATACCATAGAACACTAGAACTTTTTCCTTTTATCTAGCTAGTTTTATAGTTTTGGTCTCATATTTAAGTCTTTGTCATGCCAGACCCTTACTGACTTCAGTCAACAGAGACTGAAGAAGAGGCCCAGAGCCAGTGAACAAGACATAGGGCTTATTGAGAAGACTTATATACAGGGCAGTCCGGTGGCCATGGACTGGGCAGGAGAACCACAACTGCTTATAAAAAGCATGCAGTGTATATAGCATTTTCACGTAGCACCCTTCCCCTAGCAATCTCCACCTGGCAACCTTCATTTAACCCAAAACAAAGTACCTTGATCCCCTACGCTACCTGAGTTCCACAGGATATCCCAGAGGGTTCAGATGTTCCTCACAGATAAGGAATGAATCTGTGGGTTGGCTGTTCCCAGGTTCCTTAGCTCAGAAGTCTGAACATACATTCTTAAACCATAGGGTTATTCTTAAGGTATGCTTAAGTTATTGCTGCCAGGTGTACCTGCCATACAGTCTTTGATCCATTTGAGTTTATTTTTGTATAGAGTGAGTGGGGAGGGAGAGATAAACATTTAGGTCCAGGAAGCTTGTCCATAATGAAACTATGGCAGGGGCCAGGAAGGAAGATTGTAAACAAATAATATTACCTTCCACATTATTATTGTTATTATTTACAAAATTTTCATACACCCGTGGGTCTATTTGAGTTTTAAATTCTGTTCCAGGGTTGGGCTCAGTGGCTCACGCCTGTAATCCCACCACTTTGGGAGAACTAGGCAGGAGGATAGCTTGAGCTAAGCAGTTCGAGACCAGCCTGGGCAACATAGTGAGACCTTATCTCCACAAAAAAATTAGACAGGCATGGTGGCACGTGCCTATAGTCCCAGCTACTTGGGAGGCTGAAGTGGGAGACCACTTGAGCCTAGGAGGTTGAAGCTACAGTGAGCCAAGTTCGCATCACTGCACTCAAGCCTTAGCAACACAGTGAGATCCTGTCTCAAAAAAATAAATAAGTAAATTCTGTTCCAACGGTCTAGTTTCCTGTTCCTCTGACAAAAACATAAGTTTTAATTATTATAACTCCATAATATACTTTCATGTCTTGTAGATTAGGCTCCTTTCTCTGCCCTTTTTTATAAAATTGACTTTCCTAATTTTTACTCCTTAATTATTCTATATAAATATTAGAAAAAGTTTGATTTCCTCAAAAATTCTAAAATTTTAATTAGAATTGCTTTTATTGATTAGTCAGGGGAGGACTGACATATCCACACAGTGATTTAAGACAATAAGAGACCATCTTACACTTACTATGTTATTAAATAATACTAAGTGCAGGTGAGGATACTAGAAAACTGTCTTATGGTTGGATGGAATGGTGCTGCCATTTTGGAGAACAGTATGGCAGTATTTAATAACATTAAATAGGCAGTTTTTAGTAGCATTAAATACGTGTAAATGTTATGATGTAGCACTTCCTCTAATGAGTTTTTACCCCAAAGAACAGTTGTAGAGATATACAAGGAGACATACACAAGATATTCATTGCAGTTGTTTGTGGTAACTAAGAGTTGGAGAAAACTTACATGTCCTTTTATAAAGTAATGGATAAGGAAACTATATAAGCATATGATCGAATATAATGCAACGATCAGAAGCTGCCATTGAGAAAAGCATGGTGGCAAGAAAGCAAAAATGAATCAGGTTTTAGAATTACATTTATCAAATAATTTAGGTGTGGTTACAGACATATGGAATTGACTAGAAGTAAATTGATCAGAACTCTATTAAGGTTTTGAAGGAATTATTTTGCCAAAAACAAAAACTAACAAATGGAGTCAACAACAGAATCTGGACTAAAAAAATTTTTTTGACTAGTCTAGTCTTAAAATGAACTTCTTGTAATCCTAACACTTTGGGAGAAAGAGGTAGAAGAATTGCTTAAAGCCAAGAGTTCAAGACCAACCTGGTCAACATAGTGAGACCCTGTCACAAAAAAGCAAACAACAACAACAACAAAAAACACAGGCCAGGCATGGTGGCTTATGTCTGTAATCCCAGCACTTTGGGAGGCCAAGGCGGGCGGATCACTTCAGGCCAGGAGTTTGAGACCAGCCTGGCCAACATGGCAAAACCCCATCTATACTAAAAATACAAAAATTAGCTGGCCATGGTGGCACATGCCTGTAATCCCAGCTACTTGGGAGGCTGAGGCACAAAATCCGGTTGAGCCCCAGAGGCGGAGGTTGCAGTGAGCCAAGATCACACCACTGCACTCCAGCCTGGGTGACAGAGGGAAACTCTGTCTCAAAAAACAAAACAAAACAAAAAAGTCAGGTTCTGAAATTTGCATAGCTGAAAGCAGGCTCAGAAAGCTGTGCAGTCTCCAAGGACATATTCCTCAACAACCTCTTCAGGTATGGCCATGAAAAATAGACAAGGAAGAACATCCGGCAGGAAAAACCCAAGAACCATGAAAAACAGTGGATAAGGGAATGCCTCAAAGGGAGTAGAACCCAGCTCTAATTACAAATTAGCCCACACCCCAGTTAAGAGGAATTCACAATGCATGCCTCAGAGGATTTTATCATTGTAATGAACCAGCAGTTACTATGTGTCTCCCATTATTTTTCTTTTCAAGTTAAGAATTCTTAATTGTAGCCATCTAGCCCTGTCCCTAATGAATGTATTAGGTATGTGGGAGTAAGAATGAGAATAGGTGCAAATAATTTATCTCTTTAGTTCATGGGTGGCTTGACCACAAGAAGCCACTTCTATGACTGAAATAACTGTGTATCACTAGGAAATCCTAGAACTTGAATTGGATGCACTGACTGATACTTTGAGCAGTCACTCTTAAGATAAGGTGTATCTTATGTGTGGGAAGAAGAGTAAAACAGATGCTATTTACCAGAAGAGTGAACTATGGCAGAAATTGGCCAGACATTCAGCAAACCTATTTTTTTTCTCCTAGACTCTCAGCTAGACCATATTTCCCAGCCTCTGTTTTGGTGAGGTGCAATTATATGACTTTCAGCCTATGGAATGTGGAAAGAGTGATGATTATACACCACTTTCAGGCTTGGCTTGTAAAAATCCACCAATCATTCCTTCACTTTCTCTCCTCATAGTTGGCTGGATAGTGACACCTAAAACCACAGCAAAAGATGGCAGAGCTTCCACCAGCCTAGGTTCCTGAATGACTGCATGGAGTGTGCCCCAGCCCCTGCTGACAGTTGGACTTTATGTGAGTGGGAAATTGTTATTATGTTAAGCCACTGATATTTCAGGAGTTATAGCAGTTAGCTTAATACATGAATACACTTTAAACCAGAAATACCAGTTTTTAAAAGCTTTTCACCTAGAGGGAACATGTACAAACATTGGTTATGGTAGTTGGGGTTAACTTTGGTATTCGTCACTTAAAAAGATAGGTAAATATAAAAACACCCCAGAGCCTAGGAAAAAAACAAAAACAAAACAAAACAAAAAGATAGGTAAATAAAAATGAAGCATCTGGAAGCAATGTACTAGATGAATGTACAATGAGACGGATAAACCTCAAGAACATAGTGTTGATCGAAAAAAGCAACGAGCAGAATTACAGATAGCAGTAGTACAATATCATTGATGTAATTTTGAAATAAAATGGGGAAAAAAACTATAGCACAATACCACTGATGTAAATTTAAACACATAAATACACAAAACAGTATTATATATTTTTCAAAGATACACACATATCCAAGGGTATATACCAAACATGTCAGGGAAGAAGAATGGGTCTGGGAGTCAATTGAATGGGGAAAAAAAAGAAAAGAAAGGGGATATTGCAGAAACAATAGTGATAAAGTGCCATCAATTGAGGGCTATGATTGACTCAATTTTCTGTATCTACATGTGATAGATGCTGCAATATGCCACCCAGATTTCTTCTTCAGGAATGGAAGATTTGTTCCCCCAGCTGCTAAAGTGCTGCAGGAAGACACTCCTCAGCTCTCAGTCCTCTTTGGGGATTGCTGTGGCAAAAGAAAACTGGAGGTCCAAGATGATACCTCCTTCCAAGAGTAGCTCATATACAATGATTGAGAGGTGCCTGTTCTTGCTTCAGCTAGGGACAATTTTGAAGGGCCATCCCAGATCCAGAGCTTGTCATCAGGTTGATTAATTGATTACATTTCAACTTCTCCCTCTACCCAATTCTGCTTTCGTTCCCTCCCTTCCACAAGTGCTGATCCCAAGACCACTGCCTAATAAATGGCCTGCACACTAGTCTCCATCTCTTCTTCAACTGTATCTCCACCTCTTCTTCCTGAAGCAACATGCTGTGACACAAACGTTAATGTATGTTCGTGTATCTTAACCTTTGTTGCTCTATATTTCCCTTCTGCTCACCTCTATTTTTCAAGTTTATAGCAACATTTTGTGAAAATAAATAAATATGAAAGTTTTACAAAGTATCATCAGAATGTATTTCTATATCAGCTTTAGCAATAACAAAACATGCTAGAATTTCTTCCAAGAACATAAAATAGCTGAAAGTACCCTAGCCATTGAAAATAAAAGATATCATCCTTGTTTATCAAGAAAACTTAAAGGAATACAAATGATGAAAAAATAAATAGACATGTAATCAGTTCCCATTAGGTAGCAAGTTAAATGCCAAACCAAAGCTTCCTCATTAAATCAGTTGTACAGTTGTGTTATTTCCAAACTCCTACAACATCACACATGAGTAGAAGTCACTTAGAAACCTCTTTAATTCCCTTAATACTTGTTCATTTAATCCACTTGCCTAGACTGTTGTTTTCTTGTGAGCCTTTGATGAGCTTTCAAACCTACAGGTTCCTATGTTTGACAAGTGTTTCCTACAACTAACTGTGTTATTAGCTTCCCAAGGCTGCTGTAACAAAGTGCCATAAACCTGGTGGTTTATAACAACAGAAATTTATTCTCTCACATTTATGGCAATGAAAAGTTCCAATCAAGGTGTCAGCAGGGCCATGCTCTGTCTGAAACACTTTATGGCAGAATTCTTCCTTGCCTATTCTAGCTTCTACTGGTTGCCAGCAATCCTCACATGAGTTTCTCCCTGTGTGCCCTCTCCTCTTCCTTTAATGTAATCACTAAATGCAGTGATTACATTTAGGGCCCACCCTAATCTGATATGACTTCATCTTAATATACATCTTAATTACGTTTGCAAAGATCTGATTTGCAAATAAGGTCCCATTCTGAGGTTCCAGGTGGATATGAATTTGGGAGGGACGCCATTCAACCCAGTAAAGTTTGCCCTCTGCTTCCCCAAAACTCACACCCATCCCATGCACAAAATACATTCACCCCATCCCCATATCCTCAAAAGTCTTAACCTATTCCAGGATTAGCTCTAAATTCAAAATCTCCCCTAAACATCCACCAGTAAAGTTCCAAATATCATCAGCTATATAATCTAAACCAAGTATGGGTGAAACTCTGGGTATGGTCCATCCCAGGGCAAAATTATTCTCCATCCACAGATTTGTGAAACTAGAAAACAAGTTCCCTGCTTCCAAAATACACTGATGGAACAGGCATAGGCCAGGCATTCCCATTCCTAAACTAAAAAATTGGAAGAAATGAAGGACTTACTTGTCTATAGCAAGTTCACAATGCAGCAGTGCAAATTCCCTCAGGTTTCAAAGCCTAAGAGTAATCCTCTGTGGCTTGATGCTATGTCCTCTGGGCCCTCTGAGGTAGGAACTCCTTTCTCTCTGACCTCTGCTTCATGGCTCTGCCCTCAAAAGTCATTCCTCCTTCATTTTGTCTTGTCTCTGTCCCTTTCAGTCCAGGCTGGCAGTGTTTCTGCTGGTATAAAATTCTCAAAAACCTTGTAAGTCTTTTATGAATGTCAAGGAGTCTTACATTGTTAGACATGAAGGTGCTCCATGGGTCCTTCCTGGATAACCCCATCTTTATTGCAGGCTGTTACTGAGATGGTTGACTGGATCCCTAAATCACACACCTAATGTCTATCGCAAACAGCTGTCCAGCTACACCTTAGCCCTTTTTTCATAGCATGCTATTTGGATAGCATAAGAATCTTCCAAATGATCAACTCTTGGTTTCTTTTTCCTTAACAGTGCATTTCTCAATGTATCTCTTTCTTCTCTCATTTTACTGTCAGCAGCAAAGAGAAATCTGGCTGCACCTTTCATACTTTGCCTGGAAATCTCCTAATCCAAATAACCAAGTTCTTTTACAAGTTCTACTTTTCACCGAACAGTAGAGCATAATTCAGCCAAGTTTTCTGCCACTCTATGACAAGGATTGCCTTTTCTCTAGTGGCCAAGAATATGTTCCCCATTTATATCTGGGACTTCACCAGAAGCACCTTTATTGCTCATATTTCTAGAAACATTCTTTTAGTGGTAATATATATATGTGCCTTAACACAATAGAAGCTCTCTCCATAGCTCTCCTTCCTTCTTTCTGAGCCCTAACTAGAAGCCCCTTAAACTTCAGTATTTCTACCAACAGTCTCTTCAAGGCAACCCAGGCTTTTTCTGGCATGCACCTAAAAATTCTCCCAGCCTCTACCCACTACCCAGTTCCAAAGCCACTTCCACATTTTTAGGTATTTGCTACAGCAGCATCTCACTTCCCAGTACTATTATGTTTATTAGTTTCCCAGGGCTGCCATAACAAAAGACCACAAACTAGGTGGCTTATAACAACAGAAATTTATTCTCTCACAATTCTAGAAGCTTGAAGCATATAATCAAGGTGTTGGCAGGGCTGCGCTCTCTCTGAAGGCTCTAGGAAAGGACACTTTCTTGCCTCTTCCAGCTTCTGGTGATTACCAGCAATCCTTAGTGTTCCTAGGCTTGAAGATGCATCACTCCAATCTCTGTCTCCATCCTCCATGGCCACATTCTGAGGTGCTGGGTGGATATGAATATCCAACACATTTCAATCTGGTAGTCTTTTTCTGCCGCCTTCTTATTTCTGTTTTAACTCACTGTCTCCAAGTCCAAGCTGTTCAATTCCCTTTATAATGAAGAGAAAAATAAATGTTGCCAAGGGAAAGTATTCTGTTTAAAGTTAAGAAAACTACTTGTCAGAGTCAGTCCTATAGTTGCTTTAATTATATGTATAAGTACCCCTGGAGTTATTTGTTGTATGTTTGTTTGTTTGGGGTGTTTGCTGCAAGCACCCACTGGTTCCACACAATCTTTTCTGGATTCTGTTAGCTAGTATTCTATTCAGGAATTTTACACCTATGTTCATGAGTGAAATTGGCCTGTAATTTCTCTTTCTTGTTTCTTTCTTTGTCTGCTTTGGTTATACTAACTTCAAAGACTTAGGGAGTATTTCCTCTTTTTCTAGTCTCTGGAAGTTTGAACAAGATTGGAATAATCTATTCAATGACAGTTTGGTAAAATTTTTCTGAACGATTCTTTGGGCGCATTGTTTACTTTGTGGAAAAAGTTTAAATTATTGATTGGTTTGACATTAGAAAATCCGTAAACATAATTGATTATGTGAACAGAACAAAAAAAAAACACATCTCAATAAGTGTAGAAAAAAGCATTTAGGCTGGACACGATGGCTCACGCCTGTAATCCCAGCACTCTGGGAGGCCAAGGCGGGCAGACCGCAAGGTCAGGAGTTCAAGAGCAGCCTGACCAACATGGTTAAACCTCATCTCTACTAAAAATACAAAAATTAGCCAGGCATGGTGGCACACACCTGTAATCCCAGCTACTCAGAAGGCTGAGGCAGGGGAGAATTGCTTGAACCCAGGAGGCGGAGGTTGCAGTGGGCCAAGATGGCGCCACTGCTCTCTCCAGCCTGGGTGACAGAGCAAGAATCCATCGTAAAAAAACACAAACAAACAAACAAAAACAAGAAAAAGAAGAAAAGCATGTAATAAAATTCAACATCTGATTATGCTTCAACATCTTTTCATAACTACTAAAACATTACCAAAGCTAATTTTTTTTAAAACATCATACCCGGGCATAGTGGCACATGCCTGTAGTCCCAGCTGCTAGGGAGGCTGAAATAGAAGGATCACTTAAGCCCAGGAGTTCAAAGCTGCAGTGAGCTATGATAGCACCACTACACTCCAGCTTGGGCAACAGAGTAAGGGTCTCGGTATAGCAAAAAGAAAACAGAAAAAAAAAAAAAAAGAAAAACATCATTCTTAGTAGTGAAACTTAGCTGTCTTTTAAAAAACCAGAACATGACAAGCATGCCCAACATTAATACTTTTACTCAATATTATATTTCAGGTCTTAGCCAACCCAGCAAGGCCTAGGGTTGGAAAAGGATAAATTTTTTCCACATATTCACATTCACAGATGATAAGACTATCTAGAACACCCAAAACAATAGACAAATTATTGGAAACAATGAGAGAGTTTGGCAAAATGGTTCTTTCTCTCTCTCTCTCTCTATATATATATATGTATATATCAATAAAACAATCCCTTCCCTTCCATATATATAATCTCTACACCTCAGCAAAAATAACTCAAAAATATAATATTAAAGTCTTTATTACACAACTTTTCAAATATACACAAAAATTGGGAGAATAGCGTAATGAACTCTCACATACCCATTACCCAGCTTCATTTCAACAATTATCAACACTTGGCCATTCTTCTTTCACCTCCCTTAACTTTTTTAATGAACTACTTAAAACTAAAAATAGTGACATTATGTCATATGAACTATTTTAAACAAATGTCATGTCACCTTACCAGTAAATGCATATGAGTTTCTAATAAAGGCCTTTTATTTTTATCATAATGAACATGATTTTAGCATATAACCTAATCCAATTAATGCTAACACCTTAATATCATCTAATATCCAGTACAAATTAAAATGTATCAAAGTGCTTCAAAAATATCTTTTTACACTGGTTTGATAAGCCATACTTTTTTTTTTTACTATTATAGCAATAAAACAAGGATGTGTGAGACCTATATGAAGGAAACTGTAAAACTTTACTGAAATTCTTTAAAGAAGAAAATAAATGAAGAGATATACCATGTTCAATGATGAGAGGACTCAATATCTTTAAAATCACAATAGTGAACTATAAATTCAGTGCAAGTCTCATCAGCATTCAAATGGGGTTTTCAAAGAACTTGAGCCTCTGATTCCAAAATTTATATGGGAGATCAAAATCTCAAGAAAAGCAAAGAAGAATATAGTGGAAGATTTACCCTAACAGGTAAGAAAACTTATTATAAAGTAATATTAAGATAGTATGGTGTAGGAGGAAGAATCTATAGATCAATCAGTGGAATGAAATAGAGTCTATATGGAAGCTTGATGTGGCACTGCAGCTTCCTTCTTAAATGAGAAAACACTTACTAGATGCTATGAGGACTATCTGTTATTCTCCTGGGGAAAAAATAAAAGAAATTGAATATCACACTATAACCCAAAATCAAGTCCATAAAGATTAAAAACTTAAATGTTAAAAGCAAAAATTTGAACTTTTAGAAGAAAATATAATATCTTTACAACCTTGAGGTAAGGGAGAATTCATAAATAAACTTGATTAAAGGATGTACAAATTTAGCTATATTATAATTCAGACATCTTTTCACTGGGGAAGTGAAAAAACAAACTATAAACTTGGGGAAGATATTTTTCAACACATACAACTGATACAAGATTAATATCCAAAATAGATACAAAATGCCTACAAATCAGTAGCAAAAGATAAACAACATAACACAAAAATGGGCAAAAGAAAAATAAGCATTTTACTGCAAGGAAATACAAATAGACCATAAACATAAGAAAAGATATTGCTGCGTTTTGAATGATGTTATCTCATTCAAAATTCATGTTGAAACTTAATCCCTAATGCTGCAATATTAAGAGGTGTGGCATTTGGGAGGTGATTAAGTCATGATCTTAACCTCTTGAATGGTATTAGCACCTTATTAAAGAGCTCAAGATTGAAGGGACTGTTCTGCCTTTCCACCTTCACACAGTGCTCCTCTCCTCCAGAGGATGCAGCAACAAGGCACCATATTGGAAGCATAAAGCAGCCCTCAACAGACATCAATCTTTTTATTTTCTTATTTTTAGTTTTTGTGGATACATAGTAGGTGTATATATTTATGAGATACATGAGATATTTTGATACAGGCATGCAATGCGTAATAATCACATCATAGAAAATGGGGTATCTAACCTCTCAAGCATTTATCCTTTGTGTTACAAACAATCCAATTATACTTTTAGTTATTTTTAAATGTACAATTAAATTATTATTAACTATAGTCACCCTGCTGTGCTACCAAATACTAGACCTTATTCATTCTTTTTTTCTGTACTCATTAACCAACCATCCCTCTCTCCTCCCCCAACTCCCCTCCCTCCACCAAATACCAATCTTGCCAACATCTTTTTGGACTTCCCAGCCAAGTACAAGAACTGTGGGAAATAAATTTCTATTGTTTATAAATTGCCCAGTCTCTCAGGGATTTTGTTATAGCAGCACAAACAGGCTAATATACTTGACTTTATTTGCTTTCCTTTTTAAACCATATTCTTTTTTTTTTCTTTTTTTTGAGACAGAGATCTCACTCTGTCACCCAGGCTGGAGTGTAGTGGTGACATCATGGCTCACTGCAGCCTCAAACTCCTGGGCTCAGAAGATCCTCCCATCTCAGCCTCCTGAGTAGCTAGGACTATAGGCACACACCACCCCACTTGGGTGATGTTTATATTTTTTGTAAAGACTATCTCGCCCAGGCTCTGTATTAACCATTTTTAAGTACAGGCATGCCTCAGAGATATTATAAGTTTGGTTCCAGATCACCACAATAGAGCAAATATTACAATAAAGGGAAATCACATGAATTTTTTGGTTTCCCAGTGCACATAAAAGTTATGTTTACATTATACTGCAGTCTATTAACTGTGCAATAGCATTATGTCTAAAAAAAACCAATGTGCATACTTTAATTTAAAAATATTTTGGAGGAGGCAAGACAAGATAACTGAATAGATGCTTCCACTGATCATTCTCCCCACAAAAACACCAAATTCAACAACTATTTACAGAAGAAAGCACCTCCGTTAAGAACCAAAAATCAGGTGAGTGATCACAGTGCCTGGTTTTTAACTCCACATCTCTGAAAGAGGCACTGAAGAGGGTAGGAAAGACAGTCTTAAATTGCTGACACCACCCCTTCCCCATCTCTTGCACAGAGAGAGAATCTGTGTGCTTGGGGGTCAGGAAGAGCACAGCAATTGTAGGATGTTGTATTGGAACTAGTGCTGCCAACACTGTGCAGAACTCAGCTGACACCCACAGAGGCAGCACTGAGATGAGCCCTAGCCAGAGGGAAATCACCCATCCCAGGGGTCGGAACCTGAGTTTCTGCAAGCCTCACCTCCATGGGCTAAAGTGCCCTGGGGTTCTAAGGAAACTTGAAAGGCAGTCTAGGCGACAAGGACTGCAACTCCTAGGCAAGTCATAGTGCTGTGCTGGGCTTGGAGCCAGTGGACATGGAGGGACATGCACCTAGTGAGGCACAGCCAAGGTAGCTAAGGGAATGCTTGCACCACCACTCCCCCTATCCCAAGCAGCATAGTTTGCAGTTTCAGAAGTGACCCCTTCCTTCTGTTTGAGGAGAGGAGAGGAAACAGTAAAGACAACTTTGTCTTGTGACTTGGATACCAGCTCAGTCTTAGTAAGATAGGGTACCAGGCAGAGTCCTAACACATCTAGCTCCCAGACAGCATTTCTAGACACACCCTGGGAAGAAGGGAACCCACTGCCTTGAAGAGAAGGACTCAGGCCTGGCATGATTCACCACCTGCTGACTAAAGAGCCTTTGGGCCCTGAATAATCAGCAGCGGTAACCAGGTAGAACACACCATGGGCCTTGGGTGAGACTCTCAGATGTGCTGGCCTGCAGTGTGACCCAGCACATTCACAGCTGTGATGACAAAAAGGAGAGACTGCTTCTGCCTGCGAAAAGCAGAGGGAAGAGTAACAGGGACTTTGTCTTGCAGCTTAGATACCAGCTCAACCACAGTGGGGTAGAGCACCAGGTAGTAGGCCCATGGGATTCCTGATTCCAGGCCTTGGTTCTTGGCAGGTATTTTTAGACCTACCCTGGGACAGAAGGGAACCCACTTCCCTGAAGGGTGAGTCCCAGGCCTGGCAGCATTCACTATAGCTGACTGAAGAGCCTTTAGGCCTTAAGGGAGCATCAGTGGTAGTGTGGGAGTACTCCTCATGGGCCTGTGCTGGTGGTGACTGAGGGGAGAGACTCCTGTGCCTGGGGAAAGGAGAGGGAAGAGTGGGAAAGACTATGTCTTGTGGTTTGGGTGCCAGCTCAGCTGCAGTAGAATAGAGCACCAGGTACATATCTCAGGTTTCCAACCCCAGACCCTGGCTCTTAGACAGCATTTCTGGACCCACCTAGGGTCCAAGGGAACTCGTTGCCCTGAAGGGAGGGACACAAACCTAACTGGCTTTGCCACCTGCTGACTATAGAGCCCTAGGGCCTTGAGCAAACATAGGCAATAGCCACGGAGTAGATACAGCAGGCCTTGGGTGAGATCCAGTGCTATGTTGGCTTCAGGTCTGACCTAGTGCAGTCCCAGCGGTGGTGATCACAGTGGTGCTTGTGTCACCCCTCCCCCAGCTCCAGGCAGCTCAGCACAGATACAGCAACTGTGTTTGTTTGGGAGGAAGTAAAAAAACAAGAGTGTCTGCGTGATAATCCAGAGAATTCTTCCAGATTTTATCCGAGACCACCAACATTGTCCCTCTGTGAATATGCAAGAACCACAGTGTTACTGGGCTTGCGGTCCCCCCTAATGCAGATATGGCTGCAGTGACCAAAAACTTAGATCACAATACTCGAGTCTCTTTGAATACCTGGAAACCCTTCCAGGGATAGGTACAAACAAGCCTACACTGCAAAGACTACAATAAATACCTAACTCTTCAATGCTCAGAAACCGACAAACATTCACAAGAATCAAGGAAAACATGGCCTCACCAAACAAACTAAATAAGGCACCAGGGTCCAATCCTGGAAAGACAGAGATATGTAATCCTTCAGACAGAGAATTCAAAATAGTGTGTTGAAGAAACAAAGAAATTCAAGATAAATTCAACAGAAGGAATTCAGAATCCTATCAGATAAAATTAACAAATAAATTTAAATAATTAAAAAGAATCAAGCAGAAATTCTAGAGTTGAAAAATGCAATTGACATATTGTAGAATGAATCAGAGTCTCTTAACAGCAGAACTGATCAAGCAGAAGGAAGAACTAGTGAGCTTGGAGACAGGTTATTTGAAAATGCACAGCCAAAAGAGACAAAAAAGAAAAGAATAAAAAAGGATGAAGCACACCTACAAGACCTAGGACATAGCCTTAACAGGGCAAATCAAAGAGTTACTGAATTTAAAGAGGAGGTAGAGACAGAAATAAGGCTAGAAAGTTTTTTCAAAGGAATAATAGCAGAGGACTTTCCAAACCTAGAAAAACATATCAATATTCAAGTATAAGATGATTATAGAACAACAAGCAGATTTAACACAAAGAAGACTCCTAAAAGGATTTAATAATCAAACTCCCAAAGGACAAGGATAAAGAAAGTATCCTAAAAGCAGAAGAAAAAAGAGAAAGAAAGAAAAGAAAAGAAAGAGTTCTAATATTCCTGGCAGCAGACTGTTCAGTGGAAACCCTATAGGCCAGCAGAAAGTGGTACGACATATTTAAGGTGGTGAAGGAAAAAAACCATTTACTCTAGATTAGCGTATCTGGCAAAAATATCCTTCAAACATGAAGGAGAAATAAAGACTTTCTTAGACAAACTAAAGCTGAGGGATTTCATCAACAACAGACTTGTCCTACAAGAAATGCTAAAGAAAGTTCCTCAATTTGAAAAAAAAAAAAAAAAAGGATGTTAATGAGCAAAATGAGCAATAAGAAATTACCTGAGGCCGCACACGGTGGCTCACACCTGTAATCCCAGCACTTTGGGAGACCGAGGTGAGTGGATCACCTGAGGTCAGGAGTTCGAGACCAGCCTGGCCAACATGGTGAAACCCCATCTCTACTTAAAATACAAAAATTAGCCAGGCGTGGTGGCAGGCGCCTGTAATCCCAGCTACTCGGGAGGCTGAGGCAGGAGAATTCCTTGAACCTGGGAGGCAGAGGTTGCAGTGAGCCAAGATCGCGCCATTGCACTCCAGCCTGGGGGACAAGAGCGAGACTTCGTCTGAAAAAAAAAAAAAGAAATCGTCCGAAGTACAAAACTCACTGGTAATAGTAAGTACACAGAAAAACACAGAATATTATAACAGGGTCATTGTGATGTATAAATACTCATATCTTAAGTAGAAAGACTAAAAGATGAACTGATCAAAAATAATAACTACAACAACTTTACAAGACAGTACAATGAGGTATAAATAGGAACAACAAAAAATTTTTTTAAAAGGAGGAACAAAGTTAAAGTGTGGCGTTTTTCTTAGTTTTGTTTGTTTATGCAATCCATGTTAAGTTATCATCAGTTTAAAATAATGGGTTATAAGATATTATTTGCACGCCTCATGGTAACCTTAAGTCAAAAAACATACAATGAATACACAAAAAGTGAAAAGCAAGAAATTAAATCATACCACCAGAGAAAATCAGCTTCACTAAAAGCAAGATAGGAAGAAGGGAAAAAAAGGAGGAAAAGACCAGAAAACAAATAACAAAATGGCAGGAGTAAGTCCTTACTTGTCAATGACATTGATAGCAAATGGACTAAACTCTCCAATCAAAAAACATAGAGTGGTTGAATGGATTTAAAAAACAAAATTCAACAATTTGCCTATAAGAAACACACTTCACATATAAAGACACATACAGACTGAAAGATAGTTTTCAAGACAAAAACTATAAAAAGAGATAAAGAAGGTCATTTTATAACAATAAAGGGGTCAATTCATCAAGAGGATATAACAGTTGTAAATATATGTGCATCCAACACTGGAACACCCAGATATACAAAGCAGATATTAGAAAGATAGATACCAATACAATAATAGCTGAAGACTTCAACACCCCACTTTCAGCACTGCATAGATCATCCAAACAGAAAATCAACAAAGAAATATCAGACATAATGTGCACTATAGACCAAATGGAACTAATATGCATTGACAGAACATTTTATCTAATGGCTGCAGAATATACATTCTTTTCCTCAGCAAATGGGTCATTCTAAAGGATAGACCATATCTTAGGCCACAAAACAAGTCTTAAAACATTCAGAAATTGAAATAATAGCAACTGTCTTCTCTAACCACAACGGAATAAAACTAGAAATCAGTAACAAGAGGAATTTTGGAAACTATACAAACACATGGAAATTGAACACTATGCAACTGAATGAACAGTGGGCCAATGAGATTAGGAAGGAAATTGAAAAATGTCTTGCAACAAATGATAATGGAAATACAACATACCAAAAATAATGGAATAAAACAAAAGCAGTATTAAGAAAAATATAAACCTGTAAGCACCTACATCAAAAAAGTAGAAAAACTTCCAATAAACAACTTAATGATGCGTCTTAAAGAACTATAAAAGCAAGGGCAAACCAAACCTGAAGTTAGAAGAAGAAAAGAAACAATAAAGATCAGAGCAGCACTAAGTGAAATTGAAATGAAGAAAGCAACACAAAAGATCAATGAAACAAAATGTTGATTTTTTTGAAAAGATAAACAAAATTGACAAATCTTTAGCCGACTAAGAAAAAAAGAGAGAAGATTCAAATAAAATCAGCAGTGAAAAATGAGACATTACAATTAATACCACAGAAATTCAAAGGATCACAGCCAGGTGCGGTGGCTCACACCTGTAATCCCAGCACTTTGGGAGGCCGAGGCGGGTGGATCACGTGGTCAGGAGATCGAGACCATCCTGGCCAACACGGTGAAACCCCGTCTCTACTAAAAATACAAAAATTAGCCAGACGTGGTGGTGGGCGCCTGTAGTCCCAGCTACTCAGGAGGCTGAGACAGGAGAATGGCGTGAACCCGGGGAGACGGAGCTTGCAGTGAGCTGAGTTCGCACCACTACACTCCAGCCTGGCAACAGAGTGAAACTCCATCTCAAAAAAAAAAAAATTAAAAAAAAAAAAAAGAAATTCAAAGGAACATTAAAGGCTACTATGAGCAACTATATGCCAATATATTGGAAAACCTAGAAGAAATGGATAAATTTCTAAACACATAAAACCTATCAATCTTGAATCATAAAGAAATCCAAAACCTGAACAGAACAATAACAAGTAATGAAATCAAAGCCATAATAAAAAATCCTCCAGCAAAGAAAAGCCTGGGATCTGGTGGCTTCACTGCTAAATTTTACCAAACATTTAAAGAAGAACTGATCCCAATCCTACTCAAACTATTCCAAAAAACAGAGAAGGGAATACTTTCGAACTCATTCTACAAGGCCAGTATTATCCTGATACCAAAAAGAAAAACACATCAAAAAAAGAAAACTACAGACCAATATCCCTGATGAACATTGATGCAAAAATCCTCAACAAAATTACTAGTAAACCGAATTCAACAAGACGTTAAAAGCTCATTCATCATGACCAAGTGGGATTTATCCCAGGGATGAAAGAATGGTTCAACATACACAAATCAATGTGATACATCATATCAACAGAATGAAGGACAAAAAGCATATGATCATTTCAACTGATGCTGAAAAAGCATTTGGTAACATTCAACATCCTTTTATGATAAAAACCATCAAAAAACTGGACATAGAAGTTACATACCTCAACATAATAAAAGCCATATACAACAGACCCACAGCTGACATCATAGTGAATAGGGAAAAACTGAGAGACCTTCCTCTAAGATCTGGAACACTGCAAAGATGTCCACTTTCACCACTGTTATTCAACATAGTACTGGAAGTCCTAGGTAGAACAATAAGACAAGAGAAAGAAATAAAGAGTATCCAAACTGGAATAGAAGAAGTCAAATAATCCTTGTTTACAGATTATATGATCTTATATTTTGAAAACTCTAAAGACTACCAAAAAGCTTTTAGAACATATAAACAAATTCAGTAATGTTGGCTGGCTGCAGTTGCTCATGTCTATAATCTGAACATTTTAGAGGCCAAAACAGAAGGATTGCTTGAGCCCAGGAGTTCAGGATCAGCATAGGGAGACTCCATCTCAAAAAAAAAAAAAAAAAAAAAAAAAATAGCTGGGCATGATGGTGCATGCCTGTGGTCCCAGCTACTCAGGAGGCTGAGGTGGAAGGATTGCTTCGGCCCAGGAGATTGAGGCTGCAGTGAGCCCTGATCACACCACTGCGCTACAGCCTGGATGACACAGTTAGACCCTGTTTCAAAAAAAACAAAACAAAACTCAGTAAAGTTACAGGATACAAAATCAACATACAAAAATCAGAAGCATTTATATATGCCAGCAGTGAACAATCTGAAAAAGAATTCAAGAAAGTAATCCCATTAACCCATTTATAATAGCTACAAATAAAATTAAATACCTAGGAATTAACCAAAGAAGTGAAAGATCTCTACAATGAAAACTAAAAAACATTGATGAAAAAAACAATTTTCAAATTTATACAGATCCACAAAATACCCATAATAGCCAAAGCTATCCTGAGCAAAAAGAATAAGACTGGAGAAATCACATTACCTGACTTATCAAAACAGCATGGTAGTGGTATAAAAACAGACAGACCTATGGAACAGAATAAAGAACCCAGAAATAAATCCATACATCTATAGTGAACTCATTTTTGACTAAGGTGCCAAGAACACATATTGAGGAAAGGACACCATCTTCAATAAATGTGCTAGGAAAACTGAATATCCATATGCAGAAGAGTGAAACTAGACCCCTATCTCTCACCATATACAAAAGTCAAGTCAAAATGGATTAAAGATTTAAATCTAACACCTGAAACTATCAAACTACTAAAAGAAAACACTGGAGAAACTCTCCAGGTCATTGGACTGGGCAAAGATTTCTTGAGTAATACCCCAGAAGCACAAACAGCCCAAGCAAAAAATGGACAAATGGGATCACATCAAGTTAAAAAGCTTCTGCACAACAAAGGAAACAATCAACAATGTGTAAAGACAATCCACAGAATGGGAGAAAATATTTACAAACTATTCATCTGACAAAAGATTAATAACCAGAATATATAAAGAGCTCAAACAACTCAAAAGGAAAAAAAAAAAGTCTAATAATCTGATTTAAAAATGGGTGAAAGATCTGAATAGACATTTCTCAAAAGAAGACATACAAATGGCAAATAGAAGAGGGCGCGGTGGGTCATGCCTGTAATCCCAGCACTTTGGGAGGCTGAGGTGGGCACAACACTTGAGGTCACGAGTTCAAGACCAGACTGGCCAACATGGTGAAACCCCATCTCTACTAAAAATACAAAAATTAGCCAGTCATGCTGGCAGGTGCCTGTAATCCCAGCTTCTCGGGAGGCTGAGACACGAGAATCGCTTGAACCCGGGAGGCAGAGGTTGCAGGGAGCCGGGATCGTGCCATTGCACTCCATCCTGGGCGACAGAGTGAGACTCTATCTCAAAAAAACAAAAAACAACAACAACAAAAAACCCAAATGGCAAATAGACATGTGAAAAGGTTCTTGACATCATTGATCATCAGAGAAATGTAAAAAACATTTTCTTTGCTCATCCAAAACTACAGTGAGATATCATCTCATCTCAGCTAAACTGGCTTTTATCCAAAAGACAGGCAATAACAAATGCCAACAAGGATATGGAGAAAAGGGAACCCTTGTACACTTTTAGTGGGAATGTAAATTAGTACAACCCCTATGAAGAACAGTTTGAAGGTTCCTCAAAGAACTAAAAATAGAGTTGTCATATGATCCAGCAATCCCACTGCTAGGTATATACCCTAATGAAAGCAAATCAGTATATTGAGGAGATATCTGCACTCCCATGCTTATTGCAGCACTGTCCACAATAGCCAAAATTTGGAAACAACCTAAGTGTACATCAGCAGATGAATGGATAAAGAAAACATGGTGCATATACACAATGGAGTACTATTCAGCCATAAAAATGTATGAGAGCTTATCATTTGCAATAACATAGATGGAAATGGAGATCATTATGTTAAGTGAAATAAACCAGGCAGAAAAAGACAAACTTTTCATATTCTCACTTATGTGGGAGCTAAAAATTAAAACAATTGAACACATGGAGATAGTAGAATGATGGTTACCAGAGGCTGAGAAGTGAAGTGGGTGGGGGATGTTTAATGGGTACAAAAAATAATTAGAAAGAATGAATAAAACCTATTATTTGATAACACAACACAGTGACTATAGTCAATAATAATCTAATTGTACATTTAAAAATAACTAAAATAGTATAATTGATTGTAATGCAAAAGATAAATGTTTGAAATGACTGATACCCCATTTACCCTGATATGATTATTAGGCATTGAGTGATAGTATCAAAATATCTCATATACCCAATAAATATATACACCTGTGATGTACCCAAAAAATTAAAAATTCAAACAATTTTAAAAATTAAAAATAGATATTTTGTTGCTAAAAAATGCTAACAGTCATCTGAACCTTCAGCAACTTGTCATCTTTTTGCAGTTGGAGGGTCTTGCCGCAATGATATCGAGGGCTGCTAACTGATAATGGTTGCTGAAGGTTGGGGTGGCTGTAGCAATTTCTTAAGAGAAGCTAAAATGAAATTTGCCACATCGATTGACTGTTCCTTTCACAAAAGATTTCTCTGTAGCATACAATGCTGTTTGATAGCATTTTACCCACAGAGCTTTCAAAATTAGAGTCTATTTGGGTGTTGAAACTTAATGGCAAAACAAACAAAAAAATAGAGCCTATCTCTCAAGCTCTGCTCCTGCTTTATCACCTATGTTTAAGTAACATTCTAAATTCTTTGTTGTCATTTCAAAAATTTTTACAGCATCTTCACCAGGAGTAGGTTCCATCTGAAAAAAATTTTTTTTTGCTCCATAAGAAGTAACTCCTCATCCATTCAAGCTGGTTTTTCTGTTTGTTTTCAGAGACAGGGTCTCTGTCACCCAAGCTGTAGAGGAGTGCAGTGACATGATCACAGCTCACCATAGCCTCAAATTCCTAGATCCCTCACATGTGCAGTTCACAATAGGGTTTGCGCTCCTGTGAAAATCTAATGCTGCTGCTGATCTGACAGGAGGTGGAGCTCAGGCGGTAATGCTCACTCCCCGCCCATCCCCACCCTGCCTCCATCCCCCGCCCTGCACCTTCTCTGCTCACCTCACGCTGTGCGTCCTTGTTCCTTACAGGCTAGGGACCAGTACCGGTCCAAGGGCCGGGGGTTGGGGACCCCTGTTCTAGTTAACTTGCTGCAGCTCCTACATCAGTATTTGCTGCTTCACCTTACACTTCTATATTATGAAGACAGCTTCTTTCCTTAAACTTCATGAACCAACCTCTGCTAGCTTTTAACTTGTCTTCTGCAACTTCCTCAGGTCTCTCAGCCTTCACAAAATTGAAGGCAGTTAGGGCTTTGCTCTGGATTCAGCTTTGGCTTAAGGAAATCTTGTGGCTGGTTTGACCTTCTATCCAGACCACTCAAACGTTCTTCGTATCAGCAGTAAGTCTGTTTCACTTTCTTATCATTCATGTGTTCACTGGAGTAGCACTTTTAATTTCCTTCAAAAACTTCTCATTTGCATTCACAACTTGGCTGTTTGGTGCAAGGGGGCCTATCTCAGCTTTCAACATGCCTTCTGCACTAAGATGAATCATTTCTAGCTTTTGATTTAAAGTGAGAGATACGCAACTTTTCCTTTCACTTGAACACCTAGAAAACCATTGCAGAGTTCTTAATTGGCCTAATTTCAATATTATTGTGTTTAAGGGAACAGATAGGCCCCAGGAGAGGGAGAGAGATGGCAGAGTAGCCTGTCAGTGGGGCAGTCAGAACATACACATTTATTGATTGATTGCTGTCTTCTATGGGTGTGGTTTGTGGTGCCTCAAAACAATTACAACAGTGATTTCAACTTATCACTGATCATAGATCACCATAGCAGATTTATGGGAAGAAAAATGATAAACGCAATCATATTGGTAGTGTTCTAGTCCTAGGTTCGTTCATGCATGTTCATGTTATTGATAAGCACCATAACTTCAATTTCATATGTATAAAAATGCTCAAAAAAGTGTACATCCTCTTTTAGCACTGTAGTGAGTCAACATTCCCCAACAAAAACTGGATTTCCTGAAAAACAGGTTAAGGTAGGAGGTTGGGGGGGGGATGCTTTTCAGAATGGCAAAGGTCAACATGTATCATCTTCTGTAAGTAAAATGTATGTATAGGCATACCTTTCTTTCAGTTTAAGACAAGGGGGTGTAGTGGGGAATTATCGTGTAAAACTACACCAGTATCTTAAGCATGAAAATCAATTATATGCTTTTCTTTTGTTTGTTGGTCAAAGAAAAAGATTATAACTCAGAAAACTTTCTTGGAGATGCGTATGCTCAGTGTATCCAAACTTTAGGCATGTCAGGTACAATATTGATTTACAAAAAGTTCCTCTAATCAATCCTGAGCTAATAACTTACTGTGGAAAGAGTAATTGATCAGAGCCATCCCTCCAATTGGAGTCAACTTCCATGACTGTTCGGATTTCCTTTATTTTGGGGGCAGTTCATCCAAACTTC
This sequence comes from Homo sapiens, assembly GCF_000001405.40. NCBI lineage: Eukaryota > Metazoa > Chordata > Mammalia > Primates > Hominidae > Homo > Homo sapiens. Next base: position 91,797,912 of record NC_000010.11, read on the forward strand.
TATTAAACGGCAACTAGTTCACTTTTGAGAAGTGGTTTACAAGAAACAACAACAACAACAACAAAGCAGTTGCGGAGGAAAGAAAAGAGACAAAGTAAAAAAAACGGAAAAGAAATCTCCCAGGAGAAAGGGATGTGGAAGCTGAAAACACGGACAATTTCCACAGTAAGACTTCCAAAAGAATGTGCAAGATCCGAGCAAAACTTTCAAGGGCTCTTTTTCAGTGTAATGGTAGTGAGAAAGTTCAGCCTGGAAAGCCCAGGGCTTAAAACAACAACAACAAAAAACACAATATGCAGGATCGTTCGGCTTCAGCAGAACCCACCGCAAAGATGGCGGTGGGACGAAGCCCCTTCTCCCGCCGCCGAAGCCTCTCGCCTCACATTTCCCACAAACCCTTCGCGCCGCCTCGCTAGCCGAAACCTGCCCAGCCGGTGCCCGGCCACTGCGCACGCGCGGGACGACGTCACGTGCGCTCCCGGGGCTGGACGGAGCTGGCAGGAGGGGCCTTGCCAGCTTCCGCCGCCGCGTCGTTTCAGGACCCGGACGGCGGATTCGCGCTGCCTCCGCCGCCGCGGGGCAGCCGGGGGGCAGGGAGCCCAGCGAGGGGCGCGCGTGGGCGCGGCCATGGGACTGCGCCGGATCCGGTGACAGCAGGGAGCCAAGCGGCCCGGGCCCTGAGCGCGTCTTCTCCGGGGGGCCTCGCCCTCCTGCTCGCGGGGCCGGGGCTCCTGCTCCGGTTGCTGGCGCTGTTGCTGGCTGTGGCGGCGGCCAGGATCATGTCGGGTCGCCGCTGCGCCGGCGGGGGAGCGGCCTGCGCGAGCGCCGCGGCCGAGGCCGTGGAGCCGGCCGCCCGAGAGCTGTTCGAGGCGTGCCGCAACGGGGACGTGGAACGAGTCAAGAGGCTGGTGACGCCTGAGAAGGTGAACAGCCGCGACACGGCGGGCAGGAAATCCACCCCGCTGCACTTCGCCGCAGGTAACCGGGGCCAGCGTCCCCTCGCCTCGCTCCAGACCCCACCTGCGCAGCCGGGGCCCACAGGTCTGAAACCAGTGCTCCTCCGCCTCCCGACCTTTCTCCAGGACTCTGGTCCTGGTGATCTCGCTCTCTTCCAGTGGGGACTAAGGAGATTAGGGGTAGGGTGAGCGTGCCACACTCGCTGGAAGTTTTTTGTTTTGTCTTGGTTTGGTTTTTTTGCCAGGTGTTGGGGGTGGTTTGGGGTTTTGGCTTTGTTTTGTTTTACAGTATCAACAATACCTGTACCAACTTCCGGTCTTGTTACCCTAGAAGGCCTCTACACACAAGAAAGAGTAGGGGACGTAGTTGATAGACCTTATGATTTAAAAGGTCAGTTACCTCCAAAATTTTTCGTTCTTGCAAGTTCCATTTGGGTTAAGGTCTTGAAGGACTTTGTAAAATACAAGGATGTAATTTAGGAGGAGTAGCTTAATAGGACGTTGACACATTAGCGTTAATTGGTTTATCAGAATAGCCAATCATTACCAAGTTTCTGGAGTGACTAGAACGGGAAATAGGCAAGTTTGGGAGAACTGAAACCTGACTTAGGCTGGGTGCGGGAAGCCTTAGACACACACACATACAAGTTGGGCGGAAAGTGGTAGTATAAGAGAAAAGATAGTGCAAGTACTTTAGCTTGAATCTAGAATTTAAGTTGGGACTAACCTTGCTTCATTCTGAAATTTAGATCGTTTGAATTACATTATTTTAATATTTATTAGGTTCACTTTATGATTTAAGCATATTAAATTTAGTCGAAAAATTTAAAAGAGCCATAGATGGGATATTCAGCTTATTCCCATAAAGCATGCATGCTGTTCACTTGTAGGAAAGATGATGACTGTTTCTAACTTCAGGTGAGTCATGCGTGATTGAAAATGGGAGTACCTCCTCTTACCTCTGACAATCCTGGTTTTTTGTTTTGTGTATTTCATGATTGTTTAAAACAATTTTTTGAAAAATCGGGGAATACCTTTTAAAGTACTCCTGTTCTTTTGGGGCTAGATTGATGAAGAGAAAAGGAGCAGTGAGAAATATTTCCTCTTTCACAGATATTACTTTTACACTTTCTACCAATTGGAGATTTGTTCGCTTTAACCTGTTCCAGATTTTAAATGTAAATACTACCAGGAGGTATGCTTTTTTGATCAATTGCACCTTTGTTGGATTTCCATTGGGGAGTCTTTTAAAAAGAAGAAAGTTTAGGGAACCTAGGTGGGAGAACTAGAAACGGTTTGTGGGCAATGGAAAGAGAAGGAAGAATACTTAAGTCAAACACACCTAGTTAGCCTTTTTGCCCGAAATTTCGGTGGTAAGTGCTGCCGTTCTTCAGCTAATTTAGGTTGTCCTGTTTGACCATGTAGTCAACATTTAAACAACTCATTTGGCAAACTGTCACGATCAACTGATACATAAGCCAAAGGGTAGGGTTACTTAGATTCTGTTCACTTGATCTGTGGGATAAAAATAACCAAGAAAGATCTTAGTTGCTACCTTTCAAGAATTTGGTGTATTAGTGAGTTCATATCTGAAAATAGTAATATTTAGAGGTGTAAGATTATGTTATTAGATCCTCAGTGACCTTGTTCCTTCTCTGCCTTCCCACCTTCAGTTCTGTCCCAACGTTTCAAAGCATATTTTTTACATAGGTTTCATTTTGTTCAAGTTTGGAAGACTTAATATTTTGGAAACCAACCCACCCCTCACAACTTACCCAAATTATCAGGTATAGGTTATCAGATTAAGAGTTAAAGGTATAAAAAGGGAGTAATAAAAATTATGAAGTGGGGGTTCTTCATTCAACCAGAGCTTTTGAAGTCCTGCACTTCAATCATATAAGAAACTTTTTTAAAAATTGGGTTTGTAAATTTAATCTGAATTTTAGGTTCATCAGAGAGAAGCTTTTTAAGTGCATCCAGCTACCTTTTCACTTAATATATGGAGAATATACTTTATAATCTGTTGTAGGTAGTGAGTTATCAGTCATGTTAATGTGCCTGCAAGCATACTGTTGGAAGTTCAACACAGGTGGTGGTATTATGTAACTGCCTGATCAAGCAGTTTCTTGTGTTTGTACTTCAGTCATAGAGTGAGCTATTGGAGGTGATGGGGGACATCATTATTTTAAAATTTTTTTAGCTGATTAAAGTTTGGAGATTTTACTGGGGGAGGCATGTTTTTGTCTTTTTGTTTTGATTCCCAAGTAATATTAGGACTGAGAGATTCGTGCAGACCACAGAAAATGAAAATTAGTTTAGAAAACATTTGCTTTAATTTCATCCCCAAAAGTTAGTTCAATTAAAAGAATAATCCGTTGCTAGCACCAAGAGAGTTAAATTCTGTTAATGAAGAAGATAGTCAACATAAACAGGAATTTTCCTTCTACTAGGTGTTTTTTTATTACTGAACTAGATTGCATACTTTTCTTCTAGATAAATATTATTTAAGAAGTAATTCCTTAGGAGAAAAATGACTCTGTAAATTGTTTCCTTTTCAGTCCGCCTGCCACTGCCCCCGACCATACGCAGATATACACAAGACAGGAATTTTTCTTTTTTTTTTTGAGATGGAGTCTAGTTCTGTCTCCCAGGCTGGAGTGCAGCGTCACGATCTCAGCTCACTGCAACCCCCACCTTCCGGGTTCGACCGATTCTCCTGTCTCAGCCTCCTAAGTAGCTGGGATTACAGGTGCGCACTGCCACGCCCGGCAAATTTTTGTATTTTTAGTAGAGACAGGGTTTCAACATGTTGGTCAGGCTGGTCTCAAACTCCTGATCTCGTGATCCGCCTGCCTCGGCCTCCCAAAGTGCTGGGATTACAGGCGTGAGCCACTGCGCCCGGCCAGGAATGATTTTTTTCCAACACAACAGAATTTGTAGAGGCAAGTTGGTGGTAGGGTGGCTGTTGCTCTAATTTTACTAAAAGCAAAAGTATCTGAAATTCTTGACAGTTAATGCCCTAGAAAACAGCAAATTTCAGTAAAGAAGACTCTGCTTCTGTGAACTTATTTCTAAAAAGTAAAGAAGAGGTGACACAAACTTGGGGAGAAAGTTATCTTGATGCCCATCATAGAAATGAAAGAAATATGTGGCATTCCTTACAATCTTAGAACTCTTGGAGTAGGGGTAGGAGCTTGCATTGTAGAGTCCTAGCTAAACAAGGTAACACTTATTTTATATTTATAGTATGTTATGTTACTGTTAGTATGAGTATGCTACTGAACCACATACATAGGACCAGTTAGACCGGACTTGGATTATTATATTCAATTGTGTGAATCAAATATAAGAGGGGATTTTTTTATTCAGAGGAGGAAAGTGGAATCAGAGCATCCAGAATTTATTGCACAAGCATAGATACGAAAATTAGTGCTGCTTATTCTAGAGATGAAAGAAGACTATACCATGTTATCGTCTTCACATATGTGGAAGAATCACAAAGAGTGAGTGGATATTACTTGTGTGGCTTTGGGAGTCAAAACTAAGGCCAGCAGGTGGAAGGTTACAAGGGGTCAGACAACCTTTAACAATATTCAGCGATCGAACTGTCTGGAAGTATCCAAGCAGTGGCTGGATTGGCATTTTTCAGAGATGTTGTAGAGAGGATTTCAGCCTAGTTCGACCAACAGGTTATAATCTCACTAGTACAAGAAAGTGGGATGATTCCTCCAATTGAAGGCTTTAGCTGCTCAGCTACCAAAGATATACTAGCTTTTGTGATTGCCATTCATATCTTTTCCCAAAATGATAACCATTGGAGACCTCCAATAACCTCTCAGTAACATTTTCTTCTTTGGCTGTAGGCCAACATCATAGTTACAAGAGATGCACAAAATTTATCCAACACTCTTCACCTAGAACTACAGTTATAGATTGTTGTTTTCAGGATTGGTTTTTGCTATGGGAGATAAATCATACATCAGCAGGAAACCCTAGTGTCAAATAAAGATCAGTCTATTTAGGAATTCATCATCTTTCTTGACTTATCAAATCTCCCAATGTATTATCAAGACTTTGAGCTATACCTTTGCCCTCAGCGCTTGCTGGATTTGGAGGTAGACAGTTGACTTCAATAACAAGAGTTTGGAGTACTCCTTTCAGTGTACCCCCATTCAGATGGTCAAAATTTCATCACCGTAGAGGCCATGGCGTTCTTTTCCAAGTTTCTACTAATCTGGCCAGACAGTATGTCTATCCCAAGTTGAGATGGGCAAAGTCCTCTCCCTTGTATTCTTCGTTCTTAAGAAGTATATGTGGGAAATAATTTTCTGGATCTTAGCAAACTAAAGTTAATAGTAAATGAGGCCCGGGCACAGTGCCACAGGCTATAATCCCAGCACTCTGGGAGGCAAAGGCAGGAGTATCACCTGAACTCAAGAGTTCAAGACCAGCCTGGGCAACAATGGTGACACCTCATCTCTACAAGAAAATAGAAAAATGAGCCGGGCATGGTGGCACAGAACTGACACTCTGGGAGGCAAAGACAGGAGTATCACTTGAGCTTAAGAGTTCAAGAGCAGCCTGGGCAACATGGCGAAACCCCATCTCTACAAAAAAATAGAAAAAGTAGCCAGGCATGGTGGTGCAGGCCTGTAGTCCTAGCTACTTGGGAGGCTAAGGTTAGAGGATTACTTGAGCCAAGGCTGCAGTGAGCCGAGATTGCGCCATTGCACTCTAGGCTGGGCAACAGAGGGAAACCTTGTAACACAAAATAGTAAATGAGAAGTTTAAAATGACATTCCTCAGAAAAAATGTGTCACTGAGAGTCCTGGCTAAAGGTTGCTTGAAAGCTGAAGGCTGTTTGATTATACCTTCCAATCTCCCAGACTACAGGAGCTTTGTTTTGTGGCATTTGTTGACATTTTTCCAGAACTTTGCCTTTGGACAAAACCCTGTGTGATAGCCTACCTTTAGATATTGCAAGACATCACCATCTCATATGGGACCAATTGTGTTATCAGTGATTAATCCCACCTTTGGACTATGAAAGACAGGAGGGGGATAGCATTTAGTTAAACTTCCTAAGAGTCTAAGTTGGTTTCTCTGTAGGAACTTGACTGCCTCACAGCTTTTGGGAAACCATTCAGATGAAAGCATGTTTCCAGTGTAGCAGCAAAATGTGATATTATTAACAATAGTCATAGTTAGCAAGCAGTACCTGGAGTTGCTGAAACTGATGGCATCTAGATAAGTAATAAATTTGACAAGAGGCTGCTTTTCTCTGTTTTCACAAATCATTAACACCATATTCTTTGTGAGGATCCTTTCCTATTCCAGCAGAGTATTAGACATGCATTAAACAAATGTTTGTCAAGTCCTGCTATATGCCAGACACTGACCTTGTCCCTGAGTAAACTGAAATGAACAGGACACAATACCTGCCATTAACTGACACATGGTTAATGTGGTCAACAAGTATACTTTACAGATAGGCCTGCTTTGCTTCACTGTAAGTACTATATAGTAGATTCATACTCTGTGTATGGTTTCATCAGAATTTTCACAAGTAGAACAGTGTTTGAAGTTGAGTGCTGTTCCATAATTACAAAATAAACTACAGTGTGTCCTGAGCAGCCATGACTACCAACTTTATTTAGGCTTCTGGTTCCTCATAAAGAGATCCTTAGAATATGGAGATTTACATTGACTCTGATGATATGCCTATTCATGTTCTACCTGGCCAGTGAGAACATGATCAGAATATACCCTGCAGAGCATTTTTTCTTCCAGAAATTGGTGCTTAACAGAAGTACTTTGAACTATTCTTGAGACCATAACAATAGAGATTTTATCAAGGATTACTCCTCAGTTTGGGAAGTATGGTTTTTTGGGGGTTGTGGGGGTGAGGCACAGAGTTTCACTCTTGTCGCCCAGGCTGGAGTGCAGTGGTGCGATCTTGGCTCACTTCAACCTCCACCTCCCAGGTTCAAGCAATTCTCCTGCCTCCTGCTTCAGCCTCCCGAGTAGCTGGGATTACAGGTATGTACCACCACGCCTGGCTAATTTTTATATTTTTAGTAGAAACAGGGTTTCACCATGTTGGCTATGGTGGTCTCGAATTCCTGACCTCAGGTGATCCACCCACCTCTGTCTCCCAAAGTGCTGGGATTACAGGTGTGAGCCACAGTGCCCAGCCAGGAAGTATCTTCAATCTAAAGATTTCGCCAAACTCCAAGCAACTTTTTTTTTTTTTTTTAAACATAGCTACCTATTGACTGCCTCCAAATAATTTCCTTTAAGTGCCCAAGATGTGGCTTCAAACATTAAAATCTCAGACTATTAATCTACTGTCTCAGCATAGCAGATTACATTCACTCACATATTGTAGTCCTTACAGTGTGACTGTAAAATCATACCTCTACTATCAGTCACCAGACTGGTTTCAGACATCTTAATGACTAGGGAATCATGTTGATACAGACATTGACACAGAAGTCTGTGTCTTGGAATGTTGGTAACTATGTGGATATAATCACTTTACCCATTCTACCCATATCGATCGCCTCAGCTAAAACTTCAGTTTCAGTTATGTCTTTCTCTTTAACTCTGATTTCATGCAACCCTCTTCTCTTTCCAGCCTTATTTTGACAGAAGGCTACTACTTGACCTTCCTTTAGATCACCAATCCTTTGGGACAGATATCTTCCCAGTTGACACTGTCTCTCATAACAGCTAGTTATTTTACTCCAGCTATTTCTGTGCACATCTAACTCTCCTTTCTGGGGGAGTTAACCTGTGAGTCACCATTTTGATTACTTCAGATATGCTTATTACTGCTGAAGAATAGTAATCCTTATTCTAAAATGCTTGGGTACATCAAATAACTTTATAGAGGTAGCTTTACAGGTTTTTCTTTATTTTGATTCTTTTTCTCTTACTCTCCAATTTAAGAAGCCTTTTTCTAAAAGCACTTCCTGCAGGTGGGTGCTAAGTGGTTGGGATAGCAGAACCATAGATTAGGGCAACTGTAGATAACCTACTTGGGGAGGACAGTGTGATCAGCAATGCCCAGGAAGTGATCAGGAAGGAAGGCTGAAGTCAGGGCTAATGACAGCAAGAGCTGACCTTCCCCTCTGACATTTTCCTACTTGGCTTCTGCAATGCCATTCTTTCTCTTTTTTTTTTTTTTTTTTTTATATTTTATCTAATATTTTATTTACTGATCTCTCTGAAACATGCCAAAATTCATATAGCTAAGGGAACTTACCATGCTAAAATGTTGTTCAACATGACAAATTTATACAAAACATATTTCAATGTAGTGCCTTCATTTCATTCTTGAGGAATCAACATTACATTTAGGTGGTGAAATTTAGGATACAAATATAATTATCAAATATCGTACTTCTAGTTTACTGGAAAACATAACAGTTGTGACAGTAACACCTAACACCTTGGTTAATTAAAGACAGAAAATGGGCAGGGGTGTCACAGAAGTATGCAAGGATTTGACAGTTCAAACTAATCCATAGCCCTTCTGAGAAACTACAGATGGAAAATATGTAGTAAATATTTCTGTAATATGGTGGTTTCAGTACATTATAGCACAGTGATCATCATTCCATTCATACACTCAAATAAATGCTGCTTCTGATCACTGAAAACTAGATTCAAAGTCATTGCTCAACAAGCTGATACTACAAATCCCTTATATTAACAGGTACTTTAAATGTGGAAATAAGGCAAAGCATACTTGTTAGTCACAATTACTTTTAGATATAATTGAGACTACACTGCTATACATAATTAGGTACACAGTATGTATAACAATGCATACTATGGTGTGGGGTTAATTCCAATTACCATATTTTATATTTATTGGTCACAACAGCATACATTTTATGCTCCAAAATACATGGATCTGACAAAATGGTTACATTTAATGTTCTTTTAAGGAAAGATGAACTAAATTTAAGAAGAATTGGTTTTTCCTAATATCTCATTTTCAAATTACTGATACAAATTTGCCAGAGAAACAATTACATGTTTTACCTAACATCAAATAATCTCCAGTTTCTAAGACAGATGCATTTCTTGTTCAGTTTCCAAAAGTAAATAAAGGCTTTCTAACTGAAAACATTTGCATCCCTAGCTCTCTAAAGTAAACATTAAAAAGAAAATTACAAAAAATGACCTCTAAGCTTCTGAACAGTCCACTTAGTTACATAAAGTACTTTCTGTCCCAACACTTTCTCTAATTCAAAAGATATTTACTTCCTAAGTACACGACAAAGTCTTCATTTCAAACCATTCACTCAGTTTCCATGGTAACATTGCGGGCTTCCTTGGCTACCATAAGTCGCATTAGTTGACTGTGGAATTTCTCAATCTTCTTTACATCTTGAGCTTGGTCTGTTTTATACACCAAACAAACTAAATCATCTGTTACTTTAACACACAAGTTCCCATCAGAATGCCTATATTTGAGAACCACACGTGCCTTCATAGGGTCAGCGAGGTAAAGCTTCTCGGCAGCGCGGCTGAACTCCTCCCAGGTCTGGTACTGCGGCATCGTGGCCTAGAGTGGAAAAGTAAAGAGAAGCAAGGCCTCAGAACCCGGCCCAACAAACTACCTACGTCCGGGAGTCGCCAACCGACGCGAGTCCTGCAATGCCATTCTTTCTTAGCTTTACTTCTCAGACTCCTTTTCATATACTGTGATACCTTAATTCAGCAAATGTCAACAAATTGCTCTGTACCATGTACTCTAAAGGATGCTGGGGAAGTAGTGATGAATTAAGATGCACATGGCTCTTGTCCTTCATGGAACTAAGAGTCTAGAAAATGCCGGGCGCAGTGGCTCATGCCTGTAATCCCAGCACTTCGGGAGGCCGAGGCGAGCGGCTCACGAGGTCAGGAGATCGAGACCATCCTGGCTAACATGGTGAAACCCCCCCTTTACTAAAAATACAAAAAAAATTAGCCAGGCGTGGTGGCGGGCACCTGTAGCCCCAGCTACTCTGGAGGCTGAAGCAGGAGAATGGCATGAACCCGGGAGGCAGAGCTTGCAGTGAGCTGAGATTGGGCCACTGCACTTCAGCCTGGGGGACAGAGCGAGACTCTGTCTCAAAAAAAAAAAAAAAAAGAGTCTAGAAAATAAGGCAGTAATTACAAATTTTAATAAGTGACAAATACTGCTATGAACAGCAAAGACAAAAATCCCTGTTGTATGGAGCTTGCATTCTAGTGAAGGAGGTGGGAGATAGACCAACTAAATGGTGTGAAGATAGGAAAAAATGTGGATGGGCAGAAGGGACTATTTTAGATGGGATGGTCAGGGATAGCCTTCTTAAGGAGGTGACATTTAAACAAACCAGGTAATGAGTAGAAGTGAGGATGCTTTGTGCAAGGGAAGAGCATTCCAAGCAGAAGGGTGGCATGTACCAAGTCGCTGACATACTTGACAAACTGAAAGTATATTATAGTTGGGAAAGGGAAGAATCGTGTGAAATGAAATTAGAGAAGAAGTTGAGGGCCAGTTCATGAAGGAGCTTTTAAGGCCATAGTAGAGTGTTTGAATTTTATTCTGAGAGCATCAGTGGGAAGCCAAGGAATTATTTTAAACAGGGCTGTGATATTATTATTTTTAAAAGGTCACTAGAGACAAGTGGAAATGAGAGACCTATTTAGGGGAGACATTGCAGGAGCTTATGCTGGAGGTGATAGTGGTTGGAGTAAGGTAATGTCAGTGGAAATAGAAGTTGGAAACGTGTTGAGTTTGAGATACCTTTAAAATATCCAGAAGGAAATATGTTAAGCAAACATTCTGGAATTTGGGTGAAAAGTGTAGACTGGAGATTTAAATCTGAGGGTTGTGTATCTAGGTGGTATTTAAAGCCATGGGATCAGATAAGATTATCTAAAAAGAGGTTAGAGAACTGAGTCTTGAGGAATCCCAATATTTAGAAATTAGGTAGAGGAAGCAATAAGCCCTCAGTGAGATATGACATGTCTAAAACTTGGACTCTTCATCTTCTGCCACAAACCTATTTTCATCTGCAGCCTTGCCCCCATTGCTGTTGATGGCAACTTCACTCTTCCATTACTGAGGCCAAAAACCTTGGCAGTAGTGTGTATAGTAGTAAGATTGGAAACAACCTAACTATGTATGAGAATGGAACTAGTTACATTTTGATACTCCCAATCAAGAAAATATATAAAATACTGATAGGAGTTGATTTCTGGGATATTATTAATAATAGATGTTTTTTAAGAAAGGAAGATGTAAACACTATCTTTAAAGATATATATTAGCAGATGTTTGCTTGCATGTATATAAAATAACTTCAACGTATGTGAAAAAAAGTGGTAACCAGAAGGAAGGGAACTGGGAAGCTGGGAATAGGGGTGGGAGGAAGGCTTCACCAGCCATGTGAGTATTACCTATGGTGTTCACATGAACCATGTGGGTATACTATCCTAACCAAATCAGTCTTAATCTTAGCCCTTATCATCTGGGCTGGGCGCGGTGGCTCACGCCTGTAATCCCAGCACTTTGGGAGGCCGAGGCGGGCGGATCACAAGGTCAGGAGATCGAGACCATCTTGGCTAACACGGTGAAACCCCGTCTCTACTAAAAATACAAAAAATTAGCTGGGCGTGGTGGCGGGCGCCTGTAGTCCCAGCTACTCGGGAGGCTGAGGCAGGAGAATGGCGTGAACCTGGGAGGCGGAGCTTGCAGTGAGCCGAGATTGCGCCACTGCAATCCGGCCTGGGCTAAACAGCGGGACTCTGTCTCAAAAAAAAAAAAAAAAATCTTAGCCCTTATCATCTGTCACCTAGACTATGGCACATAGCATTCTAAAACCTTAAGGACCTATCTACTGCCTGTCTC